>NC_000001.11:113190198-113493228 GCF_000001405.40 Homo sapiens
TTATAAAACATGGCTTCTGCCCCCGGGAGCTCATAACTTAGTCAGAGAGACACACATGCAGATTTTGAAATGTTCTGAGAGCTAATTAACATGAAAGGTGATGTTATAATGAGAGTCATGCCACATGACAAAATGTTAAGGAGTGGCACTAATCACACTGTTCTTACTCACAGTAGAGAGAAGTTGTGGGCTCCATTGCCCAGGAATGGTCTTATAGAACCTGGGTCCCATCAGTGAGGAGGAACAGAAAGGGGTGTGCATTCCAGACATGCAGGGTAAGGAAGGACCTTTCAAAGAACATTCTTTTAACCTACATTCAGCCACGCCGGGAATGATGCTTCTTGACCTGAGGTAGAACTGCTCCCTTAGGGAGATTTTGGAGGCCCTTTTGTTGTTAATTGTTACAATGACTGGGGGATGCTAGCAGCATTTAGCGCCTGGAACTCAGAAATGATAAATGTCCTGCAATGAGCGGGTTAGTCCCATGTCCAGCCAGTAGTGCCTAGGTTGAAAAACAACACATGTGGGGTAATGGGACATTGACTCTTCCCTGTCGTCTCCATGCTCCCAAGAACTCCATTCTGGCTTGTGAAAAACTAGTAATGGAATTACTCGTATATGAAAATAACTAATGCCCGATAGACAAACCAAACAGTTGCCTAGGGCACCAGCAAACAGAGAGAAAGAAGGATAAGTTCAGCTGTAATGAGCTTATTCACAATTTTGCAGGCAGAAAATCTAGAAAGTTGCTTTTTAAAATTTTAGCATAAACTTTCATGTTAAACCAAAAAATAAAATTTTATTTTGAATTTCATGTGCTATAAAATTTTATTTTGAATTTCATGTGCGAGTCCCTGGAAACTTGTCAGTGCTTAGGGCAATAAAGACATTAATCAGGTTGTAGGAGTATCCCATAAAAAAGCTATAAATGTGTGATTGAGGAGTTGCTGGAAATATTCACGATGCTGACAAGGCTCATCTCAGGGAGGCAAGACTGAAAAGGAATGTAATTAGGAAATCTAATCGGTGGAGCTCTATGTTGTCTGGGGGAAGACTGTAAACAGATGATGAGAGACCAGTCACTGGTCTGTTGGTCAACAAATACTTATCCACTAACTACTGTGTCCCAGGCACTGGGCTGGGCACTGGGATACAGTGGAGAACAAGACAAGTCCCTTCCTTCAGTGTGTTTACATTCTGGAGTTGGGGAGGGAAAAACAGACAAAAATACCACAGACACAGACCCATTTATACACACCCAGACAGACACGCAGGTGATCACAGGTCAGCAGAAAGCCTAGAGAACAGTGAGTCAGAACCATTTTGCAAGTTTTTCCAGCCCTCTCAGGGGAGGTCAGTGGCCACTTGATGATGGGATCCCCAGGTCTCAGCAGGGTTGGTGAAAAGGAACCTTGAGGCTACCTACCTTCCCTTGTCCCTGCATACCCTGTCCTAGCCCAAGGCGCCGAACCTGGCAGCGGCATCCTGTGTGGGGCAGTGTGGTGGGCGGTGCCCAGCGCTAGGAAAATCCCCAGGGTCACAGCTGGGGAATCTGAGCCCTACTCAAATCTGGGTGGCTAGGAGCAGAACTTGACCAGGGGAAGGAGGCGTACGAAGATCCTGATTGCACACCAGGTAAACGGTTGGAGCGTGTGTTCTTGCCTTATTGGCTGTTGGGCTTGCGGGGGTGTGGTCTGATTTAAAGGAACTGGGAATTATTTTATGAACAATTCAGCCTGGTGTCAGAAGTGTGTGACTCAGAGTCCCAACAGGAAACAGATGTCACACTCATTAGAGTAACTCAAGGAGGGTGAATTTAACAAAGGTGTGGGTGAAGTCGTGGGAACCAGAAGGGATGTTGGGGTGTTTTTGCAGCCCGTAAGCTGAGCTGTATACCACCCCAGGCCCAAGTGAAAGGGGAGGGAGTGGACATTGAAACCAGGAAGTAAAAAAGTCATGTAGAGGAAGGTAGAGATGACAAGGTTACCTTGAGAGAGACTGAGGGGCACAGCCAGCCTTGGGCCTCCTCATGGGGAGGCAAGGTCCTTATGGGGGACCCTGTTCCTCTGCTCTGCAGTATTTGTGAGCTCCCCATTGGCCAAACCCAGTGAAAAGTCAGAGGACAGAGTGAGCAGAAAATAAGCAGGGCATGGTGACCAGTAGCCAAGGATGCAGGCAGTCCTGTAACACCCTCCATTGTAAACCAGGAACCCTGTCTCCCATGAGGTTAGCTAGCTTCAGGAAGAAAGAGGAACTATGCACCAGCCTGGCGTCTGCCCTGATGTGACTCTTATCTTGCCTACCTAACTCCATCAGGTACACAATGTTCCCCTTTGGAGCTGTCTACTTCTTTCTCCCCATGCCACACTACCTGTGGCCACCACCCTCTCTTGCCTGAATTTCTCTAACAACTTTGCCGTCTCATCCAGTCCTCTTTTTTTTTTTTGAGATGGAGTCTCACTCTGTCACCCAGACTAGAGTGCAGTGGTGCAATCTCGGCTCACCACAAGCTCCGCCTCCTGGGTTCACGCCTTTCTCCTGCCTCAGCCTCCTGAGTAGCTGGGATTACAGGGGCCCACCACCACGCCTGGCTAATTTTTGTATTTTTAATAGATATGGGGTTTCACTATGTTAGCCAGGATGGTCTCAATCTCCTGACCTTGTGATCCGCCTGCCTTAGCCTCCCAAAGTGCTGGGATTACAGGCGTGAGCCACCGCGCCCGGCCCATCCAGTCCTCTCTTGACCATGCAACCAGATCTTTCCAACGTGCTGGCCTGAGCCTATGATTTCCTTCCCTAACACCACCTCACCACAGCATCCAAATGAAATCTACACAGCTTACCATGGCTTATGAGGCCCTTCATGATCTGGCTCTGGTTTACATTTCCAGCCTCATTTCTTGCCAATTCTCATTCTCCCCTCAACAAATGCCCCTCCTCAAATCCATCCCACTATGGTCCAGCCATACAGAACTGCTCTCTGATCTCTCTCTGACCCCAGGGCCTTTGCACATGCTATTTCTCCTCCTGAAAGTCAGGAAGTCAATTCTAACGTAACTCTTTCTCATTCCTCATTCCTTTGTTGCTGGTTGGGGTAGGCAAGGGTTCTGTGCCATTCTTATATGCTCCCATAGCACCCTGGCCCTGCCCAAATCATAATTTTAAAAAATTAATTCAATAGATATTTACTGAGTACCTGTAATGCACCAAGCCCTTCCCACCTCAGGGCCTTCTCTCATGCTGTTCTTTCCACTTGCACGTTCATCCTTCTACTCTTCATCTGGGTAACTCTTACATATTCTTTGAGTCTCTGCTGAAACATTATTTCCTGCAAGAGGTCCCCACCCCTTTTCTCTCCCACAGCATCCTGTATGACTTCGTTTATTTGATGTCTGTCTGCTTCTCTCCACGTGGGAAGGGGCCAGGTCTGTTTTATCCATGATAGTGTGCCCATCCCTAGCTCAGAAATCTGGCATGCAGCAGGCACTGGTTACATATGTGGTAAAGGAGGGAGGCAATAGGGTTCTCCCATTAGACCATGACAAGGAATAAAGAATTGTATGTTCCAGGGGTGAACTCAGGTTTTGTGGGGCCTGAAGCTTAGACAATTTGAGGTTTTATTTATTTATTTTTTTGAGACGGAGTCTCACTCTGTCACCAGGCTGAAGTGCAGTGGCGCGATCTCGGCTCACTGCAACCTCCACCCTCCGAGTTCAAGCGATTCTTCTGCCTCACCCTCCCAAGTGACTGGGATTACAGGTGTCTGCCACCGTGCCCGGCTAATTTTTGTGTGTTTTTAGTAGAGATGGGTTTCACCATCTTGGCCAGGCAGGTCTTGAACTCCTGACCTCGTGATCCACCCCCCACTTGGCCTCCCAAAGTGCTGGGATTACAGGCATGAGCCACCACACCCGGCCGAGGGTTCTCTTTAAGAAAAACACAAAATTACAGAAACAAAATTAGGCAGGAAAGTGGACCTTTATGTAGATTGGGAAAATAAATAAATTGTAAAGCTTTTAAAGTGGAAAAATACTTCAAATATCACAAAATATAGAAAAATAATATCATGTTTTTCTTAGTTAACTGCCTAACACACTGCAATAAGTCTTTCTCCACATTTTTTGGCTGAATAATACTCTTATTGCCTCATCATATGTAATGATTTTGTAATATTTTCCATATAGAGAATGGAATGAGAATTAAGTCCTCTGGCATAATAAAAATTATATTTATGATTGATGGGATGCATAAACACATGTGACCACAGCCAGACATACTTGTTTGTAGGACCGCTACAGTTTGTATCCTACGAACACAGGAATTCTGATAAATTATATTTGTCATTTTAAAAAGGGGAAAAAAAGGAAAGCATGTACTTGTATCGCCGCATTACTCAATATATATATGCCTAATGCATATGACTAGGTATCAGTGAGAACTGGATTCTGCACTTACAATCTTACACATCCGATGATTGGAAGAATTTCCTACAGACTAGCTTTTGGCTCTATACAGTTCAAATCTTGTTTCTCCTCCATTACCCACATGCTTCCAGGGCCAGGTTGCATAGGACACTCGCAAATCTCATATGGTCTTTGGCCCGGCATTTGAGTGTCATAATGCCAGATAAGTTGGCACCACAGGCAGTAAGCATGTTTCTGGGAGCCATTTCTGCACTGAGATGGCTAGCAAAAACCAACTCTACATAAAAGTGACTGCAAACCACCTAAATATGTCCCATAAAACAACTGTATCCCCAACTTAACTTCCCCCTAGCCAGATCACAAAAATGTCCATGGCCACTTCAGTTCTGGGCAACATGAAGGGGAGTGTGACAGAGGGGAAGTCTGAGGGGAAAGAGATAGCAGTCTAAACTGAGTGTGGTTCAAATAGCTGACTTTGGCAAGTTTCACAAAACGTGACCGCCACGAACACATTACTAGGGTCCCCTTCAGAACTTGTCCTAATGGGCAGCCCTAAAGCTTAAGTTTCATTAACTTCATGGTAAATTTGCCTCTGCCTGTATCGTATTCATTATTATGTGCGACCCCTGGCACCACGCCTGGCACATAGTAGTTGCTTAATAAATATATGCTGAGTAAGGAAAAGTGTTGCTTGGCCTCATTACCCAGGAAATAGTCTCTTCCCCCAGTAGATCTCATCCCTTTTTTGAAAGCTGGTGCTCAGAATAGTTAATAGACTTATTGGAGGCACTGGGAGGGGAAAGAAAGGGACCGCTTGGCGGGATAAGCTTTCCCATCTCCTCTTCACCGGGCAAATAAGCCGACGCCAACACGTCAGCTGCCCTCATTAGCAGTGAAGCGGCCCTGGCTGCCCTCTTGGGGTTATTCTAATTGGCTCCAATCAGGGAAAGCCAGGTCTGGGCTTTATAAACAGTGACAGCAGCTCCACCGTTAGAAGAGCAGGTAGAAAGGTCACACTGGAAACACCATTTCCAAGCACAGAGTAATTACAACTCATTCTGGCTTTCACAGCTATGCTGAGGAATCTTTATTTGTCTAGCCCGGCTGATAGTGGCCTTCCGGCTTCCTGCTTCCATTTTCTTCCTTGTCATGAGTTAGCTGAACTTCCGGGTCCAACACACATTTTTCTTCACGGCCTTGGGTCCAGCAAGAAGAAAAAGTCTGGATTCCTAAGGGGCTGACTCTAGGGGTCTCCGCTGCTGAAGAATTAGAGTCTAAAATTCTAGGGTAAGGAGAGTAGGCTATGTTCTAGACAAGCAAGAGTCTTTGGAGGACCGTGGTTTAAATGTACTGGTGACTGAGAAGCAAATACATTTCATACTCCAGCAGCCACTTAGCACGTCCACCTTGTCTGCTGCACTCTCGGCAAAACCTTCCCAGACCCCGGGGGCAGTGAGCCACTCCTCTGGGCTCCCACAACATTGGGCCCATGTCTTTATTACACGACTCACTGCATTGTCTTTCATTTATTAGCTTAGCCATCTGTCTTCCAAGATGGACTGCCAGCTCCTCGAGGGCACTAACCAAGCCTCATTCATATTTATATTTTTGGTTTATTCCCTAGCACAGAGCCTGGCACTTGGTACATATTGACTGACTCCTCAAAGGAAGGGAATGGAAGACACTGGTAATAAGATGAACCAGGAGCTTCCAGATAGCTGAACACATGGAGGGTGGTGCATCCAGAGAGGACACAGAAGCTCCACACTCCTAGCCCCAAACCACGCTCTATGTGTCTCTTCATCTGTATCCTTTATAATAAACCAGTAAACATAAGGTCTATAAGAAAGTAATAGGGTTAAGTGAGGTCATAAGGGCAAGGCCTTATCCCACAGGACTGTTGTCCTCATGAGAAGAGGACGAGACACCAGGGAACCTCTCCACACAAGAATAGCCAAGAGGCCATATGAAGACACAGCCAGAAGGCAGCCACCCACCATGAGGAAGGAGAGACCTCATCAGAAACCAACCCTGGTGGCGCACTGATATTGGATCTAACCTCCAGAAATGTGAGAAAATAAATTTTTTTTTTTTTTTAAAGATGAACTGGTGTGGGCGTAGAGTTTTACAGTAGAAATAATATGTCAAAGAGGTTAAGTTTGGTCTTGGGAGTAAACTGGTTCAAATTCCAGTTCCACCACTATTTTAATGAGGATTAGGTTTGGCTGTAAATGACAAACCCCAAAACAATAGCAGCTTAAGCAAGTTAGATGTTTACTTTTCTCTTTCATGTAACATTTTGGAGGTGGCCACCTCAGGATTCCCAAGTTAGCTCCAGCATGTCCTCAGGGACCAAGGCTCCTGCTCCCTTGCGGCTCTGCTGTTGATGGCCTTGGTCACATCATGGCACTGGCTGGCACCCTCTGGCTCAAGCTGTCACGTCTGCATTTCAGCAGCGGAGAGAAGGCTGAGAGTTCCAGGAAGTTGCACATACCGCTTTTGCTTATATCCTATTGCCCACAATTTAGTCACATGGACACCTAGCTTCAACAGAGTCTGGAGAATGTAGTCATAACTCTAGAAGGCCACATGCTCAGCTAAAAATGAGGGTCTACTACTGTACAATAAGGAGAAATTAGATTTTAGAGGAAAATAGTTTCTGTCATACTAGCTGTGTGACTTTGGGGAAAGGAATTAATCTCTCTGATTCTCAGTTTCCTCATTCAAGAGTTAGAAGAACGCAAGCAAACACCTTAGCAAAGTGCCTGGCACTGATGAAGGGTTGAGCTATTATTACTTTCCTTTGGTTGTGGCTAGGCTAGCAGGAGGCAGTATCCCTCACAGGGAGAGTGTACATGCAAGCCTGCCCGAATCTGAGTTTTTTTTCGTGCCACTTACCAGCTCTGTGACTTGGGGTTTGTTACTTGACCTTTCTGAATCTTAGTTTTTTCATTTATAGAATGGAGGCAGCAATAATCCTTTCTTTATAGGGTTCTTGTGAGGATTGAGATATTGTATGTAAAGCATTTCATAGGGTACTAAGCAAGAGAGACTCTAAAAGTGCTGGCTTCTTCTATTATTACTAGTCAAGACAAGCCCTGAGTGACCTTGAGATCGACCATGAAGAAGATGCTGGAGAAGGTTCCATAGGATTCTGCCTGGCCACCAGACTCCAAAATTCAGCTCGTTCTAAGGGGCGGGACTGATGCTGTAACCAGGAGGCAATAAATTAACTTGACCTCCAATGACTGTATAAGTACGCTTGCATTTTGAATTCTCTCCAAATACAGCTGATCTTAAACGCAACGGGAACATCCTCTGCCTTCCTGCACGTTTTCACTCCCCCAAACTGTCAGCAATTCTCATCTACAGGGTGCCTTTCCCAAAGGGCTCAGGCAATAAGCACCAGGATGAGAAGTGGTAAAGCCAGAAGGAATTTCTGGCCCCAGCAGGACCTGGAGGGCTGTGCCCAGGCTGTGTATACGCTGGGACTGCCTGTCCCCTCAGGCAGAAGTTGCAGAGAAGCAAAAAATAAGCCAGGATCAGGTGAGCCAGACTTCAGCTTGATGAAACAAGCAAAACACACTATTTCTCTTTAGCTCGGGCTCCTGGGATTAGCGGTTAGGTCCCTAGAGTATACTGGGTGTTTATTCTCGGAGACCCGAGGCTCCAAGGAGTAGCAAGAGTCGGAGGCACAGGGCCTCCCCAGGTAGCTCATTGTTGGTTCTACTTCTTGCAGAAGCCAAATTGGGATCCTCTGCCATATACCCTTCATGTTCACAGGCTGCTTCTCAATTCAGCATCAGCTGAGCAACTGCCAGGGATCCCCGAGAGACAGGAAAGACTGGGTGGGAAATGGACGACTGCGGCCCTGCTGGTTCCCACGCTTCCAGGCTCCCAGGGCACCCTTCCCACTCAGCCCTACTGACTGCCATAGTGACTGCTCCATCAGTTACCATGGCCGCTCGGCAACCCACCTGTAAACGAAGCCACTGTTCGATCCCAGAAAACTCCCAATTAAATCACAAATCTGATGTTTTTCTGCTGTCTGCGAAGAGGATGTATCACCTGAAGCGAAAAATTGGAAACAACCTAAATGACTAAGGAAAAGGGATTGGTTGCACAAACGATGGTTGCATCATTTCAAGTAATATTATGTGGCCATTAAAAAATATAAATCATTTTTCTGAGGATCCAGCAAGATGGCAGAGGTAGAGCAGAAGAAGAAGCGGACCTTCCGCAAGTTCACCTGCTGCGGCGTGGACCTCGAGCAGCTAGCTGCTGGACATGTCCTACGAGCAGCTGATACAGCTGTACAGTGCGCACCAGTGGTGCCGGCTGAACTGGGGCCTGCGGCGGAAGCAGCACTCTCTGCTGAAGCGCCTGCGCAAGGCCAAGACGGCGGTGCCGCCCATGGAGAAGCCGGAAGTGGTGAAGACTCACCTGCGGGACATGATCATCGTGCCCGAGATGGTGGGCAGCATGGTGGGCGTCTACAACGGCAAGACCTTCAACCAGGTGGAGGTCAAGCCGGAGATGATCAGCCACTACCTGGGCGAGTTCTCCATCACCTACAAGCCCGTGAAGCACAGCCGGCTTCAGGGCCACCCACTCCTCCTGCTTCATCCCCCTCAAGCAGTGGCTCAGCTAATAAAGGCACACATGTCTCAAAAAAAAAAATTATATATATATATATATAAAATCATGAGGATATATATAATCATGAGGAGATATATATATATATATATATATATATATATATATATAAAAATCATGAAGATTATGTGGTGACTTGGAAATATGGTTATATTATGATGTTCAGTGAAAATATAAAATCTCATCTCTGCCATGAGTGCAGTGGTAAAAACTATATGTATATCTGGATAAAGAAAAACACACCAAAAAAGAGAAAAAATGGGGTGGGAGGATGGTGGGTACAATTTCCCCTTTCATGTATTCTGGTATCTTTTCCTGCTGTTTGTGCACTAAATAAGAAAATCATTTTAAAATCTTGCTCACTAACCTATCATGCACTTTCACCTTCCCCCAAAGAGGAAAAAGCCTCATTCACTGAAATTTGCTAGTGTAGCTCCTTTGCTTATTTTGATATCAACTTTTCAATCAATATTCTCAGGAAAAGATATGACTATTTTAAGTTGAAAGCAAACCACAGACGAACTCAGTTCCCTGGTCAATTATCCTCCCAGTAGGTGGTGACAGTTAAAAGCAGCTCCTTAAGGGCCAAAAGCAGCTCCTTAAGGGCCCAAAACAGCTCCTTAAGGGCCAAACCCTGCAGTGAGGCCTGTAAATAACTTAGATTCTTCAGGTGCTCAGCGTTTGAATTCCTGGATCACCTGCGGCAGGCTCACCTGAAGTAGACATTAGAGGTGGGGCTGTTCTGCACCAGGAACAAAGCTACTCAAAAATCCTTGACTCTTTGAATTTGGCTGAGTGAACAGGAAAATTAAGAAATCATCACTTTAAAATGACCCAGAATTTCAGGAGCCACTTTAATACCATTCCTGCCACCAACTCATTGTGTAAGCCTAAGCACATCACTTAGCCACTCTCCAGACTAAGGGAACAGATTGTAGCCTGCCTGTA
The DNA here is from genome assembly GCF_000001405.40 of Homo sapiens. Taxonomy (NCBI): domain Eukaryota; kingdom Metazoa; phylum Chordata; class Mammalia; order Primates; family Hominidae; genus Homo; species Homo sapiens. The sequence continues at coordinate 113,200,227 of NC_000001.11, forward strand.
AATGGCTGATGGACAGAAAAACATGAAAACGATGGTGCTGAGCACTTTGCAAAAAGGAAACAGAGTTCATTTGAAAGAACCTGGGATCTGGAGTCAGAAAGTCTGGATCCAAGCCAAAATCTGCCACGCATGAACACTGGGACGTTAGGCTATTAGTTTCTGAGTCTGTTTCCTCAGTAAAATGGGGATAATACTCTGCGCAACTGGATTGTTTTGACATTTAAACGAGTTTATGAGAAAAAGCTTTGTAAATTGTAAAGCACATGTATTAGTTTTTAGGGTTGCCATAATAAAATTCCACAGACTGTGTGGTTTAAACAACAGAAATTAATTTTTTTTTTTTCACAATTCGTGAGTCCAGAAGCCTGAGATTAAGGTGTCAGCAGGGTTGGTTTCTTGTGAGGCCTCTCTCCTTGGCTTACAGACGGCTGCCTTCTCTCTGTGTCTTCCCATGATCTTTCTCGATGTGTGTCCGTGTCCTAGTCTCCTCTTCCTATAAGGACACCAGTCATATGGAATTAGGGCCCACCCAAATGACCTCATTTTAACTTCATTACCTCTTAGAAGACCCTATCTCCAAATACAGACATATTTTATCTGTTTTATTGTACTTGGCTTTATTATGCTTCACAGAAACTGCTTTTTTCACAAATTGAGGGTTTGTGGCAACCCAGCATTGAGCAAGTCTATTGGCATCATTTTTCCAAATACATGTGCTCACTTCATGGCTTTGTGTCACATTTTGGTAATTCTCATAATATTTCAGACTTGTTCATTATTTTTTCTGTTATGATAATCTGTGATAAGTGATACTCGATGTTACTATTATGATTGTTTTGGGGTGCCATGGACTGTACCTATATAAAACAGCAAACTTAATTGATGAATTTGTGTGTTCTGATTGCTCCACTGATTGGCAGTTCCCCAATCTCTCCCTCTCCTTGAGCAGAAATCCATGGATAAGTGGACCTGCATAGTTCAAACCTGTGTTGTTCAAGGGTCAATTGTATTTTAAGCCCACTGTTGCGACCTGCTGCTCAGAAAAAAAGATTTCTTTCCAAATATTACTGTTCATTGACAATGTATTTTGTCACCCAAGATCTCTGATAGAGATGTACAAGGAGATTAATGTGTTTATGTCTGCTAACACAACATCCATTCTGTAGCCCATTGATCAAGGAGTAATTTTGACTTTCAAGTCTGGTAATTTAAGAAATACATTTTGTAAGGCTATAGCTGCCACAGATAGTGATTCCTCTGATGGACCTGGGCAAAGTAAAATTGAAAATCTTCTGAAAAGGATTCACCATTCTAGATGTTACTAAGAACATCTGTGATTCATGGGAGGAGGTCAAAATATCAACATTAGCAGGAGTTTGGAAGAAGTTGATTCCAACCCTCATGGTTGACAAGGAGCTTAAGACTTCAGTGGAGGAAGTAATTGCAGATATGGTAGAAATAGCAAGAAAACTAGAATTAGAAGTGGAACCTGAAGATGTAACTTGAGAAAAGAAAAACAGCTCAGACCAGAAAGACTTATACCTACCCATGCCTGGGGGTAATTGTTGAAAGACATTTGTTTCTGAGCAGCTGCCTCACCCATGATCTTCTTGTTCCTGGAATTTGTGATACAAAGGACAATGTATAGCCAATGAATAGCTTATGTTATTTTAATATAAATTCTTGGTAAACACCTTCAGAACTTGCTCTTCTTTTTTCTTTTAAAAACCCACTTATACCTGCTGCTAATTAGAGCATATGTTCAGGGCAATTTGATTCTATGCTCCTATGTTGCAATCCTCAAACTTGACCCAAATAAACTCTCTACTTACACTAATTTTGCCTCAGTTTGACATTTTGAATTGCTGCAATTTTATGATAAAACTTGAATGGATAAGGAATTGCTTATCATGGATGAGCCAAGAAAGTGTTTTTTTGTTTGTTTGTTTTGTTTTTTTTTTTTTTTTTTAGATGAAATCCACTCCTGGTGAAGATGCTGTGACCATTGTTAAAATGACCACAAAGGTTTTAGAATATTACAGAAGCCTAAAGCAGTGACAGGGTTTGAGAGGACTGTGTCCAATTTTTTTTTCCATCTGTGGTATATGATGAGGTTTCTCTTCAAATAATCTGATCAATCTTTTATTCTTTAATTCATAGTTACCCACCCTCTTTTTTTCTCCTTTTTTCTCCTTTTTTTCCGTTTTGCCTTTGTTAGGTGCGCAGGCACGCCACAGTACCAAGCGTTATGAGTACCAGCTCACATTCCTTTCCTTATTTGGAAAGAGGACTTTCTAGCTCATTACAGACACCCTTTCCCCTTCCTCTCCACTTTATTTTATGTGCCCACCCTATCTAAAAAAATCATATGTTTAGCCAACCGGATTAGTTTAGATTGTACCACCTGACCCCGGCCAATGAGGAAAGGGTACAGGGGCAGGACTTGCGTCAGGAATAAAGGCTCTCATGCCCCTTTGTTCAGGTGTGCTCTCATGGCGACTGGCCAAGGAGGCATCCCTCTGCACAGAAGTAAAATTGCTTCGCTAAGAATCCTTTGTTTGAGTGTTCAATTTCCTTAGGATTTTGAGCCTTATTCCTAACACATCCGCTCAAGAATTTATCCTTTGAGTTATAAAAACAATCCAATTACACTCTTTACATTATTTAAAAATGTACTATTCGGCCAGGCACAGTGGTTCACACCTGTAATCCCAGCACTTTGGGAGGCTGAGGCGGGCGGATCACCTGAGGTCAGGGGTTCAAGACCAGCCTGACCAACATGGAGAAACCCCGTCTTTACTAAAAATACAAAATTAGCTGGGCATGGTGGTGCATGCCTGTAATCCCAGCTACTTGGGAGGCTGAGGCAGGAGAATCACTTGAACCCGGGAGGCGGAGGTTGCAGTGAGCCAAGATTGCACCACTGCACTCCAGCCTGGGCAACAAGAGTGAAACTCTGTCTCAAAAAAATAAAAAATAAAAATAAAAATGTACAATTAAGTTATTATTGACTATACTCATCCTATGGTGCTATAAAACAGTAGGTCTTACTCATTCTGTTTTTTTACATTAAATGCTTATCAACCATCCACACCTCCCCCCATGTTTCCTAATACCCTTCCCAGCTGGTAACCATCCTTCTACTCTGTGTCCATGAGTTCAATTGTTTTGATTTTTAGACCCCACAAATAAGTGAGAACATACAAAGTTTGTCTTTCTGTGCCTGGCTGATTTCACTTAACATAATAATCTCCAGTTCTATCCATATTATTGCAAATGACTGGATCTCACTCTTTTCTTTTATGGCTGAATAGTACTCTATATGTGTATGTATGACATTTATTATTTATTTATTTATTTTTTTGAGACAGAGTCTTTCTCTGTCGCCCAGCCTGGGGTGCAGTGGCACAATCTCAGCTCACTGAAACCTCCGCCTCCCGGGTTCAAGTAATTCTCTGCCTCAGCCTTCCAAGTAGCTGGAATTACAGGCATCTGTCACCATGCCTGGCTAATTTTTTTGTATTTTTAGTACTGACGGGGTTTCACTATCTTGCCCAGGCTGTTCTTGAACTCCTGACCTCGTGATCCACCAGCCTCGGCCTCCCAAAGTGCTGGGATTACAGGCGTGAGCCACTGTGCCTAGCCCCACATTTTCTTTATTCATTCATCTGTTGATGGACACTTAGGTTGCTTCTAAATCTTAGCTATTATAAACAGTGCTGCAACAAACATAGGAGTGCAGATATCTCTTTGATGAACTGATTTCCTTTCTTTTGGGTTTACTTTCAGTAGGATTGTTGGATCATACGGCAGCTAAATTTTTAGTTTTTTCAGGAACCTCCAAACTGTTCTCCATGGTGGTTGTACTAACTTACATTCCCACCAACAGCATATGGGGTTCCCTTTTCTCCATGTCCTTGCCAGCATTTGTTATTGCCTTCTTTTGGATATAAACCATTTTAACTGGGGTGAGAGTATATCTCATTGTAGTTTTGATTTGCATTTCTCTGATACTCAGTGATGCTGAGCACCTTTTCATATACCTGTTTGCCATTTGTATGTCTTCTTTTGAGAAATGTCTATTGAGATCTTTTGCTCATTTTTTATTGGATTATTAAATTTTTTTTCCCCTATAGAGTTGTTTGAGCTCCTTATGTATTCTGGTTATTAATCCCTTGTGGGATGGGTAGTTTGCAAATATTTTCTCCCATTCTGTGGGTTGTCTCTTCACTTTGCTGACTGTATTTTCTCTGCAGAAGCTTTTTAACTTGATGTGGTCCTATTTGTCCATTTTTGCTTTGGTTGCCTGTGTTTGTGGGATATTGCTCAAGGAATTTTTCCGCAGACCAATACCCTGGAGATTTTCCCCAATGTTTTCCTATAGTAGTTTCATAGTTTGAGGTCTTAAATTTAAATCTTTAATCCATTTTGATTTGATTTGTGGATATGGTGAGAGATAGGGGTCTAGTTTCATTCCTCTGCATATGGATATCTAGTTTTCGCAGTATCATTTATGGAAAAGCCTGTCTTTTCCCCAGTATATGTTCTTGGCATCTTGTCAAAAATGAGTTCACTGTAGGTGTGTGGATTTGTTTCTGGGTTCTCTATTCTGTTCCATTGGTCTATGTGTCTGTTTTTATGCCAGTACCTTGCTGTTTTGGTTACTATAGCTCTGTAGTATAATTTGAAGTCAGGTAATGTGATTCCTTCAGTTTTATTCTTTTTGCTTAGGATAGCTTTGGCTATTCTGGGTATTTTGTGGTTCAATATATTTAGGATTGTTTCTTCTATTTCTGTAAAGAATGCCATTGGTATTTTTGTAGGAATTGCATTGAATCTGTAGATTTTTTGGGGTAGTATGGACATTTTAACAAGATTTAGTCTTCCAATCCATGAACGTGGAATATTTTTCCATTTTTTGGTGTCTTCTTCAATTTCTTTCAATTGAGACCAATTTTGAAAGACATTCTGGTTAAAATGGTATCAAAGCTGGGCATGGTGGCTCATGCCTGTAATCCAAGCACTTTGGGAGGCCGAGCTGGGCAGATCACAAGGTCAGGAGATCAAGACCAGCCTGGTCAACACAGCAAAACCCTGTCTCTACTAAAAATACAAAAACTAGCTGGGTGTGCTGGCATGTGCCTGTAGTCCCAGCTACTCCGGAGGCTGAGGAAGGAGAATCACTTGAACCTGGGAAGTGGAGGTTGCAGTGAGCTGAGATTGTGCCATTGCACTCCAACCTGGGTGACAGAGTGAGACTCCATCTCCAAAAAATAAAATAAAATAAAATAAAATAAAATAAAATGGTATCAAACAGTATCTCATGCTACAGAGAAAACTTTCGTGAAAGGAAGAGTCAATCAATGAGACAAACTTCATGTCTTATTTTAAGAAATTGCTACAGCCACCCCAGCTTTCAGCAACTACGACTGTGATCAGTCAGCAGTCATCAATATTATGGCAAGATCCTCCACAAGCAAAAAAATTACAACTCCCTGACAGCTCAGATGATCATTAGCACTTTTTAGTAATAAAGCATCTTTTAATTAAGGTATGCTCATTTTTTTCTAGACATAATGCTGTTGCACACATAGTAAACTACAGCATAGTATAAACATAACCTTTATATGCACTGCAAAACCAAAAAAAAAATGTGTGTGACTGGCTTTATTGTGATATTTGTTTTATTTCAGTGGCTGAAACTCAACCAACAATATTCCCAAGGTATGCCTGTTCAGTCACATTCTGAGGTACTGGGGTTTAGGACTTCAATATATGAATTTGGAGACACAATTCAGCCATAACAACACAATATAAATATTTTTCTGGACTTACCTGGGACTTCCCATGATGGGCATTTAGCACACAGTAGGAAATAGCTTTGTTGACCATTTTTCCACTACATCATCATGGCGAGAGGCAGCAGGAGAGACCTGACAGCACTCTGAGCTTGCTCTCTGCTGCTGTGGGGCCAGGATCTTCTGCGGCTATGGGCCTCCAGTCCCACTCAGCAAATAAATGAGCCATATTCCCTTTGGGTTTGAAATGCTTTTTTGTAGGAAAGGAATAATCAAATACTTAACAGCTACTAACTGTTAAGTATTAACAGGGAGAAACAGGTGTGCATGGGCTGTGGGCATTTGTCTCTGTTTACATTTGTAAGTGTCTTCTGGAACAGCCCATCCAGGCCCTTTAAGGAGCTTTCACCAGCTAAAGGAAAAACTACCAACAGGGAGGCCAGGTCACTTTTCTTCCAAATTCTTCCCAAAGTATTTACTTTCATCTGCTGGGAAAAGACCTCAACAAACATTTATCAAGGACCTCTTTTGTGCCTGAGGCTGTGCTGGGTCTGGAAGGAATGTACTGCTTCACTGGGCCTGTTTAGTAAATACAGACATTGCTCAACCAACAAGGAGGAGAGAGAGTCCGTGGGTTCAGGAGCTGGGAATTCACTTGTGCCAGCAGAATGTAGGAGGGCCCTGGTCAGGAAGATAGGTTATTTGGTGCTGCTATGTTATTTTTTATTTTGCCTCTTTACGGATGTAAGGAAGAGACATGCCCACGTTACCTGCGAGCCATCTCTCAGTGGCACAGAATCCCATCCTCTCAACATTGCTGCGTCCCAGTGCTTCCAAGGTGGTGGGGGTGAGGAGAGGGTTCAGTGCTTTTCATGGAATCTGGATTTCAACTTAAGGCCAATAGATTTACCCTCTTTCTGAATGTCTAGAATTTATCCTAGCAGAGGATCTAGCTGTGTCAATTTACCCTTCTCCAAAACGGAGCTCTGCTATCTGCCAGAAGCAAAGGACATTTGTCGTTTTTGCCTGCCCAGCTTACCTCCCACTTCTCTTGGAAATAAAACCACACTTTCCTTCCTGGAACCCATTCTATGTGGTTCAGGTGGGGCTGACCTCACCTCCCCCAATGCAGGGAAGGTGCCCTGTCCTTAGTCTAGCCAATAGGAGTAGCTCTCTAGCCCTTGTCACAGTGATTGGCACAGAGCTGGGCATATGACTCAAGCACAGCCAAACAGAGTCTGCTTCAGGCATTGATGTGGCAGCCACAGGAGAGCAGTTCCGCCCTCCTCTTGGATAACATGCTCTAAGGATGGCTTGGAACTGCTTGCAGCCATCTTCTCCAGTGGTACAGGGGCACAGAGGACACTTTCATCATCTGGAGAAAATGAAGCCAATGTACAAAGAGAAATCGCAGAGAGATGGAAAGCTAAAGGCAACCTTAAAGACAATCTTTGAGCCTCTGGATCCATCTCTTCTCAGGAGCTAATACATTTCCTATGTTGCTTATACTCCTTTGAGCTGGGTTTCTGTCACTGGGATTGGAAAACTGACTGTTGCAGCAACAGGGTTTTGTACTGAGCCTCCTCAGAGACAGTCAGCATTTCTCATGCTTGGCCCATGGTGTTTACCCTTGGCTGGAGCCCTGATTCTCATTAAACTAATTACGGGCAGAGTATGAGGACTACATTCACTCAGAGATCAGGGCACAAAGCATTGCAATTTTATGCAGAGATTACTGCTGAGGACCACTCCCCTTGGAAGTAAGCTGTGGACTAGAGAGTCATTTCACACTTAAACCCTTCCCTCTATGTCTTTGGCCTTTAAACTCTGGTTTCTATTCTTTACTTTCTGAGTGTGTATTTTCAAATCACCCCTTGGGGAGGGGTCTCAGGAACATCCCAGGCTCCATATCAAATGCAGGAAGGTATTTACCATGCATGACAGGTTTCCTATAGTTCTTTGGACTGCAGAGGAGTACTGCGCTGCACGCATGAGCATGGGTGGTGGGGTCAGATGGAATGAAGATCTTTGGCTTTGAGGCAGTGTAACCTGTCTGCCTTCCTCTGTCATTGTGAGTTCCTCAATTCACGTTACTGTCAACCTCTCCCCATGTCTCCAAATTACCCTGTGGCCCACTGGCCATTTTATATGCACGTCATTCTAGCCTCAGAACATGCCATTTCCCTTCCGCTAATGTCTTATTGCCTGTATGAATCTAAACTTGAGGGAGTCTACTGGATTATCTTGCCCACGACCATAGCAGTTTTGTTTGTTTGTTTGTTTGTTTTGAGACAGAGTCTCACACTGTTGCCTGGGCTGGTGTGCAATGACACAATCTCGGCTCACTACAACCTCTGCCTCCCGGGTTCAAGCGATTCTTCTGCCTCAGCCTCCGTAGCTGGGATTACAGGTGCCTGCCACCACGCCTGGCTAATTTTTTGCATTTTTAGTAGAGATGGGGTTTCACTATATTGGCCAGGCTGGTCTCAAACTCCTGAACTTGTGATCTGCCTGCCTCAGCCTACCAAAGTGCTGGGATTACACGCGTGAGCCACCACGCCCGGCCAACCATAGCAGTTTACATGTGGGTTTGGTTTGGGACTGAGAGTCAAGATCCACTGAGGGGCGTGGCCTCTCTTCCAGTATTTACTTTTGTTTGCAAATGAGTACATATTCCGACTCCGACTCCGAAGTCTTATAAAGCTTTTCTAACTCAATTTTCAGAGGTAACAATAGACTCAACCTGAACATTTGATTGACAGTATCCTCTGCTTCCTTTTGCACAGGGTACTTGTGTCATTTCTCCTCCTCTAAGTAATTGCGGCAGCTTTGGTTTCTCTCTTTGCTATGTGACACAGCATGAAGGTTTGGACAGGAGTTTAACTATTACCCTTTAATGTTTTTGTTGTGTTACTGTCAAATTGTGTCTTCTTAAAGGTTGCTTCCTGTCCTTTCTTAGGAGCAGGAAAAAAAAAGTGGCTGTGTGTCTTATGCCCTATCTGTATAAAATGCTTTTCATTATTGATAAAGATACACTATTCCAGGAGACTCACCTATTTAACCAGGTCAAGAGCTGGAAACCTTTCTCCAGTCTGTGTTCAGCCTCTAGTCCCACAGTGGTGTGAATACAAAGCAGTCTTCCTTGCAGGTGTTCAGCACACAGGCCGTAAGCCAAGAGCAGTAGATGGCATGCAGAAGGAAGAGGGTCACTTTCTGCTTCATCATTTGGGATTCTAGTGGACCCAGAGAAGGAACGCCAAGGAGAGGACCTAGACTCGTAACCCCCACATGCCACACTTTTATTTCTCCTAAGATTAACGATGTTTATCACTATTTGAGGTACTGTTAATGTGCCAGATACTTTAAGTGCTTGGCATATGTTATCTAAACCTTAAAAGAATTTTATGAGGTGGAGAATATGATTCCCATTTTATACATAAACAAACTCAAAGATGTTGAGAGAATACCTGAAGAAGTTAAAAGGCTGTCACGCAGCCAGAGGTGACCCTGGGCTTTTGAGTGCTGGCAGGTGGCAAGCACCCAGGTGAGAGCTGTGGGGTGGCCTGCAGACCCCGAGGAGTTAGAAACAGAGGCCTTGGGACAGGCTCCAGGAAGGTGGCCTGTGTGAGAACCTCTCTAGTCCCCAGTGCTCCTGGGAGAGGCAGCTCAAGTGCAAAGCCAGATGCACCCTGCAGTGGGGTGAGAGAGGGGCATAGATCACCTTCCAGAAATAGCTGCCGAGTTGATGTTAAATTTTGTAGGTTTTCTTGATTCCGTTTGTTAATATAATCTTGTGCTCATGGGTGTTAAAAGATGTGGGCCTGAGGTAATATTCATTTGGCTTATTGTAATAGTTACTCCTGGGCATTACACATGCTAAACAAAGCAAAATATTCACCAAGCTCTCAATCTGAGCTCCTTGGGTCAGTAAGCAGAGGTCACAATCTTTTCCTAGTCCCACTAGTGAGTTAAATTCTGGAATGGCTCTGAATTATCAATATGTCAATAAAATGTCAGTCAGCCAGAGCGACATGCTATTGCAGTATTGACTGTCGGATCCTAAAGCAAAAACATGTTTTAATTGTTTTTGCTGAGTGTAGGGAAGCCAGTAAGTAGAGACCAGGTTTGAGAGGGTTAGAGATTGCCACTGATCTTTATTTTTCAGTTTTGAGAGTCTTGTAGCATTGTGGAACCCATTTCTCATTTTCGCCCACAGAATTTATATCAGAGTCAGAAACAGGAACCTGCAAAGGGAAATATCTGAGAAAACAGGCTGTTCCAGGCTTACCTGGTAGGGCAGGGCTGGTGCCCAGGTACAATCATTGGCCAGTGTAAATATATGCGAGTCAGCTAGTGGTGATGACTTTGAAGCATGGGAGGAGGAGATGGGTGCCGCCTTTAGCTCCATAAGCATTTGCTTCAACTGATTAGACTCTCCAGGTACAGCGTGGTGAGGAATGAGACTAACAGCAGCCAGACTGCAAAACTGTGGGTGTGGCATGTCTTCCGGAAAGACCTCCTTATCTTTCCCCATAGAGCAACAATGGTTCCCCTTTTTCTTTGCTTTAGCCCAAAGGTGGGTCTCATCTTGGAAGTCACTTAGGGTTCTCTTTTTCCTGAGGGACACACGTGGGCAAAGATTTGAATACGTCTGCGCCCAGGGGCTTTTCCATCCTAAGGACCTTGTCGCCTTTTGTGCTTTGCCTTGTTTCTCTTTTTCTTTTCATTCTACTCTTTTTCTTTTTTTTGAGGCGAAGCCTTGCTCTGTTGCCCAGGCTGGAGTGCAGTGGCACGGTCTTGGCTCACTGCAGCCTCCACCTCCTGGATTCAAGCGATTTTCCTGCCTCAGCCTCCCAAGTAGCTGGGACTACAGGCACGCACCATCACACCCAGCTAATTTTTTTTTTTTTTTTTTTTTTGTATCTTTAGTAGAGACGGGGTTTCACCATGCTGGCCAGGCTGGTCTCGAGCTCCTGACATCAAGCGGCCTCAAGAGGCCCCCCTCGACCTCCCAAAGTGGTGGGATTACAGGCGTGAGCCACTGTGTCTGGCTATCTTTTCATTCTACTCTTAACTCTCACCCTAACCCACAGGAGACCTTATGCAAACTGGAAAAAGAACATCTCTCTTGGCAGGTGTAGCCTGTACCAGGCTGCATGGCCGGGTGGGCAGATGATGGGCTGGACTTGGGCCCCCAATTTTCCCCTCAGTGGGTATTCTTGTGCAGTGAACACTGCATAGCTGAATGTGGTAGCCCTGTTAATGCTCATCATTTTCTTATCTTGTACTACAAAGGTAAGCTGCAGAGCCTTTTGGGGGCAAGGCAGGTGTAAAATGAATTAAGTATTAATGCGATATAGCTGAGTAGGCTATTCCCCCACTGTTAACTTGACAGAGTGGTACCAGGTGGGGTCCCACACACCTGGTGGGGGAGTAGTGGTCACCCCTGGAGGGGGCTTCTTTAGAAATACAGATATGCTTTGCGGGGTGAGCTGAATGGAAACTGCAGCCACTACTGGGGAGTGAGGGTGAGTCTAGGCACAGGCAGGAATCAGCGTGGATTTTGAGAGGCGTAGATGGAACGATTCTGGAGTAGAAAGAGTGAGGTGTTTTGATGCTGTCAGATGGCAGCTGAAACAGACAGCAGAAGCTGTCATTAACTGGTCAGAGCCGATGGCAGGAAGAAGATAAGAGAGGAAAGCAGAGCAGGACAGAGGAAAGAAGAGAAGAGGAGGAGAAGAGACAGAGGACAGGGAGGGGAGATGGGGGGAGGGGAGAAGACAGGAGAGGAAGTGGGGAGAAGAGGAGAAGGGAAGGGAGAGGAGCATAATAACATTTCCAAGGTCTGAGGAATTCAGTTTTACTCATGCTCACTCTGTTACAATTTATTACCTCCTCCATTCAGTACATGTTTATCGAGCTTCTTCTCTATGCCAGGTACTGTGACAGAGAGATGAGCATACAATCCAGTGGGGAACGCAAACATTGAAAGCAATGATTGCTGCTTGCTGGGCTCTGATGGATGATGTTACAGCAGCACAGAGTGGGCTTAGGAGTTAATAATGGGGAAAAGTGCAGGATGGCACCATATTTCTGTTTTAAGGGACTGTATGAATGAGAGTGCTCCTGGCTAAGATATGAACACAGTTGCCACAAACTGGGATAAAGAACATGAAAGAAGCAAGTGTGGTGGATGTAAGAATATGAGCCCAACTTTAGACATGCTGCATCTGGGGTGGAATGACACCGACTGGTGACCGGTAGATAGATAAGCCACTGGAAGGCAAGCTCCAGGGCGACAGGGCTTTCAGCCTACGCCATCTAATACTGCATCCCGAGGACCTGCAAGAGTGCCTGGCACACATGAGGTGCTCAGTACATATTCGTGGAGTGGGTGCGTAGCTCGGATGTGGAGGCACCCCCGTGGAAGTCCTCACTTGTTGCCCACATTCATCTTGATGCTGCGCTTAGTTAGCATTTTATTGCACACTCTGCCACCCCCAACCCTAAAACAAAGCTAATATCCACAATGCGTCAGTGAATTGTGCCTGTCACGTAGGAAGTGCTCAATAAATATTTATCAATGATAAATCTCATATTAATGTTAATCAATACAGGATCGATGATGTGTTAATTATATTAATATAGAATATATTATAATAATAAATGTGTATTATATAGAGATGTATAGATAACAAGTAATAGGCCGCAGTTCTCGAGGGGAGTTTGGGAATAATAATGATATTGCCCAGCAGATAGCAGAAACCTAAATATGTCTTCTCTCCTGCCAGCCAGCTTGGCTCTTCTCATTCTCTTTCCCCATGTGATCTCTAAACTCTCCATTAACTGAACTGTTCATCTTTGACTCTTGGCCTACATGCCCGTGGGAGCATAAGAAAAGCCTGGCATTCACTCAGCAGTGTCTTCGAGCCTTCTCTTTGGGGTACTTCATTCATCCCACCACCAATGGATCTGAAGCTCAGGCAGCATCTAGGAATGCAGATTTGGGGGCCAAAGGAGTGAGTGAGGAGGTGGAGTGTGAGGGAAAGAGGCTGAGGTGAAGCCCCTGTGAAACACTGAAGGCTGAGAGGCGGGGAGAAAGAGCAGTCTCTGCAGAGACAGGAGCTTGTGCATCCTCATCCAGCTTCCAGCCAGCTTACCTGTCCAGCTTCACAGCAGTATGTGTCCAGCCCATCACTGCAAGAGTCAGCTGGTCATGCACTATCAGGAACAAAGTTTGCAAGAAATAGTTTTTGAATGAAGAAAGTTCCAGCCACTCTCACAAAAATGGACTCTCTGCTCTAGTAATTCCGAAATAACTTCAGTTCTCAGAACATGCCCTGTTCTTTTCAATGTATGTTTAGCCATCCATTCACTCATCCATTTGTTCACTTAACAGGCCCATTTCCAAAACCATTCTCACATTTTAGGTTTTTGTTATGGCAGCACCCCATTTCTAGGTACCCACAGTATTGTAAAGTCACCACAAGTCGCTACCACACTAAGCTCCTCCTGGGCAGGGACAGAGTTTTGGCCTCTGTGTTGTCCTGAAGGCTCCAGCCTGACTCAGCCAACCCTCACTAAGACCAGCAGTCACAGGCCTGTACCAGCTCACCAGACGACCACTCTTACCCTAGTACCATGATACATTTTCAGACAATTTAGCCAAGTCGGCAGCTAAAGAAGCGGCATCATTGCAAAGAGGTGAAGATCAGAAACAAAGGGAAAAATAATGGCTCCATGCAAATCTTGCAAGGAATTTAAAAGGATACAGGAAAAGGTTTCAGGAAAGACTGCTTCAGTAGCTCAGAACCAGGCCCAGGATTCTCATCCAGAGGCTGCCTTTAAAAAAATAGCATAATTTCACTCTTGGCAACTCTATTAGCCCATTCTTGCATTGCTATAAAGAAGTACCTGAGACTGGGTAATGGATAAAGAAAAAGGGGTATAATTGGCTCACAGTTCTGCTGGCTTTGCAAGAAGCATGGTGCTGATATCTGCTCAGCTTTTAGGGAGGCCTCAGGGAGCTTACAATCATGATAGAAGATGAAGGTGAGCAAGACGCCACATAGTGAAAGCAGGGGCAAGCAAGGGGTCTGATCTTAAATGACCAGATCTTATAAGAACTCACTACCACAAAGACAGCATCAAGCCATGAGGGACCCACCTCCATGATCCAAACACCTCCCACCAGGCCCTACCTCTAGCATTGGGGATCGCAATTCCACATGAGATTTGGGCAGGGACAAATATCCAAACTATATAATTCCATCCCAGATCCTCCCAAATCTTGTATTCTTCTTACATACAATCATGCCTTCCCAACAGTCTCACAAAATCTTAACTCATTCCACATTAATTCAAAAGTACAAAGTCACATCTCAGACAAGGCAAATCCCTTCCACCTGTGAGCCTGTAAAATAAAAAACAAGTTAGCTACTTCCAAGATACAATGAAGGTACAGGCATTGGGTAAACATTGCCATTCCAAAAGTGAGAAATTGCCAGAAAGAAAGGGGCTACAGGCCCTATGCAAGTTCAAAATTTAGCAGGGCAGTCATTAAATCTTAAATGTCCAAAATAATCTCCTTTGACTCCATGCCCGACATTCAGTGCACACTGGTGCAAGGCCTTGGGCAGCTCTGCTCCTATGGCTTTGCAGAGTTCAGGTCCTGCAGCTGCTCTCACAGGCTGGAGTTGAATGACTGCCTCTCTTCAAGGTGCAGGTACAAGCTACCAGTGAATCTACTATTCTTGGATCTGGAGGATGGTGGCCCCTTTTTCACAGCTCCACTAGGCACTGACCCAGTGGGGAAGCTGTGTGGAGTCTCCAACCTCATATTTCCCCTCCACACTGCCCTAGTAGAGGCTCTCTATGAGGTCTCTGCCCCTGCAGCAGGCTTCTGCCTGAATACGCAGTCTTTTCCGTATGTCCTCTGAAATCTAGGTGTAGGCTCTCACACTTCCTTCACTTTTGCATTCTGTATGCCTGCAGGCTTAACACTACATGGAAGCTGCCAAGGCTTATAGCTTGTGTCCTCTGAAGCAGCAGCCTGAGCTGTATCTGGGGCCCTTTGAGCAAAGCTGGAGCTGGAGAGGGTGATGCAGGCAGCAGTGTCCCAAGGCTGCCCAGGTCGTCCTAAGACTGCCTCAGGCACTGGGGCTCTGGGCCTGCCCCCACAACCATTCTTTCACCCTAGGCCTCTGGGCCTGTGATGGGAGAGGCTGCCCTGAAGGTCTCTGAAATGCCTCTGTGGCCATTTCCCCATTGTCTTCGATTATTAGCACTTAGCTCCCTTCTAGTTATGCAAATTTCTCTAGCGAGTGGTTGCTCCACAGCCAGCTTGAATTCCTCTCCCTAAAAAGCTTTTTCTTTCTCTGCTACATGGCCAGATAATTTTCTAAACTTTTACACTCTGCTTCCTATTTAATTTCCAACTTTAAGTCATTTTTTTGTTCCTGCATTGAAGTGTAGGCTGTTAGAAGCAGCTATGCCACTTCTTGAACACTTTGCTGCTTAGACATTTCTTCTGCCAGATACTCTAGATCATCACTCTTTAGTTCAAACTTCCACAGATCCTTAGGGCATAAACAGAATGCAGCCAAGCTCTTTGCTAAAGCATAATACATGAGCTTTTGCTACAGTTCCCAGTAAGTTCCTTGTTTTCATCTGAGGCCTCAAAAGCCTGGACTTCACTGTCCATATCACTATCAGCATTTTGGTCACAACCATTTAACCAGTCTATAAGAAGTTTCAAACTTTCCCTTATCTTCCTGTCTTCTGAGCCTTCCAAACTCTTCCAACCTTTGTCCATTACCCAGTTCCAAAGCTGCTTCCACATTTTCTGATATCTGTATGGCAATGCCCTACTCCTCAGTATGAATTTTCTGTATTAGTCCATTCTTGATTGCTATGAAGAACTATCTGAGACTGGCTAATTTATAAAGAAAAGAGGTTTAATTGGCTCACAGCTCTGCAGGCTTTACAGGAAGCATGGTGCTGACTTAGCTTCTAGGGAGGCCTCAGGAAGCTTACAGTCATGGCGAAGTGGGACCAGGCACATCACATGACAAAAGCAGGAGTAAGCAAAAGAGAGTGACGGGGAGGTGCCATACACTTTTAAATGACCAAATCTCATGAGAACTCACTATCATGAAGACAGCACCAAGCCATGAGGAACCCACCTCCATGACCCAAACACCTCCCACCAGGCCCCACCTCCGGCATTGGGGATTACAATTCAACATGAGATTTGGGTGGGGACAAATATCCAAACTATATTAGCAACTGTCCATCCAGTGGAATTTTGGTGGCTTCATGGGGAAGACATTCCATCCCTCTCCTTTTCCCATACCTTCCTTCAGATGACCTACCCCATTACCTTCAAAGAATTCCACAGTCACAAAGTTATTCCTTAGGCATAAGACTCTTTGTCTCCTGGAAAACAGAGAATCTCTGGAAGGGATGGTCTAGGTCTTATGAGAGTCAGGGAGAATTGGTGTATGCAATCCTCTGCTGGGGGCAGGCTTTTATGAGAATAAAAGAAGAGGAAGCCACTGTGAGGATGTTCAGAGGAGAGGGTAGAGAAGATGGTGGTGAAAGGGGAACAGTAGGACCAAGGAGCAAAGACAACCAATAATTTGGGGATTTCAGAAACTCTGACATCCTGTCCTTTATAATTCTGGAGGTGCTGCTGAGCCCTGCTGCCTGCTCTGGAGTTTCTTGGCATTTGCTTTGCCTGTTTGCTCATTTACTATCAGCAAAGTAGCTGGACATTTCACCAGTTATCAAGGACTGTGCTAGGTCGGGCAGCACCAGGGGCTACGGACACACAGACAGCCTCAGCTGCAAGGGCCAAACATCGTCACTCCAGAGAGGAGGTCAAGCTCCAAGCTGGCCTCACCTGTGGCTGCCTGAAGACTGGGAAATGCACAGGCTTTCCAGTGAGACAAAGCTGAGTTCAAACCTGGCCCTGTTCCTCTAGCTGTGTGGCCATGGACATTGATTACCCTTTCTGAAGCATAGCTTTACCAATTGTAAAGTGAAGATCATCATACCCAACCCAGAGGGTTGTTAGGAGAAAAAATGAAAGAAGCTTTGTAGCATACCTAATGCAGGGTCTGGATCACAGCAATTGCTGAAAAACAGTTGTCCCCTTCCCCTTCCCTCTTGGCTCTGTCTTCCTGCATTTCATTAGTCAGATCTCTGCGGTTTTCCTAGAACATCTCTAACTGCAAACCACCAACTACTAAAAACCCTCAAGGAGGGGTAAAATGGATAATAGGAATTTCTAGTGACATAAAAGTGATATCATGTTTGTATGTGTAACTATCAATCAATTTCAGAGAAAAGCAGGCTTGCATATCTGAGCAGACACCACCAGCTTTCTTCTGCTTCTGCAGATTGAATTTTATTTTATTAAGAGCAGAACAATGGGCCTGATTTTCCTCTTTGGATACTAAAGAAGACAAATTAGTCAAAAGGAAATTCAGCTGAAACTGTATTTAGTGTTTGAGATCCTAAGCCCCGAGACGGAGCCTCTGTGTGACCTTGAGGAGCTGCGTGCATGCTCACTGCTGGATCCCAGCATGATGTGGCCATGTCTGGGTCAGGAGCACAGGAGGCTCAAGGCCAGTCCAGGGCCTGGTCAACAGAGCAGCACACGCAAAATCAAAGTGACCCTGGGCCTTGATGAGGGACACGCTGCCTTCCTGAGCAGTGCATGCTGCATGAGTGTAACTGATTACCACATTTTTAAAAGAAAAAAATGGATTTTCTTAACCTTTTTCCTTTTCCCCCACCTCCTACTTAGCTCTTTAGGAATGCAATTATAACCTTTACCTTCTCTCCACCAGACACTCCCTACACGGCAAGCTTATCTAACTATGTGTTTACTTAGAAGTTCTGGAGGCTGAACCTTGAAACACAGCAGGCACTTCTGGAACTCTCTCTCGCCAGGAGATTGCCTCAAGATAACAGTTAATTTACAACCTAAATTTTGCCCTAGATAAAATTAAAATTGTCAATTTACAACAGGGCCCTGCCCACAATGGTGCTAGCCAGACCACTTGATAGATAAGACCCAGGAAGCAAGTCACATGGGCCCCACACCTCCTCCCCTACCTCCTACATGAGGTTGACTCCAAGTCCCCCTTTAAAAGCCCCTGCTTTCTGCCCTGAAAGCTGAAGTAATACCCTTAAGGCAGGAGCCTGTACTTCTTCCTCTCAGCTAAGCTCTGGAATAAAAGTCACTTTCTTTCCGCCAGAACTCCTTATTAATTGGACTCTACCAGCCATGAGCAGCCGGATCCGTGGGACTCACTGTCACAACTGGTTGTGGGGACCGTCCCCCACACTGGCAAGTTCAAGTCAACAAACTATGCTAGGCAGTGTTAAAGGTAGAGGGCGAAAAGGGACTATAACATGGTCTCCACCCTCCTGAAATATTAAACACAAGCTAGGTCAGGGATTCTTAATCTTTTTGGTGTCATTGGAAATCAGAAGTATAGACCCCTTCTCAGAATAATGTTTTTAAATGTGTGAAATGAAATGAGATCACAATTGAAACCAACTCGAATGGAGCACACGAGGTCTCATGCACACATGGAGGGAAGTATTATTGCTAATTTAGAGGTATGAGCAGATCATAATGGTCAGGGGGTGTCTGAAAACTTTATGGAGGAGCCGTTAAAGACTTCTACACACAGAAATGGGGGAAGGCATTTCAAGCACAGGGAACAGCATGAGCAATCGTTTGGAAACAAGGGCGTGCAGATGCATTAAAGGGAACAGAATAATCAAGTGAGGCTGGGGCTTTGCAGGAAGCACCCAGTGCTTGTACCTGGGTCCTCTCTCTGTCTCTTAGAATCCTAGCCAATGTGAAAGGAAAATAAATCTTGGGGTCCCCAAATCACTAAGCTAAAGGGAAAAGTCAAACTGGGAACTGCTTAGAGCCAACCTGCCTCCCATTCTATTCAAAGTCTCCCCTATGCTCACTGAGATAAATGCATATCTGATTGCTTCCTTTGGAGAGGCTAATCAGAAACTCAAAAGAACGTAACCATTTGTCTCTTATCTACCTATGACCTGGAAGCCCCCTCCCCACTTTTGCTTCAAGTTGTCCCGCCTTTCCAGACCGAGCCAATGCTCATCTTACGTATGTTGATTGATCTCATGTCTCCCTACGATGTATAAAACCAAACTGTGCTCTGACCACCTTGGCACATGCCATCAGGACCTCCTGAGGCTGTACCATGGGCACGTGTCCTCAACTTTGGCAAAGTAAACTTTCTAAATTAACTGAGACATGCCTCAGATTTTCGGGGTTCACACCGGTAACAGATATGGACTGAGTTTGCACCTGAATTGCCCATGCTTCTGTCAGTCAGGCCACTGGCAATGGAAAAGTGAGCCCCTGGCATCTGTCCACTCAGCAGTGATCTGCTAGGAAGGTCAGAAAAGCAGGTGGGCGTGAGGGAGGCAAAAAGGAGCCCGGGAAGAGGGTGCTTCACAGTAGCTCTGTTTTGCCCCAGGAGGACAGCTGCTCTGGGAGTTGGACCTGCAGGGGGAGACACCATCAGCCACTGACAACCCACCTAGGCAATGCTCACTCCTCTGCCAGCCACTCTGTTACTCTGTTGGGACAAATTTCTGGCAGAATTGTCCTCAGGAAAAAATTTAATTAGACATTTATTACATGAGCATGTCAGCCCTGTGGTTTTTTTTTTTTTTTTTTTTTTTTTGGTTCTAGAGGACACCCGGCTCAAACCCCTGATTAAATTTGTGCCTAAATTGGGGCCATCCTAGAATCCAGGCCCAGAGTGACCACAGGCCTGGTGGGAGGTGGGCCTACCAGGCTTATGGAGCTGGCTGGGGAAAATGTGCCTCAAAGGCAGGAGTCCAGCACACCCGTTTGGTCCAGACACAATGGCCCAGTCAGCAGGAGAGGGTGATTTTGACATCTTCCCTTAGGTGGGCCTCTGAGGCCAGGCAGAGGGGCTGCAGTCAAAAGAGCAGGCAAGAGCAGCCACAGCAATAGCTCACGTTTATGAAGCACGCATGCAGCACTCGGCACTGTGCTGATCACTCTTCATGCACTCAGTCATTCAATCGGTAACCCTGCCAGCTATGGACTGGTGAGATCTCCCTTTTTCAGATAAGAAGACAAGCTTAGAGGGATTAAGCTGCTTGTGCAGAGCCAGGTCACTGCCTGCCCCCCTCTGCCGGACTCCAAACATCAGTAGACATGAGTACGGGAAAATAAAATATAAAGAAACTGGACAGGTGCAGTGGCTCATTCCTGTAATTCCAGCACTTTGGGAGGCCAAGGCAGGCGGATCACTTGAGCCCCAGAGTTTGAGACCAGGAACATGGCAAAACTCTGTCTCTACTAAAAATACAAAAATTAGCTGGGTGTGGTGGTGCGCACCTGTGGTCCTAGCTACTCAGGAGGCTGACGTAGGAGGATTGCTTAAGCCCAAGAGATCGAGGCTGCAGTGAGCTGTGATCACGACACTGCACTCCAGCTTGGGGGACAGAGTGAGACCCTGTCTCAAAAAATAAAAATAATAAAATGTAAAGAAACAAAATACAAAACAGGAATGTCACCGAAGCCAGTAGCTTCTAGTGGTCAGGTTTTGCAGTGAGGGAAGAAGTCAGGACTCTGGTAGCCTTGGTCAAGGCAAAAGGTGACCACCTTGGACTCTGAGCACTGGCAGCAGTAACCAGGTGCTCCCCACAGTTCATCTGAGCATGGAGAAGGGACCATGCAGATGCCTCCCAGCAGCCGAGAGGAAGCATCTGCACCTGCCGTCTGCAGGCCATTTGAGACACCACCAAAGGACTTCTAGGACCGCATGGGAACTTATGCTGTCTAAGCCCTCCTATAATCAAAGATGTATGTATTGGAGAAAGCTTGTAGGTGTAGGGGAAAGGTCATGTAAGGCTGCTTGAATCAGGTGGGAGTGATTTCCAGTAGATCGCTGAATCTGAGTCTGTTCTCTCACCTATAAAAGGAGCATAATAATGTTGACTTCACCTGTTGGCTCTAAGGATGAAACAAAGTGACATAAATAAAGCAGTCCAGTATGAGGCTTGACAAACCATAGGTGTTCAATAAATATACGTTTTCCTCCCTTCTCCTTCAGAAGAATTTTTAGAGGCTGTGTAGGCTTTTTGAAGCTTTATGTAAATTTATGTGAAGTGACATTCAGTGAAATCACTCATCTGTATGATCCCTTTAATCCTACCTGCAGCTTCAGTAAAATTGAAATTTAAATCATGCATTTTATTTAATGGCACAACTTAGATGCCTGGGGGGGTGTGGGGAAGGAGAGAGAGGAAAGAAAAAACCTATGTTAGAAAGAAAAGACCTTGGCACTAAAAATAACTATTCCAGGGGTGAAAGAGCTTTTGTTAAATGGACTCTTATCTTTTTTTAAAAAAATGTCAAATTTAAATCCAAAGATTTAGATTCAAATCAGGCTTTGAAAAAACAGAGGGCCTCCATGTGAAGTTTGCCCTTTCAAATTAAAATCCATTCTTTTTGTCTTGTGATTTTTTTCCCTGCTATTTCTCACTCATCTTACTTTTTTAGTTGGTCTTGTCTTACTACATGAATACATTAAAGGCTATGTATAATGATAAATACTACAAAGCAGAATCAGTGGACAATTCTGGAAACATTATTTTGGGCTTTAGATTTTAAGCACTAAAAAAAGATGCCCATCCACATTTTTTAAAAAGCAGGTTTTAAAAAACTGACAATGAATTTAATGTATTAAAAATACTTACTGTAAAAAGATAAAAATTATAGAAAACTATAAAGAAGAAAGTAAAATTGTCCCAAATTCTACTACTCAGTGATCGCCAAATTTTATAAATTTGTAAAAGCTTTTTGTATATTGAGGATATTAACCATATGCAGGTTTTATATATATATGTGTGTGTGTGTGTGTGTGTGCATATATATATATATATATATATATATATATATATATATTCATAATGTGTCCTCTATCATTCAAACTTTTAAATGGTACATAGTTTTTTGGTGAGAAGATTTAATTTTTATATTGCAAGATGTACCAATAATTTCTTTCTTTTTCTTTTTTTTTTTTTGAGACAGGGTCTTTCTCTGTCACCCGGGTTGAAGTGCGGTGGCATGATGAGGACTCACTGCAACCTCTGCCTCCCAGGCTCCAGAGATCCTCCCACCTCAGCCTTCCAAGTAGCTGGGATTACAGGTGTGTGCCACCATGCCCCACTAATTTTTGTATTTTTAGTAGAGACAGGGTTTTGCTATGTTGCCCAGGCTGGTCTTGAATGACTGACCTCAAGTGATCTGCCCGCCTCAGCCTTCCAAAGTGTTGGAATTACAGGCATGAGCCACCGCGCCCAGACTTTACCAGTACTTTCTATCTAAATTTTTTTGTTAGAAAGGTTTTTCCATCCAAAAATTATGAAAAATTTCACTTATTTTTCTACTACTTTCACAGTTTCATTTTTACATACACTTTTGGTGATAATTCTGGATTTTACTTTGATATAAAAATTAAGGCTTGGATCCAGGCTTACTTCTTCCAAATGGCTAGCCAGTGTTTTTCACCATCATTTCTTGAATTGCCTCTGTTTCTGTACTGATTTGAAATGTTACTTCTCTAATGTACCTATACTTGGCACTATACGAGTGTTACAGTCTCTTCCATGATCTGTTCATCTAATTTCATTGCTTTGGTGACTAGGACTTTTTAAGACATTTTAAATATCTGACAAGCAGTTGTGCATACTATTTTTGGGGAAAAATCAACATTTTTAATGAACAAAGCACTTTATAAAACAACATTTAAGAAGTCAAAAATAACAGATGCTGGTGAGGTTGTGAAGAAAAAGAAACACTTATACACTTACACACTGTTGGTGGGAGTGTAAATTAGTCCAACCATAGGGGAAAGCAAATCCTTTTGGGATGATATGAACATTCTAAAATCGGATTGAGGTGATGGGAAAACTGTGTGAATTTACTAAAATTATTGAATTGTACATGTAAAAAGTGATAAATTTGTGGTAAATAAATTTACCTCAATAAAGCTGGTTTATAATACCAAAAAATATTTAAAAATCAAATACTGTATACATGAAGAAAGAGAGAGAGGGAGAGAGGGAGGAAGAGAGGAAGGAAGAGAGGAAGTGAGGGAGGAAGGAGGGAAAAGAAAGGGAAGAGAAAGGAAGGGAGAAAGAAGGGAGAGAATAAAAAGGGGGAAAGGAGAAAGAATATTTCTTTTTGTATGATTAAAGCAATGAATGTTGAAAAGACTGCCTTTAGCTATTCTATATCAGAATTACTAAACGAAACTAGCTCAAAGCAAAATCAAAACAAGGGAAGAAAGACAAAAGTCGTGTAAGTTGAAATATAATGTTGAGAAATTACCACAATTCTTTCCAGAAGAAAATTGTCACCTCTGAAAATGAAGGATCCAAGTCTCTGTAAGAGTGGAAGATAAACAAATAAATAAGATTACACCACAAAGGAGAGTCATTTAAGAAGTCAGTCTCTTTCCCGGGGTCTCACACCCGGCTATCTCTGGACTGATGGCACTTCTATTGCTCCTTGCCCAGCCCTGGATGTGTGAATGGAAATCTCATTCTGTGCAGCTGCCTGTGGAAAGCCTCACAGCACTGCAGGGCCCACGTGGAGCGGGTCACCTCCAGCCCACACCAGGGAGATCTGAGCTTGCGCAAGCTCCTAGAAGCTAACTGCATCCAGCCCTGATCCCTGAGGTGTGGGAAACAGCCAAGAGTTAAGACAGGCCTGCGTTCTTTTAGCGTGGCCAGACAGCATTGAACTCCGTATTTGAATAATTAACTCAGCAAGCAACCTCCCAAATCAGCCTTGAACGCTATTTTATCTTCTCAAATAATGAGTGATAATCTTTCCTCTCTAACTCATTTACTTCTAACTCAAAAATGTCAAAACTGGGCCCGGCGCAGCGGCTCACGCCTGTAATCCCAACACTTTGGGAGGCCAAGGTGGGTGGATTATGAGGTCAGGAGTTTGAGACCAGCCTGGCCAATAAAGTGAAACCCTGTCTCTACTAAAAATACAAAAATTAGCCAGGCATGGTGGTGTGTGCCTGTAATCCCAGCTACTCAGGAGGCTGAGGCAAAGAATCGCTTGAACCTGGGAGGCAGATGTTGCAGTGAGCCGAGATCATGCCACGCACTCCAGCCTGGGCGACAGAGCAAGACTCTGTCTCAAAAAAAAAAAAAAAGAGTCAAAACTGAATGCAACGTTTTCCCTCTGTGTGAAATGGAAAGGCTTCATAGGGGGTGTTTGGATGCCAATGAGGTCTCTTGTTGGGGACATGCTCTTGATTCCCTGGCAGTTGTTAAGAGGAAGATGTGCTGATGGAAAGAGCTTCCCATTTGAATTCTAAAGACCTGTGTCTACACCCTCGTGGACATGACAGGCTAGTAGGAAAGACAGATGGTAAGTGAGTAACTAGAGATGAGACGGGAGCTAAATTACTGAGGGAGGTACAAGGTCCTGGAAAGCATACAATTTTATAGAAATCAAAAGCGTGCAAATGGCAAAAAGTTCTACATGAATAGACGACAAACTGTTAACAACTATCTATGAGGTAGAATAACAAAGGCCTTTAACTCTCTCAGGTATATATTTATGTATTATTTAAATGTTTTACAACCAGAGTATACTACTTTTGTACTTATTAAAAAAAGACATCAAAAATTAAATTAATTTTTAAAAAGAGTTTACAGGTTCTTAAGAATATGAAACTATTGGATTTTTTTTCTTTTTTTTTTTTTTGAGATGGAGTCTCACTCTGTTGCCCAGGCTGGAGTGCAGTGGCGCTATCTCAGCTCATTGCAACCTCTGCCTCTCAGGTTCAAGCAATTCTCTGCCTCAGCCTCCCGAGTAGCTGGGACTACAGGCGCGTGCCGCCACACCTGGCTGATTTTTGTATTTTTAGTAGAGACGGGGTTTCACCATGTTGGCCAGGCTGGTCTCGAACTCCTGACCTCATGATCCACCCGCCTTGGCCTCCCAAAGTGCTGGGATTACAGGCGTGAGCCACCACGCCCGGACTTGAAACTATTGGATTTTGATGTTTTGTTTTGTTTTGTCTTGTTTTGTTTTGTTTTTGAGACAGCATCTTGCTCTATTGCCCATGCTAGAGTGTAGTGATGCAATCTCTGCTCACTGCAGCCTTGACCTCCCAGGCTCAAGTGATCCTCCCACCTCAGCCTCCCAAGCAGCTGGGACTACAGGCATGCACCACCACACCTGGAAAATTAAAAAAATTTTTTCAACCGGGCTTGGTAGCTCACACCTGTAATCCCAGCACTTTGGGAGGCCAAGGCAGGTAGATCACCTGAGGTCAGGAGTTCGAGACCAGCCTAGCCAATATGGTGAAACCCCGTTTCTACTGAAAATAACAAAAATTAGCCAGGTGTGGTGGCGGGCGCCTATAATCCTAGTGACTCAGGAGGCTGAGGCAGGAGAATTGCTTGAACCCAGGAGACGGAGGTTGTAGTGAGCCAAGATCGCACCATTGCACTCCAGCCTGGGCAACAAGAG
Source organism: Homo sapiens (assembly GCF_000001405.40). Taxonomy (NCBI): domain Eukaryota; kingdom Metazoa; phylum Chordata; class Mammalia; order Primates; family Hominidae; genus Homo; species Homo sapiens. Next base: position 113,225,622 of record NC_000001.11, read on the forward strand.
CAAAACTCCATCTCAAAAACAATTTTTTTTGTAGAGATGAGGTCTATGTTGCCCAGGCTGGTCTCAAATTCCTGAGCTCAAGGGATCCTCCCACCTCAGCCTCCCAAGTTGCTGGAATGACAGGCGTAAGCCACCACATCTGGACTGAAACTATTTGATTTTGAACATGGACTTTCATATTGTAATTTATTTTTTGCTGTGGTGACTTGAGGAAGGTAAAATGAAGCATTTCAGCAGGAACCATGAGTGGGCAGCCCATAGTTTAAGATCTGCTCATCTACAACAGCAAATGTGAGTCTTCCCTTAAGCAGCAAGGGTAGCCCTGTGGATTGAAGTGTCCACTGAAAACCTCATGACACCTTTCCACACAGTCCTGAACCAAGACTGGTGAGGCCTGACACAGCAGGAATAACAAGAAGTTAAATAGAGCCAGTAAGGAGAGGGCATTGATGAAGCAGGCAATGGAACACAAACCAAATGGCCATTTTCCATGGAGAACTGGTGCCAACTTAGAGGGAATGACTTGGAGCCTCCTTCCCTGTTCAGTAAACATCTTTTCTTTATTGGTAGCAAAGTTCTGCAAGGTCACCACCGTGTGCAATGCAGAGCTCTTCACATCCTCCCTTCCCAGTCAGTGCCCGCTGCCCACGGTCAGCTTTTGTCAAAGGCGTGGTGGAGTTCGCAAGCCGCAGCTCTTTGTTTTAAAATGAGTAAGCCAGGGCTTTCCCCCTCCTTCGTTTTCTTTTCCTGGCTCTGAATAGGTCTGTTCGTACACAGCAGATGGCTTTCTGACGAGGCCCAAATTCATCCAGTCTTTGGGGAAAAAAAACTACAGCAAGAGGGACTGTTATTCCAATCTGATAAAGTTTTCTATTTTCAGTTAGAAAAATGAGTCTCCGTAAGTAGAAAAGGAAAAAAAATAATAAGAAAGTGAAAGGAACAAAAGCAGTCGATACTTCACATGAGAGATGGATTTGGGGAGTTTTCAATTATGTAGATCCTATGTATCTCCAGACACCATTCTCGCCTATGGCTCAGAAGCTCCAGGGAAGACAGCTCCAGACAGTAAAGGCCTGCGTGTAAAACACACACAAGGAGGTGAAGGTGGGAAGGTCATACGCCAGCTTCCAGACAGTGGCTGTCTTTGGGGAGCGCTGGAAGGGATCAGAAACAAGAAGAGCTTAAAAGGGGGTTTCAACTTCTTAATTTTTTTTTTTTCAGACAGAGTTTCACTCTTGTTGCCCAGGCTGGAGTGCAATGGCGCAATCTTGGCTCACTGCAACCTCCACTTCCTGGGTTCAAGTGATTCTCCTGCCTCAGCCTCCCGAGTAGCTGGGATTACAGGCATGAGCCACCATGCCCAGCTAATTCAACTTCTTAATATTAAAAAAAAAATTTTGTTTTCTTTAAAAAGTAAATGCAGGTAGTAGTGGGTACCTGGGCATTGTTGGTTGTGAAGAGCAAGGACTATGGAACCACACTGCTAGGGTTAGGATACCAGCTCTGCTATTTACAAGTTGTATAACCTTAGCAAGTTACCCAACTCTGTGCCTCAATTTTCTCATCTTTAAAATGGGGATAATAATAGAAGATATTGTATGGGGCTATGGTAAAGATCAAATGACCTCACTTATTCATTCTATAAGTATTCCTGAGGGCCACTATGTACCAGGTACTGTCCTAGGTGCCAGGGATATAGCAATGATCAAAGCCCACAAAGATCTCTGTTCTGAGAGAGCATATATTCTGGAGAGAGAGAGCAATAAGAAGCTAGATAATGAAAAACAGCATGTTAGATAGAGATGAACAATAAGGAGAAAAAATAAAGCAAAGATAAGATGGGTCAAAGAGGCTGGCATTTTAGGGAGGGTGGCCAGGGAATGCCTCATTGAGAAGGTGACATTATGACATCTGAGTAAGGCTTGAAGGAGGTAATATTTACTACAAAGCTCCTAGAAGAGTGCCTGGCACTCAATAAATGTTAGTTTTTTAAAATTATCTATGTTTGAACTATATCTTATTTTTATATTAATAAGAAAACATTTTGAATGACCAAGAAGAAAAAGAGTACATGGATACTTAGAAATGCCTGGAATTGGTAGCAGAATCACTGCAGCACAGTTTGTTGGAAACATTGGTCAAGGAATGCTTAGTTGTACCAAGAAACCTTGCCACCCAGTGATACAGACCTACACGGTGACAAAAATTCAGCCAAGAGACAAATAATTCAAAAGTAATATATATTTTAAGGACAAAGACACAAAAGACATCAGTCATCTTTCTTTAAAATTGAGAACAGAAAACTATTGAATACAATAAGACTGGGAATGAACAACTACTCAAAATACAGAGCAAAAATGTAAATGGTAGAATTCTGTAGTATAGCCTTGTTAAAGAAGAGAGAAAGAAGGGTAGAAAAACAATGACAGAAAACAATGAGAAAGAGATATATCTAGTGAACAATAGAAATGGACAAGCTGATGCACATCCAAAAATAGGCACAGAAAGAAAATATAAAAAGAGAGAAACACTCACACAAAGATACAGCAAGGAAAAGACACTGAATGAATTTCATGAAATCTAATCCCATCTTTTGGCTTCTCTGATGTTATCATTAAAAAATAAAATTAGTGCTTTGTGTTTTGTGACTTCAGGCATTATGGGGTACAGTATTGGTGGTGCATTCTTTGCTAGAAGAATAAATGGAATCAAGAAGGGACCCCTGATCCTGGAAAGACACTCAGGCCCTTATCTGTAGTCAGGGTATGCTAGAATGTCCTCAGGAATTCTTCATGCTGTCTGGAACTAGGAGAGGGTGAGCCCAAACTGCCCAAGAACCTCCTCCCTCATCGCCAAAATATACTCAAGCCAATAAATTTAGACTGAAAAATTTAGCAGCTTGAAAAATAAGAGTATTTATTGCAAAATGCTGCAAAAAATCCACAGAACTTGTCTAGATTTTGAACTTGTCAAGCTCTCTTTTTATTGAGAGCAGATCAGTGAAATCATTAGGCAGATTTAGTCATGCAATTGCCTAAGAGATTCTGAGATACAGACAAACAAGACTCGAGGCACAAATCTTCACTCTACCAATAAGTAGATGAACAGAGAAAAGATCACAGCCTAAGCTGCAGAGGTAATGGCTGAAAAGTAAAGGACTAGCATCCCGATGACGGTTCCTATTCAGAAGAGCCAAAACGGAAATTCAGGCTAATGCAAAATGCAAAACATTATTGGAAAGGAGCCCTGAAAAGTGTTTCAGAGTACATTTTGATCCTGTTGAGGTGAGCTCAGAGCAAGAAGCTGACTCCCCAAAGCCTAGAGGAGCTGTGTGAGAAACAGCAGCCAAAGAGAAGCAAAATCAAACAGAATTGAGGATGACTCTTCAAGGAGAAATGATCTAAAAGAAGGGGAGCATCAGGGGGATGGCAGACTCATGGGGAGAGGGACAGGTACATCCCCATAACTGTCTGGGGTGACATAAGGTGGACAACCTTTCAATTTGTACAAGTACCTACAAAGAGTCTTTAAATTGTTCATATTCTTAGGTCCAACAAGTCTGTATTTAATGTTTTATCCTAAGGAAATAAATAATATAGGCAAAACATACCTATACAATAAGGCTAGATAAATCATGGCACATCCATATACAAGAGTTCATGCTGGGCACAGTGGCTCATGCCTGTAATTCTAGCACTTTGGCAGGCTAAGGTGGGAGGATTGCTTGAACTTAGGAGTTTGAGGTTACAGTGAGCTATGATTGTGCCACAGCACTCCAGCCTGGGTGACACAGCAAGACCCTGTCTCTAAAGAAGAAAGAGAAGGAGGAAGAAGAAGAGGAGGAGGAGGAGAAGAGTTACTATGCGATCATTAAGAATATTGTAAAATATTTCAAAGAGTGTATGAGCAGGTATATGGGCACTCCTTGTTAAAGATGGCAAGCTGAATACATATATTTACCTCTGCCTGCTAGGAAAACCCTACAAAGTTACATTAACAGGATCACAAAGGGAAAAGCTCCTAAGGCTTAAAGAACAAGAGTGCAGACAGCAGCATATTAGATATGTCAACAAAATTTTAGAAGCTTGAAAGCAATCAGATGAGCATTCACCAACTTGACACACCAAAAGATGACTGCTGAGGCATGGTGGCACAAGCCTGTAGTCCCAGCTACTCAAGAGGCTGATGTGGGAAAATCACTTGAGCCTAGGAGTTCAAGTCCAGCCCGAGCAACACAGTGAGACCCCTGACTCTTTCCAAAAAAAAAAAAAAAGAAGGTGACTGCTAAATGCCTGAGGGGTAGGGGGCAGTTGGGGAACTAGGAGGCAAGCCAGTTTGCTCCTCAGAAGTCTAGAAAGTCTCAGGAAGATGAGGGTAGGAACAGGCAAGGCTAAAAATAGTGGATTGCTTGAGAGACTATGAAAAGCATCTAGACCTCAAGATACCTTTCCCCAACCATGGGTCCCTTACTTCCTCACTCTTCCACCCCTCAGGAGCCTGGAGGGTCCCTCTCTGGAGGTATATGTGGCGGCCACACCATGGAGCATGGCTCACTAGGCACTGCCAAGCACAGGAATGTCTTCTGAGTTTTCCCTTTTTTTTTCATTTTCCTTGTTTTTCAAATTATCTACAATAGACATATGCTACTGGTAATCAGAAAAAATATTTTAAAAATTACAACAGTAACTTATGCTTAAAAGAAAATTTTAATAGTGCTGAAGAAAGCAAAGTTAAAGGTCCCCTGCTGCTCACCCCTACCTCCACAGAGATAACCCCAATTTAGAGTTGCTTTGTATATCCTTACAGAAAAAAAGTCATAAAAAATACAATGAAAGCAAATGGAAAGAAAAACAAAATGAGGTGAGGTGAAGACCAGGAGATGACAATTTTGCTAAAACTCAGAAAAAGGAGCAGAGATGAACACTTCCCTGGAGAATCCAAGAGGCTCCTAAGCACAGAGGAAGAGTAGGCAGGGGAGGAAAAGGAGACAGGAAATGAATTGCGTTATCTTTAAAGATGTTGGCTAGCATAAAAGGGCCTAAGGTCTCTTAATTTAACAACATGGTTCTATCATTAATAAAACAACTTTTGGCACAAAAATAAAATTAAGGAAACAATGAGTAGTTCATCTCTTCCCTATGATTCATATATTTTCCCATTAGGCTCTAACTGCCTCAGATTTTTTGTTTGTTTGTTTGTTTTTTAGAAACAGGTCTCACTCTGTCGCTCAGTGGCAAGATCATAGCTCACTGCAGCCTCAAACACCTGGGCTCAACGATCCTCCTGCATCAGCCTCCCAAGCAGCTGGTACTATAGGTGCGTGCCACCACTCCTGGCTAATTATTTTATTTTTTGTAGAGATAGGGGTCACACTATGTTGCTCAGGCTAGTCTCCAACTTCTGGCCTCAAGTGATCCTCCCGTCTCAGCCTCCCAAAGTGCTGGGATTACAGGTGTGAGCCACCGCACTGTCTTTTCCTGGGATTTTAATAAAAACTCTGAATGTTTCAGTAGAACCATGTACTTTGTTAATGATTTGTCTATGTAAGTGGCTAATGTCACAGGGAGACAGACAGAGAGATCCTAACATGCTTTTCAAAAAATTTCAATTTATGGTAAAAAATTGTGCTGTCTCTATTTCTAATAATTAAATTTTGGAATTGTATCCAGCCCATGTTCTGCCTCCACAGTAAAATCACAGCTCTTCTTGCCTTATGCAAATAGATTTGCTTTCATCTGTGCACTGGCTATCCGCACAGCAGTATTGTGCCAAGGTGAATAATCTTGATTAAATTAAGCATTTCCAAGGTCTTTTATGTACTTAAGGAAATATACCACATATTAAGTGGAGGTTTGATATGTCTTCTACATAGGTTACCCAGGCTATTTCTTAAATCAAATTAACAAATTTAAAATGCTTTATTATGCCAAAGGATTCCCAGGGACTTCTGTACTTGAATCATGACATTTTGTTAAGAGGAACTATGGGACAGACACAGAAGAAAAAATCCTATTATATGCTGAGCTGTACTTTAGAAGATCATTTTTCTTATAATGTTCTTGGGAAGTGTTTTAATATACTGAAGAACCTTGAGAGATTATAGAAGATAGAGAATTCGAGGCTTACCTGAAATTGCATTAATGGCTTTGCTCCTGAATGTAAAACAAATCCAGCCAGGGGAATTTGGGGGCCCGTTAAACATGTTTGTGTTTTACCAGAAGGCAGAAAATCCATTCATAGAAAATCTGCAACAGAAAATCACTGAGAATGCTCTGTGGTTTACTTTGTGTGTTTTTGCCTCAGAATTTCTGAGGTGATGAGGTTTATTGCCGGCCAATACGCTGGATTTTAAAGCTCTTCTCTTCAGAGTTTATTGCACAGACACATGCTTCTGAGAGTCCACACACACTCGCATGCGCGTGCAAGGCGGGAGCCAGGGCCCCGCCGGTGAGCTGAGGGGATGGTGGGCGCGCACTTCACCGCTCCTCTGACCCCGAAGGTGGGAAGGTGGCCCGCACAGGGTCCTGCTTTACCTCAGGAGACAGAGGTGCACTGTCAGCTGCCCCTTCTGCAGATGTGAGAGCTCTCCTCCCTTCCATCCCCAAACATTGCTTCTTTAATCCCTTTTACACAGTTTGGTAGAACTTCCTCCCCCCTCTTTTCCTGGTACCTAAGAGGAGGTTGCTTTTTGTAAACTACCACAAGTCTGGGAAGGAGATTAGAGCCTCTTTGGTCTAGTAAGGTTTGAAAGAATCAGAATGAGGTTAGACTTAGCAATGAGTTCGGTTTGCTTGTCTTTTAAATACTTCATTCTGGAGCCAGATCTCTGTGATGGCCTCTACCCTGCCTGCTTCCAGCTTCAGGATCTGAAGCTTCCTTACATCCCCCTCCTCATCCAGCTGCAGGATTAGAATTTGTCAAAAATGCCAATAACTGGGGCTAGAGCCTGGGTGGGGGCGGGAGACCAAGGGGCTACAAATATCTAAGGGTTTGGAAGAGGGAAAGGTAAGAAAGTGGTAATGAAAGCGTGTGGCTATGAATAAGGGTGACCCTGTGGTGTCCACCAAGAGTATAGGACTGGAGTCCTGCCCCAGCGCACAAAGGGAGGGCCCAGATTAAGATGCACGGGAGCCACTATAAGGCCCCCAGTACCACCCTGTATGGACTGTGTCAGTTGGAGAGGTGCACAGGCCTGACTGTATGTTCCCCAGGATTCCATGTACATGCTCAAGCAGCTAAAAGTGAGACCTTTTATTTTTTTTTTCTGAACTGTATGCCCTTCTCTCTTTCCATGATAAAGGATATAGTAATGATGGCATACATAACACAAGTAATACAAGTTACCTGCAGCAAAGTCAGAAAACACAGGTGAGCAACAACAGCAACAAACCATATTCTGAAATCTCAGTATCCTGTAAAAAAAAACACAATGTAAGACTTTGGTGTGTAGATTAGTAGATCTTTCCTATGCAAATGGGTACAGAATCAGCCTAGAGAACAGCAAGTACAGATTGGAGTTGGAGGGCAGAGTTCTAGCAGGGATGTCACTTAAAAAAAAAAGTAACTGATGAGTTTCCTAATGTAGTCAACTGCATTGAGAAGGAATTTATACTTTTGACATTGTTGGAAAGAATTGATACTAGGTAAAAAGCAAACCAAAGCAAATAAAATGTGAGGGAATTTTTAAATCTAAGGGAAAAATGTCACACAAGAAAGGAAATGTGATGATAATACTCTATGTGGCTCAGCTGTGAGCTGTTTTTCAACTTCATAATGTAAACACTAAATATTGACTTTTTAAAATGTTTGTTTTGAAATAATTATAGATTCGCGGGAAGTTGCAAAGATGGTACAGAGAGGTCCCATGTATCTTTACCCCAGTGGTTACATCTTACATACCTAAAAAAAACACCAAGCAGGAAACTGACACTGGTACAATGTGTGCATAGTTCTATGCCATTTTATCACATGTGTAGATCCATGTGACCACGACCATCAAGGCAGAACCATTCCATCACCACAAAGATGTCCCTTGTGCTGCTCCCTTATAGTCACACACTCGTCTCCACCATCTCCAATGTTACCCTGGCAACCACTAATCTGTTCTTCATCTCTCTAATTTTGTCATTTCAAGAATGTTATATAAATGGATTCATAAATAACGTGGCCCTTTGAGATTTTTTTTTTGAGATGGAGTTTCACTCTTGTTGCCTATGCTGGAGTGCAATGGCACGATCTTGGCTCACCGCAACCTCTGCCTCTCGGGTTCAAGTGATTCTCCTGCCTCAGCCTCCCGAGTAGCTAAGATTACAGGCATGTGCCACCATGCCCAGACAGTTTTGTATTTTTATAGAGATGGGTTTTCTCCATGTTGGTCAGGCTGGTCTTGAACTCCCAACCTCAGGTGATCTGCCCACCTCGGCCTCCCAAAGTGCTGGGATTACAGGCATGAGCCAATGTGCCCAGCCTGAGATTTTTTTTTTTCACTCAGCACAATGCCATTGAGATCTACCTAGCTGTTGCTTACATCGAGTTTCTTCCTTTTTATTGTTGAGTGATATTCCAACTAAATATTCTTTTAAACAAAAATTGCAATACAACACATGGCCAACCATAACCAGAATCTAGTCATAGCTCTAATAATGATAGCAGTTAACAATTCTTGAGTACTTAAGATTTGCCAGACACTGTGCTTGGTGCTTTCCCTACCCTATCTCATTCAATCCCCACCACCACAACTTTCATTATCTCATTTTTTTGATAAGGAAGCTGAGGCTCACAGAGGTTAAGTACTTTCTCAGGGTTAAGCAGCTACCAGGTTGATCCTGATCCACTGTCTAAGCTCTTAACAAGCGCATGTGCTGAGGAAACAGGACACCATTTTATTTGTTTTATTCGTAGGCCTCAAAGGGAGAAAAGCCATAGGCTGAGTCCCTCATGAATGTCGTCTCCCTACAGGCCACACTAGCTGTCCAACCTCTTTTAAAGAAAGGCTGAAGAGCACAGACTCTTGCTAAATACTCAGAAACTCAACTGCTGGTGTTAAGCCACTCAAATAAGATTTACCTTTAAAACGGAATTAGACTTACAACTGGCTTCTTGTTTTTATAACTTCTACCAGAGACTCCAGTATCTTCCACTCAGTGGAGACCATTAAGAGAATGTAAGTGACAATATAAAGATTTAATATGCACAGAAATACAGAAATCAAACTGAGAGCCAATTTTGAGATGAATGCCTTTAGGCCCTAAATATGCCTGTGTGATTTTTATAAAGCCTTATAAAATTATGTTCGTTGTAAATGAGCAACCAACTGTTCTGACAATAGGGTTAAATTAATTTACTGACTTGCCAAAACCAGAGGAAGAGTAAATATGTAGCTAATAGGAGTTTCCAAAGAAAGGACATCTTGGACCAGAGCTGTTGCTCAAAGGGCACCACTGAATCCTTTCTGTGTCCAACACTCTTCCCTGGGAGGACGGGACTGCCCAGGCCTCCACAGGCCTCTGGCACTTGCCTTGCTGTGACTCCCATGGCTGACTCCTGTGGGTCTTCCCGGAGCCCTCTCTGCAGAGCAGATTGTTGATTACTGTCATAAGCATCAGATAAAAGCTCTATGCAGAGGGATGACTCTCTTTTTTGGGAACAGCTAAACTGATGGCTGCAATAAGCCTGTGGTAATGACAAATGATAAAAAGCCAAACCTTGCTCAGCATCCTTGTGATGTTTTCTCTGGGCGCTGGTTGAAAAATCCTCACTCTAACAATGAAAATAAGGATGCCAGTTCACTTCCATGAAAGGCTTACGTGTCAGGCCCCTGACTTGTGTTATTTCCTTTAATCTTTATAACAATTCGAAGTTGGGTCATATGATCATTCCCACTGTATAAATGGGAAAACAAATTCAGAAGGATTGGATGATTTGCCCATAGTCACACAGCCAGCTGATGGTGCTCCTGGGATCAGCCGGGCAGGCTGACTTTCCTACATGAACTTCAGGGTCACCAAAGAGCTGACAAAAGAAGTTTCCCTTCATAGGAGTATTGCAGCTAGTACATGAAGGAGGAATGATATCACCATTTTGCAACTCCCTACTGAAAGAGTGGAAACAATCATTAAGCAATGATCATGAATAGTTTTTAACATTATAAAAGTAGACCCTGAACCAGATCAAACATTTAGATCTGATTACCAAAGTACAGGAAATAAAAAGGACAGAATAACATGGTAAAGAAACTATGGGATGCAATGAGCAAAATCCAAATTCTATTTGGATTTTGGAAAATCCTATATGTGGAAAAATCTATAGGGCAAACAGTCCAGTTTCTTCAACAGAAAAATGTCAGGAAAAAGAGAAAAAGGGAAGGAGAATCTATAAGTTGAAAGACACTTTAGAGACATATTAAGCAGTAGCAACGTATGAACTTCATTTAGAACCTGAATGAAACAAATAAACTATTTTTAAAAGCTATTTATTATCAGACAATTGGGGATGTGTGAACACTGATTAGGTATTTGATGCTATTAAAGAGTTGTATTGGGGGAGTGTGGTTGGGTAAATTGAGGTTCTGATTTTATAGATGGAGTCTTGCAGAGACACACAATGAAATTCTAACTGCTGAAACGATGACTGGGATTTACTTTACAATCCTCTGGGAGCAGGGAAGTTGGGGGTAGGGGATGTCTAGTGCAATTGAGATAGGCTACAAGTTGATCATTGTCGGAGCTTAGAGATGGATACGTAGGCCTTCATTGTACTATTTTCTCTGCTTTTATGAATGTTTGGAGTTTTCCATGATGCATTTTTTTAAAGGACTCTCAGAAAGAGCAGCTATAATGAAAGAAGAGGGGAAAACCCAGGCAAGTGTCATATCCCGGGATGCAAGGAAAGAAATGCCTCTAGAAGGAGGGTGTGGCCAGGTGGATCAGATGCTGCTGATGGGTCAGGTGCCCAGCACTGAGCCTGTCACCCAGTGTCTCCAGGGAGGGACCCACATCCCTCTGGCCTCTCTCACTTCAGGGTGTGCTCCCTGCCGCCCAGGAAATGCTCCTGGGCCAGGGATCCCCTTGGTCTCCTCACTGAGTGTCCCAGCTTCATCCTTGGTTACTCTGGAACATTAGCAATTTTGCAAGCAGGAGTCAGAGCCTCTGAGGCAGGTGGGGAGGTTATTCTGCTTCCCTTTCTAATTTATGCTGTGCCAGGGTTCAGTTTTAAAAGATTTGTTGACACAGCGTTCAAGGGGGAGTTAGTGAAGCTACCAGCACGATGCAAATTTAGCTTCCAGAATCTAGACCAAAGGTTACTGACTTGTTAATTATGATCTCATGGAAACTTCTTGTTTCACAAAGATCACCTCAATCATTTTTTAGGTTTTGGTAGTGATTTGGTTTTGCCATAAGAATGAAGGAAGTTTTCTGGGGAAGATATTAACTTCTCAGGCCACAGTTTGTCAACTCTAGTTGTACCCTTAAATGATCTCTTGCTCTCCCTGTCCCTCTGCCCACCTTTGTCTCACCCATTCCACATCCTCCTCTCTTTCCCCTTCCCCTTTTATCTCTCTCCCCTAACTACCTACTGTAGGCAGAGAATATTGTGTCTGGAAGTTATTGGTTTTCGGCCCCCTCTGCCTGGCTCCTCTGGGTGAGCCGGGGCGGCAGCCTCCCAGCATGGGCTTTCTGTATTCTAGGTACTGCCTGAAGAACCCGGCCCTGGATACCCAGCATGATGTGTGACTCACCTCTCCTAGCCATCAGCCTTGCTACTTGTTTTTGTTTATCATCTTCCCCAACCCTTCGGATTTGATACATTCTCTTTTGTTGCCCATGATAACAAAGGCCTGGCTTCCTTTCAGACTGGCCTGCCTCCGCCTCTCTGTTCCAGCAATTATGCCTTTGGAACCTGGGCCATCAGCTGGATGGATGGCAGCTCCATCTGCCTCTTCCCAGCCTTAGGTATGAGGCCAGGACAATTGCTGAGAAATCCCTGGAGGCCAGAGATTTTTGAGTGATGTGTGGTGCATAGGGAAGGTGTGTGTTCACCATTTTCTGACCTTAGGTGGAGTCCCTGATGGTGTGAAACAGTGTTCAGAAGTCCTCCAGTGGGCCTCACTCACCTCTGTAGTGGAAACAAGGCATCAGTGGAGCTGCATTCTCCAGAGCCATCAAGAATGGATAAGAAATGGGTCTTGGTCTCTTGTTTGGCTAATTTCTGTTACTGTCTGCCCCTAGCTCCCATGGGAGCACCTGTCTAGCTGTGCCTCTTCATCAGGCTGTTGTAGGACCTCACAGGAATGATTCCATCCCGTTCCCCAGAATGATCTCACACACACACACACACACATATGCACATACACACATACACACACACATACACACACACACGTAATGGGAAGTTGTATGCCTGTTGTAATTGCTTAATTAAAAAGGAAATTTAGCAGGACTCAAGGGCTTTCTTCTGATTGTTTTACATTTTCATTGAGTGGATTCTTCATCTTTGCTTCTGTGTTGTTGGATTGATTATTGAAGCTATAATAGGATGTGGGTCCTGTATTTCACCATCACTATCAGCTATTGTCTTTTTTCTCATGCACACTTATCTTTTGTGTTAATTGCGAGTCTAAGTGTCTTCATTTCAATATCCATTATTTCTCCTGTATAGTTAAATTGCTGGTGTTTTTTTTGCTTTCATAGGGTCCAGAAAATATAGGAAGTTAACACTAACAACTCAGCTCTCAAAAAGTTCGTTTTTATAGTTAGCTTCTTTCCCGTGGGGGACACAGAGACTCACTCAAGTTGCCTCAAGAAAAATGGTGTCTAGAGTGAAGATGCACATGGACAAATCTCAGCATCCTCTCCTCTCCATGTCCGCCTCTGCCTCAGAGCATTGCTGCCTGTCTCTGTGCGTTTGCTTCCTTCTCTTTCTTCTACCAGCTTTCTTAGAGAGTCTACTTCTTCAGCACTTCAGATGGCCCATACTACATCGTGTCCTCGTGGGATACAATTCAATTCTACTTGTGGACATTCTCTTTCAAAACCACCCCTAACCACTTTGCCTTGTTTCCCAATTCACATTCTCCATAGTTAGGATCTGCTAAGTGCAGCTTGTCTTTTTATCACGGTCACTGGCCAGTCTGGTTGGCCTGGGGTCAGATGCTGCACTCATTCTACCACACATAGTGTGTGTGATGTGGGGAGATTGTGGTTAAACAGGGCAAAACATGGCCACCAAAGAAGCAGGGGCTGTGGTAGCTAGACAGTTTCCCTCCAAGGGGGTTGTGGGCAGGCAGGTACCAATGGATATTGCTAGTGCACTGGTTAACTAACAATCTCATTAACTATTGGCCCAGAGAATGAGAAGGTTAAAATGGATGTTATAAATTCCATTCACAAAAACCCATGTTTCCTTCTCACAAGAAATCCTCTCAGCCATTTGATGAGTATTTACTCTTTTTTCAGGCAAAATATGCCTAAATATCTGAGTTTCACGCCCACCACAGATTTTAAGTAGCAAAAGTAAGGGGGCAAAGAAGGACTAATACAGACAGACACTAATAGCATTGAGAGTCAATAACTGAGAGGCTGACAGCATGGCAGAAAATCTATGAGGAGCAGACACAAGAACTCAAATAGCACAGTAGTCTGGGACCACTTAAAATGTAGGTTAAAAACAGCCCTCTGTACTTCAACAGTCCCCAAAGGCATTGCTGTCTTACAGCCTCGTTAACTGTAGCTAATGTTCATGTTGGTGAACCTTGAGTATATAAGGAAAGGCTAGAGGCTAACTTATGTTTAGAATATCCAGCTTAAGAAGGCAAACAAATTACATAATACACTTAAGAAAAATTTCCATGCACATTTAAAAATTGGTGTTTAAATGAGTAAAACCTAAGCTCTCCAAAGCAAGTCATTTGCTAAGTGTTCCAGAATAGCCACAGTCATAACCACGTGCTCTGAGTTTTAATGTTGGCTATCAGGAACCAGGGTGGTAAAATGTCCTTGCTCCTTCAAGCCGCCCAGGGAAGATTACCCTATTAAATCTCCCAAACTTCTCTCAGGAGACAGAGAGGCATGGCAGTTGAGAGCATGTGCTCTGCAGTCAAGTCAGTCTGGGTTTGAATCCTGGGATCCTGAGCAGTCTCTTGACAGGCCTAAGCCTTCATTTCCACATGAGGAAAATGGACACAATAATATGTATCATACAGAGTTGTGAGAACTTACTGTCCATAGATTTTTTTTTACCTTATTTGGAATTTTTAATTTTTATGTAGTCTTCTAAATAAACAAGACAATGTAATCCACTTGCTTTGAATTTATATGGTTCTCAATTATTATTTTTTTCCTATGGGGCAGTGGCTCCTAGTAGGAAAAGACTAAAATAACACCTCAGCTTGAATCAGTTTATTGGATTAGCCAAGGAGTCAAGCAGTTTTTCTAGAAGGGTGGAATAGAGAAGTCCTAGAAGGGACTGGGGAGGAAAAGGATGGCTTCAGTGTCTACACATGAAGACAAAGGATTGTTTGCAGGGAAAGGAGATGCGAGGAGAGTGGGGTGTTTGAAAGGGAGAAGGGGCCACAGGACAGCAAGCAGAGAGGTGCAGAGGATAATTGTAGTTACCTCTACAACATTCTCAGGATTATTCCTTGGTGAACTATGATTTTAAAATGTTCTCAAAAGGACAATTAGAGAATTTCAGTCACTGTGACTTTTTCTTTCTCTCTCCACCCCACCCCTTTTCTATAGGTAATTTGCTTGAAAGCTGAAAAGGCCACCATGAAAGAATAAGATAGATGAGCGTGAGGTCTGCAGAATCCTTGCAATCTTGGGTTAAAAACTGTCTCAGTCATGTGGTCCGCCTGCCTGCCCAGGAATTCAATCACCTCAGTCATTTTCTTCAAGTAACCGTTATTACATTCCTTTTAAAAATAAACAACTTTAGGCTTCCCAGAATCCCTGATAGATGAGAGAGGAAATTTAGCTGTCAGTTGTAGGTGAAGACATCAAATTCATAAACAGAAAATTGAAAAAGAGAGGGCATATTCACTTCATGCTCTTCCCTAGACCTGTTAAAATAATGTGCATTGAACAAACATCAAAAATAATATGGCTGGGCGCAGTGGCTCACTCCTGTAATCCCAGTACTTTGGGAGGCCAAGGCAGATCATGAGGTCAAGAGATGGAGACCGTCCTGACCAACATGGTGAAACCCCGTCTCTACTAAAAATACAAAAATTAGCTGGGCATGGTGGCACGCAACCTGTAGTCCCAGCTCTTCGGGAGACTGAGGCAGAGAATTGCTTGAACCCAGGAGGCAGAGGTTGCAGTGAGCCGAGACCACGCCATTGCACTCCAGCCTGGGTGACAGAGTGAGACTCCATCTCAATAATAATAATAATAATAATAATAATAATAATACATGTACCATTGTGCCCTTTCACTCTGTGTTCACCTCATCAAAGCAAAAGCAAAGACCCTGCCTCTGAACTATCCCACAAAGCTGGCAATCTTCAATCACTGACTAGACTATGGGTTCATCTCATCATATTTACCTTTTTGTTTTTTTAGAGATTCTTCCCTGGTTTTTTTTTTTAGGGGTTAAATATTTTTCTTATGTACCAGGGATTTGGGTTTATTTGTTTTTAATAAAAGTGGTTCTTGGCATCTACAGATTGCTATTGTTGTTTTATGGCCAAATTCTCAAAAACCATGATAAAAGCATGTCCACAATGTTCATGTACGAAGCTAATATAACAAAATTTTTGCAAACAGTTCTGCAAAGCCATACATTCTTTTGTGTGCACCTGATTAAACAATAGTTAAATCCTTCTGTCTGGGGATGAGCCAGTGAAAACCAGCCTCAATTCTTACAAAGAACACTGGGGATGGCAAAGTGATTTCAAATTGTGTGCCAGCCCTGATCACTTGGTTTTCGTGTTTTGCTGGGAGCTTTATTGAGAAGCATTTTAAGGCTGGATTCCTGCTCATTAGGAAAAGTTCTATGATGAGTGATGTCTGCCTTAGGTGCAGAGTAGGAGAGTCATGCATGTTTGCCACTTACTTACGATTTTGACAGAAGATCTTTGACATTGAAAAATTTAGACTTTGTGGTTTTGACCACTTTTCAGCTGTCCTGAAAGTCCATGATGTATGGGCACAGGGAGAGGAACATCACACACCGGGGCCTGTCGGGGAGTGGGGGGGCTAGGGGAGGGATAGTATTAGGAGAAATACCTAATGTAGATGACAGGTTGATGGGTGCAGCAAACCACCATGGCACATGTATACCTATGTAACAAACCTGCATGTTCTGCACATGTATTCCAGAACTTAAAGTATAATAAAAAAAATTTAAAGTAAAAAAAAAAATGAAAGTCCATGATGTATAGTAATTTGGAAGTTTTATTGCAGATAAATGTTTATTTATATACATATAACATATATATATAACATATGTATATGTTATATATTAACATATATAATATATATAACAGGTAAATGTGATAGGTATATATATATATATATTTGAGGGAGAGTTCCTATTCCATGTATATCTTGATGCATAAGGATTACTCCAAATTGTGTTGCTTAAAACAATAACATTTTTAAAAATTTATTTATTTTATTATACTTTAAGTCCTGGGATACACGTGCAGAATGTGCAGGTTTGTTACATAGGTATACACGTGCCATGGTGGTTTGCTGCACCCATCAACCTGTCATCTACATTAGGTATTTCTCCTAATGCCAATAATTTTATTATACTTACAGATTCTGTAGCTCAGAAATTTGGAAAGAGCAAGGTGAGGACAGCTTCTCTTTGCTCCACAAAGTCTGGGGCCTTTGTTAAAAAGACTGAAAGGCTGCAGGTAACCCAATGGCTGAGGGCAGAGCCATCTAAAAGCTTGTCACTACTCACATGTCTGGCAATTAACGCTGAAGACCTAACAGTGGGACTTCAACGCCCCACCGGGGACTTTGGCCAGAACACCTACATGCAGCTGCTTGTGCTTCCCGATGTTCCAAGAAAACCATAAGGAAGAGGAAGCTATATGCCTTTTGTGACCTTGCCTCAGAAGTCACATAGTGTGCCATGGTCATAAAAACCTCCCAGATTCAACTGGAGGGAGGAACATAGGCCCCACCCTTCAATGGGAGGAATGCCAAAGTCACATTCTGTAAGAAGAGCGTGGAGGAGGAGGATATTGATGCAGCCACTTTCAGAAAATATAACCTGCCACAGTCATTGGGTGAATGAGCCAGTCATTTCATTTCAATACACTTTGTAGTTTTTTCTGTTCCCACAACAATTACTTGCCTAGAGTAATAAAAACTTGATTTTCGTGTGAAAAATGGTTAACAATAAGAAATCAAAATCAAACTTCAAGGAAAAGTTCAAAATTCTTAAATTACGGTATGAAAACCTGTATAGTAAACCACTGATGAGGAAATAAAATTCAGAAGAAAGTCATTTGCCTTTATATTCATTTTAATCTTTGCAAATATGAGGTTTTGCTAATGGTTTGTCTCCCTAGATAACATCATAATGGTGACAAACCAGACATATCCATCTAACTTAGGGTTTCTCAACCCTGACACTATGATTCTTTGTTGTCTGGGGCTGTCCTATGTTATTGCAGGACATTTAGCAGCATCTCTGGTTTGTATCCCTTCCCCCAATCGTGGAAACTGAAAATGTCTTCAAACATCGCCAAATGTCCCCTGGGGTGCAAAATCTTCTTCAGCTGAGAATTGCTGCTATATGAGGCTGCAAATATATTCTCCAAAATTTGTTTCCTAAGACACTCTTAAGAGGTTTGCATAATATGTTTTTTTGAAAGTTTGCATTGCCTGATGCTATAGGAACCTCTATAGTTCATAATCATTTAACATGTGGCGTTCATTCAATATACTAAGTCTCTAGTAAACTGAGTCTTTTTCCTGTTAACAACATTCATTCTGAGGGGCAGAAGCTCCTCCTCTACTGATAAGACTAGAGGATTAAGTCAGGCAGAATAATTTAAGTGAAAGAATAATGAGGATATTAATGTCTTGGCTCATCCTACCTGAGAATGCGTGGGTGTGCCGTTGGGGGGAGTTGCAGCTGCACATACTCTTCCCCATCACCCACCCATCACAACCTACCCCTCCCACTTTCCAGAGAGAAGGTGTGAGTGGAAATAAAAAGCAGTGTGGTGATCACTTTATTTCTTGCATTCACAATTTGCTAGGGGCTGAGAGTGAACACTGAGAAGGTGTGAAAACAAGGAACAATTTCTGCACTGGGGTGTTACAACATTTAAGCTACAAGGTGCAGGGTAGAGTGCAGAATCACTGCATGCACCTTAGGTGGAAACCAAACCCTTTCCTGTAGACTCATGGGTATTTGAACTTGTTTGAATTTCAGGATTGAGTGGCAATAGGGATGGTATGTATAGGCGGTTCTCAGTTTATAGATAAGTGGATTCTGAAATCCACTGTTGAAATCAGCAGTGCATTTTGCATAGGAAAATAATGTTATAATATGCTAGTTATGCCCCTAGACCAGTTGAGAAAAATCCTACTTAACTCCTTTGGTGCAGTGCCATGGTTCTAAAGAACATAATCACCATGTCTAACGGTGCTTCTCAGGACAGTTGCATTCAGATTTCTAACATGGGATGCCAGAAGTTTGAGACAGAACCTGCTGACTGGCCTGCAGCCCATACTCATTGCAGCCAGTGCTCATGGCAGGCCAGTGCTCCCTGCAGGCCAGTCAGCAGGCGTTCTTTCCAACTTCTCTTTAATTCAGTAAGGTTTACCTGAAAAAAATAATGTGCCAGGCAGGCTATAGGTGTTGGGGGTTAAAAAAGAGGTATTCCTGTTTTTAAGAGGCTGAACTGCCAGCCTGTGCCATTCTTCCCTCTTGTACACATCGTGTACACATCAGGAGAAAACAAACTCCCTTTCAAACCTGGAAGTGACCTTCAAGACAGCCTGAAAGGTTGGAGCTCTTACAGGAGGAGGTAGTGAGGGAGATGGATCTGGGGACTTCTGCTTTTATTTTCTGTCGTTTGTCAGGGCCTTTGACTAGTGTTCCTGTCCTTCCTAATAACCAGCTACTGCAGAACAGAAGGTAACTTCACAGTTTCTCCCACTCCTCTAGTTCCTGAAAAATACAAATATTTGTGGAAAGCTGTTTTACCAACACAGGGATGGGGTGGATTTTGATCCTCATTGTCTCCATTCCCTGCTGACTACTGAGAATAAGCAAGAGGTGGCCTAAGGTTCAGGAAAGTGTCATTGCAAAGCCGATGCCAAGTTTTTAGGCATTGTAGTGTGGAAATTCCCTTTTGTAATGGTACTCTTCAAGTACACTACCAGGTAAGCTATTTCAAAGGTCACAGAAGGGAAAGACTCATAGGTCAAATTAAGATGCTTCAATAACAGGGTTTATTAAATCCATTTAAAACTTACAGCAAGAAGCAAGAGGAAAGAAATGAGATGTTAACACTCAGGGTAGGGTGCACGTGGGTAGAAGGAGCACACTATCTCATTCCTGGGTTATGCGATGCTTCTGCCTTCTGTCTCTTTTGCAGTGACAACAGCCTTGCCTTATGATGGGGAGGTTAGAGAACTACAGTTGAGGGAGGCTAGTGATAGTTAATCACATGTGCCAACTTGGTTAGGCCACAGTACCCAGATAGCTACTTAAATATCATCCAATATATTTCTGTGAAGGTATTTTTGGATGGGATTAAGATTTAAATCAGTAGACTTTGAGTGAAGCAGTTTGCCTTCTATACTGTGGGTAGGCCTCATCCATTCGATGGAACGGAGTCCAAAGTCAGTCATTCAGGTAGAATTCCCTGTCTCTCAAGGGAGCTTTGTCAGCAGACTGACTTTGGATTCTTCCCTGGGTCTCCAGCCTGCTGGCCTACCCTCCAGATTTTAGGCTCGCACAAAGCCTCCCCAATCATGTGAGCTGATTCCTTAAAGTCCCTCTCTCCCTCTCTCTTTCTCCACATTCTGTGGATTTCTCTCTGGTGTCACAATTCCCCCATTTAGGTAGGTCTGACATCAAGTACCCTTTGTGCAGTCATGGTGGTAGGGTGGAGAATTAAGGAACAGGACAGAAAGGGAAGGGCAGCCTGCCTCCCATCACCCACTGGACTGGGAGAGGGAGAGATATCCTCTCAAGGTGTCTCTGCCTAGGAGATCTAGGCACAGATGTGGGCAGAGCCATGAGCGGCAGAAGAGGCACCTGCCAGGTGGATGATTCGGGGGCCATCCCTGGGATAAAGGGAGACAAATGTCCTCATTCTCAAAAATAACAAACCTGACTATCTTAATAACACATTTTGAGTTTCTCCTGAAGCTAGTTTTCTTCCTTTTTGCTTCCACCTCTGCTATGGTTTGAATGTGTCCCTCAAAGTTCATGTGTTGGAAATTTAATCCCCAATGCAATCGTGTTTGGAGGCGGAGCCTAGTAAGAGGTGATTAGTCATGAGGGCTCTAGACTTCACGAATGGATTAATGTTCTTGTCACAGGAGTAGGTTAGTAATCAGAAAAGTAGGGTGGTTATAAAGTGAGTTTGGCCCCCCTTCCTATCTTGCTCTCAAGCGCTCTCTTGTTCTTCTGCCTTCTGCCATGGGACGATGCAGCACAAAGGTCCTTATCAGATGCCAACTCCATGCTCTTGGACTTCCCAGCCTCAGAACTAAATACATTTCTGTTCATTATAATTTACCCAGTCTGTGGTATTCTGTTATAGTGGCAAAAAATAGACCAGACTAAGACAACCTCCTAGAACCTGTAAGAAAAAGGAAAAAACACACAAAGCTAATAGTAGTTGGTCTTAGACTATACAGAGAGCTAGACTGAGATTCATCTGAATATTTGAGGAAAGTTCAAACTCAATGAGGCGTCAAGGCATTTTTGGCACAGAAACAAGATGAGGCCTCACCTTGGTGGCCTTCCCCTCCCCCCTTGCTGTCACAGGTCCTGTCTCAGGTGACCCAGGCCCTACTAGTTCCCTCCCCTCTGCTGGAGTGGAACCCTATGCTGGTTTCCTTTATCACATGCTGTCACTGCCTGACTCCTTAGGTGCCCCCACCACTGCACTGTAGTTTATTGAAGTCAAGAAGCAGGACTTTTGCACCACTTAGCACAATGCCTAGCACATAGTCAGCACTCAAAAGAAATTTGTTTAATGAATAAATGACCCAGCACCAGACCAATCTAGAATGAGATGAGAAGCAGGACATAAGGATGGGAGCCCCAGGCAGACTGAAAGTTAGCTGTCAGGTAAGGAACAAAGGGAAAAACATCACTGTTGGAGACCGCTGAGGCCACACAGCTGAACAGCTAGTTCCCATGAAGGTAACAGGCATATAAAGTAGGGGGCAACCTTTATTAGAAAAGAAAAATTTCTAACTCATATGCAGAGAGGCAGACAATCTTATCAAACAACCAAATGTCAGATCTCAAATATTTACACACTATCTTGCCATGGAACATGTTTTTCCACCAGGGAAACTGGTGAAACTCCGTTCTACCATGTGCTGTTGCCAGAGCAATATTCCCAAAATGTGCTCAAGAGCCTTCCATGCAGTATTTGCTTACTGTAGGTGGTCACAACATTTTTGAGAATCTGATGAAAGCTATGGTCTTCCTAGAAAAACATACCCAAATTTGCATTCAATTATAGGGGGCAGTGGTTTAGCCCACCCCCGCTCTGGTGGTCTCCCATTTCCTCAAATAAAATCTATCCCTTGCTCCTCTGCCTCTTCCCCACCTGGCTTTGGAGTGACACTGTCCCAGCCATTCTGCTCTTTTTCCCACGCCCCAAACACACCTTGTGGCTTTCCCACATTTGAACTTGGAGTCAAAGATCCTAAAGTTCTTTTAAGGTGCCCTGGGGACAGGAGCTGGGCCCCCACAGTCCACTCATGGCCAGGGCAACAAAAATTAAGGGAACAGCCATAACCTGTTCTGTAGCACAGTCCTGGCTGGCCCCACCCATCTTTCTGTGACTCTAGGCAGTGCAGGCTTCAGACTTGGTGTGGTCTCTTGGCCTCTCTGACTGAGATCTATCCCTAGACTTGCAAATCCTGTTGCTCCCAGCGACTCCCTAATGGCTCAGACTCCTGGAAATTCCTGATACAAAGCCTGCCAGATCTGACCCCAGGAGAGTGCTCACCCTTTCTACCTACTCATTCAATAATCAATCAATCCAGCATCCATGCTGTGTCATGGAGTGCTCCAGAAAGTTGTGGGAGTATAGCTAGACCCAGTTCCTGCCTCAGGAGCTCCGTCTTAGAAGGGCGGCAGCTACATGCAGAAATGCCTCCACAGGGAAGTCACAGAGAAACAATCACCCCTGGTGTTAGCAGGAAGGAGGTGACTGCTAAGATGAGGCCTGAGGAACAAGGCCTGACATGTTCCAGGAAAAAGAAAAGTCTGAGTAAAACATTCAAGGCCAGAAGAAAGAGAGGATGGTGTGGGAACTGCAAGCTTTTTAGGATGTGTGGACTCTGGAGTCCCTGGAGGGAGTGATGAGGCTCGGCAGATCCAGAGGGCCAGGGAGATGAGGGGCCCTTGTGAGCAGGGTTAAAGAGACCCCACTCTACCCTGAGGGTGGGGGAAGCCATGGAAGCGGGGGCTGGATCAAATGGTCTCTCTCAGGCCTGGGCAGCTCTCTCGCTCCAGTTGCCCTGGACTTGTTAATGCTGCCACCTCCTACTCTATCCCTTAGGGCTTTTTTGAGTCTGAGCATTACAGAACCATAAATATGACACACACTTTCATCTCATTTCTCCTTTTTGCCATTGAACTTCAACCAGCACCTCAAAAACAGCTGGTCCAAGATGGAACTCAGGGTTCCTGTGAAGCCCCTCATCCTCAGGCCTGCTCCCATGGCACTGACAATAGGACAGAGCCCTCCTTTCTCCCTCTGCCCCTGCCAACGAGGACACAAGCCCTTATGATTTCAGGGGTTGGTGTTTAGTTTTTAAACTGCTAATCCCTGAAAGGAGCCAGAAATGGATACCATAATAACCTGAGGTATGGGTGGGGCCTGTGGTGGAGTGGGAAAGTTTCCAACACCTTCCAGTACCTTCCGTTCAGTCTCTATCCTTAGTCCTGACTCCCTTGGTCATAAAAGTACTCCCTTGTGTTTTGTTCTTTCGATGGGCTTAATAAACACTGCTTATACCTCACTGTCCCCGACATTTGAGTAGTGGTTCACATACTTCTTTGACCACTAACCGTAGAAAGAAAGACATTTTATATCATGACCCAGCACACACACACATGTAAAACAAATTTCCTGAAGTAATATTGTACTTTCTACAAATGATGCCCTCTGATATTTTAGTCCAGTCTTTCCCTCCTTCCCTCCCTCCCTCCCTGCTTCTCTCCCTCCCTCCCTCCCTCCTTCCCTCCTTCCTTCATTCCTTCTTTTCTTCTTTCCTGGTCACAGCCCACCAAACTGATTTCAATATCCAAGTAATGGGGTGCAACCTACAGTTGGAAAAGCACTGCTTAGCGGAAGAACATGCAGAGACCTTCCCGAAGAGTACCTGTCTCCAGCCAAGGCAATCCAGATGAAGTCAAAAGTGTCCCCTATCTTAAAGGTTATTTTGAGTTTTGAGCTGCTTCCTGGGCCTCAGTTGACTTAGAAATGTTCCCTTTTGGTAACTGCCTTAAAGAATATGGATCCTAGAAGAGTGTTAGGTCTGTGTGTTGTTCCACCCACAGTCCGCTGGCAAGTGAGAATGGCAGAGGGAAAAGGAGCAGGCCATGTTGTCAGTGTCTGGTGATAATAACAGCAATGATAATACCAACAGCTATCGAGCTTGGCCAGACACTGTGCTGGGCTTTGTCTCACTCAGTCCGCACCAAAGCCTCTGAGTTCGACATTATCCCCATTTTACAGAATGTCAAAGGGAGGTGCGGAGGATTCACCCAGTTAGGTACTAGCAGGACAACAGGCTGGGATTCGCCCAGGTCTGCTGGACACCAGAGGCTGGGTCTTGACAAACCTGAGTGTTCTGGGTGTACTCCGTGGTCTAAAGGTGCTGGGGAGATTGGTCACCTCTAATTTCACATAGACAGTGTGTGTTCCATATGTTGCCCTGTCTCAGGGATTCCTCATTGGAATCTGTTTCATTCCCAGAAGTTTCACGAGCCCTTGAAATGGTGAAACAAGACTTTGAATGTACATTTTTCTGGCTAACCTCTCAAAGCAGTCCTTGACTCACTGACCCATCTGGCTGAGCTAAATGATCTGAATATAATTACAGTCAGCTCTTTGTATCCATGGGTTCTGCATCTGTGAATTCAACCAACCACAGATAGAAAATATTTGATAAAAACTTGTGATTATACTGAACATGTGCAGACTTTTCTTCTTGTCATCATTCCCTAAACAATATAGTATAACAGGTATTTACATAGCATTTACATGCATTAGGTGGTACAACTAATCTAAAGATGATTGGAAGTATAGGGGTGGCTGTGCATTAGTAATATGCAAATATTACACCATTTTATATGAGGGACTTGAACATTCATGGATTTTGGTATCCATGAGGAAGTCCTGGAACCAGTTCCCCACTGGTATCGAGGGACGACTGTACATTTTGGCAGCAACGATCAATTCAAGTATGTGTATGGTTGGGAGGGGGCTGGCTGTTGGAGATCAGTACAATAAGAGAGATTGTCTATTTGTAGGTCCCTGTGGGACAGGAAATTCATGTGGGAAGGAGATGTATGCAACTGAAGTGGGTGGGTGATGGGGATATTCCTGCCCAGAAAAGGGGAGTGGAGGCTGGGGAGAGCAGCTTCCTGGTCTATAAATGAGGGATTGTTCTAGACTACGTTTCTGAGAGCCTCGCAGAGTCTGCAGAGATGCATTGAGGCTGAGGCTCTTCTGCCATTACCTCAGGCTTTAACCGTAGCTATTCCCTCTTTCTGTTTGAGGGGGAAGGAGGCCACCTCTGCTACTTTAAAAAGGAGGGGAAGGAGAGAACCTCAGACAAATCCCAACTGAGGAACATCATACAAAATACTTGGCCAGCACGCCCCGAAACTGTCAAGGTCATCCAAAACAAGGAAAGCCTGAGAAAGCACCACAGTCTAGAGGAGCCTAATGAGACATGATGCCTAAGTGTGGTCCTTAGTCAATAATGTATCAAAATTTGTTCATTAATTATGATAAATATACCAGTGTAAGATGGTAATCATAGGAGAAGCTGAGCGTTGGGGATATGGGAACTCTGTACTCTCTTTGCAATTTTTATGTGAATGTAAATCAATTTTAAAATTTAGAACTATTAAAAGAAGGGGGTGCTACTGACTAGTTGACCTCTGAGGTCCTTCCCAGCTCTGACAATCCCTGAGTAGTCTGTGCAGTGGCTTGGGCTGGGGCCCTAGGGGAGAGGGGGGTTTCCAGAGTTTCTGAGCATGGAATCCAGGGGTGTGAGCTGCACCTGAGCACCTAGATG
Source organism: Homo sapiens (assembly GCF_000001405.40). Taxonomy (NCBI): domain Eukaryota; kingdom Metazoa; phylum Chordata; class Mammalia; order Primates; family Hominidae; genus Homo; species Homo sapiens. The sequence goes on from NC_000001.11 coordinate 113,251,103, forward strand.
CTTTGGGGGAATAGAATTCCAGCTTGAGCCTGGGTCTTGCCCTTCATATCTGGCTAGAAACCTGGCAACCTTTGCATCACAGAGCCATAGATGGGACACACACTTTCATCTCTTTCCTCTTTTTTGCTCTTGAACATCAGCCAGTACCTCAGAGACATCTTGGTCCAAAACTGAGCTCAGGGCCCCCCGCCCTGTTCACTGCTCACCCTAGGTCTGCTTCTCTTCATATGTTCTGGGCACAGCACCACCCTTCTCCAGTCACTCGTGCAGTGACCAGCAAGTCATCCTCAACGTCTCTCTTCTCTCCTCCCATGCTCAGCCAGTCATAACCCCCTAAGGATCCCTGTCCCTGGTATGGTGGGTATACACAGACCCTCCTCATCCTCACTGCTACTGTCTTAGCTCAGCCTCTCCCCATTGGCCTAGCTGGTGTCCAGCCACTAAGGCTTCTAATCCACTCTTTAAAAAATATTATGGGCCAGGCGTGGTAGCTCACGCCTGTAATCCCAGCTACTTGGGAGGCTGAGGCAGGAGAATGGTGTGAACCCAGCAGGCGGAGCTTGTAGTGAGCCAAGATCGCGCCTCTGTACTCCAGCCTGGGTGACAGAGTGAGACTCCATCTCAAACAAACAAACAAACAATATATATATATATATATATATATATATATATATATATATATATATATATCATGATGAAATATTTCAGGCAAACCAAAGGATGCAGGTAATAAATGAACCTACTACCAAGTATAAGAAAGACAACGTTACTGATGCAATTAAAGCTCCCTGCATTCCCTGTCTGACTCATTCCCCACCCTCCAACCTATTTCTTCCCATTCTCAGACTTCTTATGCTTTTCCTTCTCAGCATGGCCTACTCTGACCACTCAATTTAACATTGCAATCCAGAACTCAGCTTCCTCAGCACCACAATCTCTTTTACTTCTGCTCTTTTTTTTTTAAAATGCATTTTATCACTTTTTTCAGGTTAAGGAAGTTCTCTTCTATTTTTAATTTTTATCATGGAAAAAGTTTGAGTTTTGTCGAATGCTTTCTCTGCATCAGCTGAGATGCTCATGCACTTCTTCTCCTTTAATCCGTTAGCATGGTGTTTTGCAGAACTAGATATGCTGGCGTTCCTGGGATAACAGTTCAGGGTTTTCATCAGGTGATTAACATGATCTAATTTTCATTCTAACAAGTTCACACTGGCTGCTGTGTGGAGAATGCATTGTGGGGAGCGAGGGTGAAGGAAGCGAGATTAGCCAGGTGGCTAGGACAATCGTCTGGGCCAGAGAGGATGGGAAAGTGGTAATGGAGATAAGTGGGAGGATTAGGAAGATATTTTGGAGATAAAACTGACAGAGTTCACAGATGGATTAGAGGAAAAGGGAAGAGCTGAGAATGACGATTAGGTTTTGGTGGAGCAGCGAGGTGGTCCCACTTTTCTTAATGGAGAGCACAGGGAGAGTCAAAGCAGGAAGGGTAGGAATGAAGGTCCTTTTCTAGATTTGTTAGGATTCAGATGCCTGTTAGACTCCCAAGGGGAGGTGTGAGCAGGTGGTTGGGTGTTTGAGTGTGCAGCTCAGTAGCAAGAGAGTTATCAGTGTACAGGTGGTGTTTAAAGCCACAGCCATCGATGCGATCCCTGAGAGGGAGAGTGAGACAGAGAGGACGGGGCGCAAGGCCAAGCACAGGGCTTTCCAGCACCAGTCAGGTGGCTAGTAAGGGCCAGCAAAGGAGACTAGATAAAGGAGGTTGCAGGTGGGAAGAGAAACTCAGAGAGGAGGAAGGTGAAGGCAGGGCTGGCCAGCCGTTCAAATGCTGTTGAGAGGTAGAGGAGGGTGAGGGCAGAGAAGTGTCCAGTGGTTACCAGTGGACTTCGTTAACTTAATATTTCTGAATTTTGTTATTTTCTGTGCTCAGTTACATGAGGAAAACACCAAGGACCATTTATTTGCACACGGTACTGAATAAAACCAAACTTATCCTCAGCCCTCTTTCAGATGTTTTAGGGGCAGGAAGGTGACTTTTCTGAATGTCTTCTTCTCAAAAGAGCATCTCTGGATTTGCCTCTGGTCACCAGCTCCCAGTGTTTTTGTAGCTGTGACACTCTACATTGAGTTTGATTTTGCCGTCTCCTAAGCTTGACTCACAGAGCTATAAATACAACTGTTTCCACACACACACTGAACTCACTCTCCACGTAAAGCACCCTAAAGGGCTGCGGAGTTCACAGAGAGGAGCACTGCCTCACCCCTGCCCTGAAGGTCCATTAAAAAAATGAAACTGCATTTAAATTACCTTCATTTAGGCAGTTTCATCACACACCCTTTGAGATAACATTTACACATAACACTGGGACTCCTTGCTCTAAGTTGTCAAAACAATTGCTGGCTGGGGTTTAAGGTGTGCATGTAGGTTACCAGAGTCTGGAAAGACAGCCTTGCCTTAACCCGGTGGCATTCAAGTTTAAAGTTTCCACCTTGGGATTTATGTTTGGCCAAGAAAGTGGTAAGGGCCTCCTCTTAGCCATCCTCATTTAGTCGTTCCTATTTCAACAAGCCCTCCCTTTCTTAAACAACCAAGATTATTCTCAACAAAGGTAATTTTCTGCTTCTCTGGTTCAATTCAATTTATCTTTTAAAAAGTAATTAGTATCCCTTTAGAATTCCTTTATGCCCGACTAATTGCACCTTAGTTCAGGAGTTAAAGCTTCTCTCTATCCATTTAGGCAACTACAATAATATCTAGTTAAAGTCCAGGCCAGACAAAAATGCCCATTTTGGATAACACAGTCTCCTTAGCTTTCTAAGTATTTAAATTTCCACCAGTCAGGGAGAGAGGTAGGGGATCCATTTATATTGTAAGGCATTCCTGAGAAGGTGTATTTCCAATTAACTGAGCATGGGAGGAATTGGAAACTAGCACAACTAGGGGACTTAAATATGCATTAAGAAAAATTCCACTACTCATTTGAAACTAGTTGGTAGGCCCATAAGTATCAGCAGCACTGTGTAGCTTGTATTTTTCCTTTGTAAACCAACACTACTTGTTTACTTAAGCCTGGTAAGTGAATCTGGACTTAACCAACACACGACCCGATTAGACAGATCTTTTTACAGGGTAGATAGCATTAGAGAAGTGCCAGGTGTTACAGAAAAACAGCTGGCCCTGCTATGTTCTTTGTTTCCAGGAGAGAGACCAGTTGAAAGAGAATCATAGAATTTTAGAGCTCAAATCATCTTAGAATAGAGTCACTCATGATTTTTAGTCCAACAGATTTATTAATGGCAAAGGGAGGATTTGAAAATTGCTAATTTTATTCCCAGCCCTTTGGTCTTTCCACTAGAGAGGTGGTTCTTGACTGTGCAGCATACTGGCATCAGCAGGGAAATTAAAGCAAATGAAGACACAAGCAAACGCCTTCCACAGAGATGGAGATTAAACTGATCTGGGGAGCTGCCTGGGCATTGGGATGTGTGTGTGTGTGTGTGTGTGTGTGTGTGTGTGTGTGTGTGTGAGAGAGAGAGAGAGAGTCAGAGTCTCCATCTGTTGCCCAGGCTGGGGTGCAGTGGTGGGATCACGGCTCACCACAGCCTTGACCTCCCTGGCTTAAGTGATCCTTCTGCTTCAGCCTCCTGAGTAGCTGAGACTACAGGCACATGCCACCACATCTGACTAATTTTTGTATTTTTTTGTAGAGATGGAATTTCGCCTTGTTGCCCAGACTGATCTCAAACTCCTGGGTCAAGTGATCCACCAGCCTTGGCCTCCCAGAGCGCTACGGTTACAGACATGAGCCACTGCACCTGGCCGATATTGAGATTTTAAAACACTCCTCCTGCCCCACCACCCCCCTGCACCCCACCTGCTCTGGGTACTAGAGGGAGCAGAAAAGGCAACTGAGTTGCAAGACACATACTACACATTTGCAAGGTATTTACTGTAATCCATTTCACCTCACCTACCACTGGCATGATCTTCTGAATGAAAAGAGCCTCTTTTTGAAATGCAACCCCCAGACTTTCTTTTTAATTTACAACATATAGCATTCTTTTCTTCTTTAGTGGAGAGGGCTGGGAACGGATTTCCATTTGGCTCCTGGACTGGTATATTTATTTGGTAAACAGAAAATGGCCTTGCAGAAATATAGAGGTTGTGGGAGCCAAAAGAATCATCTCATCTCCTAGGAACCAATTAGGATCCTTAAACGGCAAAACTCCCATTAAAAAAAAAAAATTACAAAGCCCTCTGAAGAGGCACACTCTTAGAATTACCCCTGAAAGTTCCCACTAAATTGGCAAAGGAGCGAGGCTCTGGGACACTTTGGTAGAAAGTTAGGCAGCAGTTTGACACAAAGCAATTAGGGGAGGAGACGGAGTGTCAAACCTGCGGCAGGCAGACATACAAACATGATGTATTGATTTTGGCAGTGGTTCCCATTACTTTTTGTCAGAAGCCAGCCAAGTTGAAAAACCACTGGCAGCCTAGGTCGAAAGCTGAACTGAGAGCTGGGGTCCAGTGGGCCTCTGCTCAATTCTGTAGCCTTGCATCTGTTTTGGGGGCCTCATGTCTAGCTGAAAAAATGCTAGAGCCATGAAACCTACGCCCAGGTTGCTAACCTTTCTCAACAATCCCAAGTAAACCATTTACCTAATGAAGTTGAAAGTTTCCTCTGTTCAACTGAGTGCTAAGAAATAAAAGGGAACTCCCTTAACCTGCCCAACTGGTTCTGAGACTTGAAACAGGTTCAGTACCTTTATTTAACATATAACCCAGGACACGAGTTCCAGCTCCACTCCGACTCTGTTCACAGCAACACCCCAAATCCTACCATACACACCACCTCCCCATACAGATTTCCCTCTTTAACAAATCCTAAAGATGTAAGTGTCACGCATTTGTCTTCAGGATTCACAGGAAGGCAACTAATTTTAAGAGAAGCATTTTGTGGTAACAAAGAAGAGGGAAGAATGCCTAAGTGAATGACAATCGTAGAAACAGCCAATTAACTGGTAAATCCCTGTGGTCTGCAAGCTGAACCAGGAACGAGTGCGGGAGGAGGAAAAGCAGCTGCAGCCCAATTAAACTCAGTAGCTCAGATACCTCCGGAGGATTCTTACTTGTGGTTTACCTAAACAGACCTGCTTTCTCAGAGATCTTAGGAGACCGCTATACAGAAGCACAGACTCTGATGATTTCCTTCTTTATTATTGTGGGCAACTGAGCTAAAATATGCATATAAGCAAATTAAGAAGATGGGAGGGTCACCAGCCTCAGAAAACATACTTTTCTTGGCCTCTGGGTAGAAGACAGAGGGAGACTGCTGGATCCTGCAATAAACCAGACTAAAGCAACCGTATACACGCACAGTCCAACAGCTGGAGGAAATAATTTCAGAACTGGCATCCACTTAGCAAGTCTTTGAGAATCCAACTGATCCTTCAATTAATGAGTTCAGAGAATCCAGAATACCCTGTTTTGAAATGGGCTGTCACAGAAAGATGATGTTATGCAACCCTAGGGGTTGGGCATCCTGGTCAGGCCCATGAAATATTCTCTTTGCCTGTTTTTTCATGTTTCCTTTTTCCCATATTTCTTCCATATGGACAGAATTTTCCAACTTCAATTCCTGACCAAAATACAGACTTCATCTTCATTCAATAAATCCCTATGAAGAGCTTGACTCATCCCTAGAGCACTGCTCAACTAGGGAAGATTCTCTCAGTCTGGTCCTGGACTATCTGAGTCCAGGGCTGAATTAAGCCACCTGGGCTGCTTGCTTAAAAGACCCGCAACCTAGAATTAAAATCTCCTTGGTACCCAAAACACTTGTGCTAATCTTTTTTTTTTTTTTTTTTTTTTGAGATAGAGTCTCACTCTGTCACCCAAGCTGGCGGGTAGTGATGTGATCACAACTCACTGCATCCTCGACCTCCCCGGGCTCAGGTGATTCTCCCACCTCAGCCGCCTGAGTAGCTGGGACTACAGGTGCACACCAGCACGCCCAACTAATTTTCTGTATTTTATGTAGAGATGGGGTTTCACTATGTTGCCAAGGCTGGTCTCGAACTCCTGGGCTCAAGCGATCTGCCTGCCTTGGCCTCCCAAAGTGCTGGGATTACAGGCATGAGCCACTGTGCCTGGAATTGTACCAATTTTTTAAAATGTTAAAAAAAAGTTTTTTACTATTTATCATGAACATGTTTAAACATTAGAGAGAATAGTATATTATCTATTAGAGAGAATAGTATAAAGAATCTCATGCACCCATCATTCAGCTTCCATAACTATCAACATCCCGTTATTCTTGTTTCAATTCTACCCAGCTGTACCACTTTTTTGGAGGCGAAAGTACTGGAGTACTTTAAAATGAATTCCAGACTCTTATCCTCTTATCCTTTCATCCATTAGTTCTTCAGTGCATTTCTGTAGCAGATAAAGACTTTTTTTTTAACATAATCACAATGCCAGCATCATACCCAACATTAACTATAATTTCTTAATATTAATTATCAAATTCTCAGTCTGTTATCAGTTTTCCACAGTAGCCTCAAGATGTCTTTTTGCATTTGGTTTATTCACATCAGGATTCAAAATGATCCATACATTGTGTTTGGTCGGGATGCCTCTTTTAATTTATAATAGCTACCTCCATTATTTTAGTGTCATTTATTTGTTGAGGAAACTGTATCATTCCTCCTGCAGAATTTCCCACTTTCTGGATTTGACTGATTATATCTTCGCAGTGCTGTTTTTAACATGTTTCCATATCTCTCTCATTTCCTGTAAGCTGGTGGTTAGAAGTTTGATTAGATTCAATTTTTTTTTTTTTGCAAGAATATTCCACAGGTGGGGGAACATTATGCCTGGCTGTTTCACTTTTAGTTAAGGTTGATCAGTGGGTTCAAGTGTGGTCAGCCTGATCCATCCACTATAAAGTTCTCCATTAACATTTTATTTAATGGCTCCGGCAGGCAATTTGATCACCGCCTGGTTCTATTTCAGTGATTTTCTAGTTCTGTCTTTCCTCCTGCATTTATTAGCTATGATTCTTCTAGAGAGAAGACATTTTCTTTATAAAATATTTGGTTACCAAGAAATTCAGTCTGTACAGGAAAGACAAGATAAAAGCTTTATTCTTTCCTTTTATTTATCATTTTCATATTTATCCGAATGATTGATGCCCTAGTATTTCCCAAAGATGACTGATGAAGTTTTCTTTCTTATAGAGGAGGGACGTTATGAGCTCATAGATTTTAACATACTTGATGTGTTTCAATCTATTGCAGTCATTACTTTTTTTCATGTTCAAACTGTCCCTCCTTGGCCAATGGGGACCACTTCAAGTTGGCTTCTCTGTTTGTCTTCTTGACATGAACTCGTAATCTCCATGATTTTCTCGCTTTCAGTTATGGCAAGATGTTCCAGGCTCATCTATTGCAGATCCGTAAGTAGCCATTTCTCCAAGGAACCCTGATTCTGTTTAGTGGGTAATGGTCCTTAGAGATTATAATCTGGGCTCTAGGGGTGCCCATTGCTCATCAATCTTGGCCATTTTCTTTGGCTAGAGCTAGGAAATATGCACTATTTTAAAAGAGAAAAAGTAAATTATGAATTTATACTTATATTTCCAATTCAAATAAAGATTATATTTTTATATACTTCGGTTTTATATTTTTATTCCTTTTCTCTTATGCTGAAAAGCTTGGCTCCTAATGATATTAACATAGTTATGTATTTTCTCTCTTTCTCTTTCTCCAAATTGGTACAAAATACCAATATTGCAACTAGCATAATAATACTGAAGGCAATAAAAATTTCTTTGTGTGTATATTTGTCCTCAAAATATATGTGTGTATATTTGTTTCAAAATCACTTAAAATAATTCTCTTTATGTTTATAGAATCAACTTGGTATATAGCTAGGTTTATTCGTTTTAGATTTTCAAGTAAACTTTTTATTTCATATGTTTCGGATGTACAGAAACATGATGAGGATAATACAAAGAGTTCTCATCTCTCTCACACCCAGTTTACCCTATTATTTACATTTTATGTGAATGTGGTGCTTTTGCCACAATTAATGAACCAATGTTGATACATTACTGGAGTCCACACTTTATTCAGATTTTTTTAGTTTTTACTTAATGTTCTTTTTCTGTTCCAGGACATTTGGAAATCATGTCTGCTTAGGCTTTCCTTGGCTGTGATGGTTTCTCAGACTTTGTTTTTGATAACCTTGACAGTTTGAGGAATATTGGTCTGGTATTTTGTCAAATGTCCCTCAGCTGGGATTTATCTGATATTTGTCTCATGATGAGACTGGAATTATGTGGTTTTGGGAGGAAGACAACAGAGATAAAGTGCTATTTTCATAACATATCAAAGGTACATAGTATCAACATGACAACTTATCACTGTTGCTGTTGACCTTGATCACCTGGCTGAGGTAGTGTTGGTCAGGTTTCTCCACTGTAAAGTTACTTTTTTCCCACCCTTTCTGTATTTTTTTTGGGGGGAGTGGGAAGAAAGTCACTATGCACAGCGCACACATAAGGAATAGGGAATTATGCTCCATCTCATTGAAGGTGGATATTTCCATACATTATTTGGAATTCTTTTGCATGTGAGATTTGTCTCTTATTATTTATTTAAAAATTTATTTACATCAGTATGGACTCAGATATTTACTGAATACTTTGAGTTATAACCCAATTCTATTTTATTTATTTTATTGCTCAAATTGGTTCAGCATTAGCCATTGGGAGCGCTTCAATTGACTTTTGTGTTCTTTAGACATGACCCCTTCATTTTTTTTTTCTTTTTGAGCACTTTCTTACTTTCTGGTACTACAAGATGCTCCAGGCTTATCTTGTAGTTTTCCTGACCCAATCCTAAAATCAGCCATTTCTACAGGGAGCTCTGGTTCCCCTCATTGGATAATGGTATCAGAAACTAAGATCTGGGCGCTAGATGTGTTTGTTGCTACTGGGGTGTCATTGCTTCTAGCTCCTCTCAGCTGACAGGCCAAGGAAATATATGCATGTAGACTAACTTGTGCATATACGCATATCTCTAAGTATTTCTATGTGTAAGCATCTGTGTCTATATTCAGCTAGACATGAGTTCATACTAATGTCTCCAACTCTAAGCCATTGCTGTGTGGCTCATTCTGGCTTCTTCCCCTTGCTTATCTGAAACCTCCCACCCCAACAGTAGAAACCTGGCTGCCAACCATTTACTTAATTGTTTAATTCCAGCATACATACATAACTATTTCCATTTGTTTTTAATGTTTTCTTTTGGTTAATTTTGTTTTTGAATTATGTAAAATGCTTGGTTCCAAAGTCAAAACATAAACCAAGATACTTTCAGGGAGGTCCATCTTTGACCCCAGTTCCCTCCCCACTGATTTCCCCTCCATCACAGATAGCAATTTTTGTTGGTTTTCAATTTAATCTTCCATTGTTTCCTTTGGAAAACACAAGCAAATGTATAAATAGTCATATTGCCTCCTTTCTTGCATAAATTGTAACATAAATTGTAGCATATCACACACATTTCTCTTCACCTCGCTGTGTTTACTTACCAATAGATCCTGGAGATCATCCAGAATATCCTGTAGTGATCCTTCCTCATCCCTGCACCGTCCTCTTTTGTATGGATGTACCACAGTTAACAAGTCCTCTACCGATTGACATTGACATATTTTCCAGTCTTTCACTTTTATAAATAGTAAAAATAGTAAAGAATAGCTTTGAACACACAGCATTTCAGATTTTTGCCTGTGTATCTTCAGGATAGAGTCCCCAAACTGAGACTACTGGGTCAAAAAGAGCATACATATAATACTGCTAGATGCTGCCAAATTCCTTCCTTAAGGGATATATCTTTTTGCATTCTCACCAGCAGTGTATGAGAGGTCCCTTTTCCCTATAGCTTTGTCATCAGAATTTTTTTTTTTTTTTTCACATTTTTGCTTATCTGGGTGGTGACAGTCAGTGAAATGGTGCATATCTCTTATTCTGATGAGGTCTAGCATCTTTTAGAACATTTAAACATCATGTACAGTTCTTATTTTGCATACTGTCTGTTTCTACCTATGTGCACTAAAGTTTGAGAGCCACTGCCCTGGTGAATATAAGAAGAGCATGGAACATAGACCCTTATTCTGGAAGGAACATACATGGGTTTGCCCAAATGACATGCCCAAAACGACAATAGAGACACAAACATCATGACTTTAACTTTTGAAGTCCTTGGCACAGATGAAATGTTTTGAGTTCAGAGAATAGAGATAACTGTGTAGAAATTAGGGAAGGCTTCCGGCAGGGCGCGGTGGCTCATGCCTGTAATCCCAGCACTTTGGGAGGCAGAGACAGGTGGATCACGAGGTCAGGAGATCGAGACCATCCTGACTAACACGGTGAAACCCTGTCTCTACTAAAAATACAAAAAATTAGCCAGGTGTGGTGGTGGGTGCCTGTAGTCCTAGCTACTCGGGAGGCTGAGGCAGGAGAATGGCGTGAACCCAGGAGGCGGAGCTTGCAGTGAGCCGAGATCGCGCCACTGCACTCCAGCCTGGGCGACAGAGCGAGACTCCGTCTCAAAAAAAGAAAAAAAAAAAAAAAAGAAATTAGGGAAGGCTTCATGGAGGAGGAGGTGTTTGAGCAGATTTGAAAGATATCTGGGATGGCATAAGCAGAAGAAAGAGAGGCAGGAAGACATGCCAAAAGTAGGCTGAGAGCAAAGAATATATTAATATAAGGAGAGGAAGCAGTACGCTTTGCTCTGGAGTCAGACTTCCTGGGCTCCAATCACAGCCTCTCTGTTTTATTAGCTAGTTTCAGACTCTGCATCTGTAAAATGAAGGTAATAATAGTACCAATCTCAAAAGGTTGTTGTGAGGATTAAATGAAAAAAAAAATGCTTAGCACAAAAACGTAGAGGACCACCTGACTGGAGTCAAATGTTCTCTTTTTGGAATTGTGGGAGGTTCTGTTGAAAAATATAGACGAGCTCAGATAACACAGGACATCAAACTCTATGCTCAGGAGTCTGGATTTCATCTAAAAGTGAAGAAAGAGGCACTGAAGGGAGCTTTTAAAGCAAGAGACTGACAAAGTGAAGGTGTCTTCATCTGTGTGTAACCAGAATGCTGAACAAGGAGGACTCTTGAAGTGTAATGAGAAAGAGACTTTATTTTGGACTTCCACTGCGTCTAAAATGGGGCAAGTTCTTTCCCTGCTCATAGTTTTAATTCAATAGTTAATAGTGTGCAGGGCCAACATAATGATTAGAATTCAAAGCTAGGCTGGGCACGGTGGCTCAGGCCTATCATCGTAGCACTTTGGGAGGCTGAAGGAGGTGGATCACTTGAGCTCAGGAGTTTGAGACCAGCCTGGCCAACACGCCAAAATCCCGTCTCTACAAAAAAACACAAAAATTAGCTGGGTGTGGTGGTGCATGCCTGTAGTCCCAACTAATTGGGAGGCTGAGGCAGAGAATCAATTGAACCTGGGAGGTGGAGGTTGCAGTGAGCCGAGATCACTCCACTGCACTCCAGCCTGGATGACAAAGTGAGACCTTGTCTCAAAAAAATAAAAGAAATTGGAAGCTAAACTTTATTCTATTCTCTGTTAGGTCCTTCTGCAGGTGGGAGGAAAAGGAGGGCTGCAGCTTCTCTTTCACTTGACTGACACATCCCCTCTCCTCAGCCTTCTAACCAACGGGGATTTCTGGCCTCTCTGTGGCTGAAGAGGGGGAAAGGAAGAAAGCAGGGAAGTTCTTATTTGACTAGTACTATCCCAATAGTGCTTCACAATTTGGACACCTGTTTTAAAGCTGACTTACGGACTTTTTTTGTGGGTTCTTGGGAGGCTCCATTGGGAACTTTCAGCAGCATTTCCTGTGATGCAGTTTCCTCTGAATGACACCCTCCTCAGCCCCAGTTTCCCAGCAGCCCCCTCTAGGCAGCAGCCCTTTCTAGGCAGACCTCCAGGTGGTTCTGTCAGGCCGACTTCAAAATGGCTCCAGGCCAGCTCTCAGCCTGACACGATCCACATCCATTCCATGAGAATTATCATCACATTTTTTGTCTCCACAAACTGCCTGTGTAGGCTGCCCAGTGCAAGCCGTGCTCCTCCACCCTGGCCATCAGAACAACTAGCCAGCTCATCTTTACCTTTTGGATTTTCTAGTCCAGAGTCAGACACCAGTCTATGAGGTCTCCCCAACTGCTAGTGCCACACATCACGCTCCCCAAATGATCCCCCTGAAACCCATCTCTATTGACTTGAGTAGAAAAGGGAAGCAGCCCTCCCCTACACTTGGGAGGAATGGCATTCACAGCCGGGTCACACATTACCTTTGCTCACATCTCACTATCTCCAGTCTCAGGTCTTTTATATTACAGTGGGATCTTATTTGGGCATTTAAGGATCTCCTTGGCCACTGACTTTGAAATTTTTGCATGGTAGTGTTTTTAAAATGTAGCACCTATTGTCTTCTTGTTTTAGCAAAATGGAGATAGAAGAGTCTAATTTTAGAACCCTATTAACATATCTTTCTCCAGTACACAGCACAGTGCCTAGCCCTTGGTGAGTAGTGACTGGTGCACTAGGAAGAAGGCTCTAGCTCAAGTTCATATGATAGATGGGTGTGTGGTAGAAGGAAGACCAGTTTGAATCTGCTGGGATCCAGAAATAAGACAAAATTTGTGTAGATTAGGGATATTTCACCCAGAAAAGAATACTTAGAGGGGCATAGTAATTCTCAGCATAGGTACAGAAAATGACAGTCATGTAGGAAGGAGGAAAGACAATTCATTTTGTTGAAGAGGAGGAATTAAGACAATTGGGTAAATTTGGACAACAACAGATTTGAATTCAGTGCAAGACTTTTCTGATATCAATGGCATCATAGCCTGCCCTTGTAGTGAGTGTCCCATCATTAAAAGTGTGCAAGCAGAGATTTGATTTTCTACACCCAACAACCTATCCCACCCCATACTGCTCCACCTCAGGAAATAACATCACTATCCACCCATTGCTTGAGCCAAAACCCAGGAGTCATTCTTAATTCCTCTTTTTCCTTTATTCCCACGTCCAATCCATCAACAAATCCTATCATTTATAAGTCAAAAATATTTTAACATACATTTGTCCATTTGTCTCCACTTACACTGTCCTTAGCCATCCAGGCCACCATCATCCCTCAGCTGGACCCCTACCCGCCCTCCCTGCATCTTCTCATGAGCTGCATGATCCATTCTCCATGCACTAAGCAAGCTAGAGTGATCTCATGAAAATGCAAAGCAGGCCAAGCGAGGTGGCTCAGGCCTGTAATCCCAGCACTTTGGGAGGCTGAGGTGGGAGGATCACTTGAGGTCAGGAGTTCAAGACCAGCCTGGCCAACGTGGTGAAACCCGGTATCTACTGAAAATACAAAAATCAGCCAGGCATGGTGGCGGGCACCTTTAATCCCAGCTACTCGGGAGGCTGAGGCAGGAGAATTGCTTGAACCTGGGAAATGAAGGTTGCAGTGAGCCAAGATCGGGCCATTGCACTCCAGCCTCGGTGACAAGAGTGAAACTCCATCTCAAAAAAAAAAAAAAAAAAAAGAAAATGCAAAGCAAATCATATCACTGTCTTGCTTAAAACCCTCCTATGGCTTCTCTTTGAACTTAGGATAAAACTCTGATCCCTCAGCCTAGCCGAAAAAGCCCCATGTGGTTTGGCCACAGCTGCCTCTGGAAACCCATCTTCTACTGTTCTCCCCTTAGCTTACTGCATTCATAACACACAAGTCTTTCTTGATTTTCCACACAAAGCCAGGTTCATTTCCACATAAGGTCCTTCACACCAGATGTCCCTTGCCTGGGTTACCCTTGGAGCTTGGCATGATTGTCTCCTTCTGTTCATCTGGGTCTGAACTAAAATGTCACTTTCTCAGAAAGAACTTCTCTGACTATTCAATTTAACGAAGAATCCATCCTATCCCCTCAACCATCTCTTTCTATGACATTATCATATTTTGTGCCTACCAGTTTTTACTATCTGAAATTATTTTATTTTCATATTTGTTGTCTGTCTGAGTATAATATTCACTTTATGAGAGCAAGGACTTTGTCTTCTTTGTCCAGCACTGTATTTCCAATATACTTAATAGGTACTCAGTAAATATTTGTTGAATGAATAAATGATTGAATGATCTTGGCTGGGGTCATTGGAGAGGGAATTCTAGTCATCAGAAGAAGATGAGGCTAGACCTTTGAGGTCACGTCAAAGTCTGTATCTTGGGTGGATGAGTCAACAGGAATGAAGAAGGACTGTATCTGAGATAAGCTCATCACTAAAAAGGTGATGATATATTATAGGAAAAGGCTGAGAGCTAAGGATAAGAAAAATTAACTCCACAGTTGGAATTATGGTGGACTCAAGAAAGGTAATACTCACAGAAGTTTGGAACCTGAGAAGGGGTCGTTGCAGAAAAATTTTTGAGCTTGTTTTTGGACATGGATGATTTTAGGTTGGCAATATGACAACAGAGTCTGAGGAGAGAAGTTTGGGCTAAAGGTGTGAGTTGGGAGTCATAAACTGATAGTTGAAATTTAAGCTGGAAGACCACGTAAATTTGGGAATAGTTGACAGCAGGAAAAGTAGACAAGCTCCCTGAGTACCAGGCCAGGCAGCGAGCAGGAGCTGAGTCTCAGTGCTCACGATGAGGGACTGAGAGAAGAAGAAAGAGCTGCAGAGAAGGGAAAGAGCATGGTGGCCACAGAGATAGAAAGAGACTCATGGGCCCTCAGTGTTCAGCAAATTCACAACAAGAGTTTCAAATGAGAGGTGAAGGCAAGATAAAGAAGAAGCTCTTACAGGTTACATATGCACACACACAGAGATTCTAACAAGAAGGATAGGGCAGAAATGATGGGTGACCTTTAAGAGAAATTTCAATAATGTGATGGAACAGACATCATATGGCAAGACATTTGGGAGGGAACACGTGGTGAGAATATGGACGAACAGATGCAGAAAGTGCCGCTTGTTGAAAGGTATATATAGGAGAAGAGACACAGGAAAATGGCTGGAACAGCTGCATCACACAGCATTTTGTGGTTTAAAATTGGAGATCTGTGTATATTTAAGGAGAACAGGAAGGAGAGTGGGGTTCAGTGTGGCAGATCCTTCAGGAAATGGTAAAAAATGGGGCCCACAACTTAACTGCGGAGGTTACTTTTAGAAAGGAGAAGGGTTTCCCACCAAAGCCGGGCCATCTGTGCTGCCAGAATCCTTCTCTGTTCTTGTCCCAAGGCAGCTCTCCATCCTGTTCCTCTCAAAAGATGTTCTAAACCTTCTCTTCTCCCCTCAGATCCCCTTGCCCAGCCATCCCTCATTCTTAGCACATGACTTTGTTTCTCACTGCACTGAGGATGATGAAGGCCTTGAACTCTTCCCTCTCAGCTCACTCCTTCTTGCTTCCCCCCACGCCCAGCTTCTCCTGAGGTCTCAGTGGTTGACGGCTCACCTCTCCACTTGGGCTCACAGCATTCTTGCCTCTTCCCTTCTTATAGCCCCAGCATTCAAGCCTGTCACCGCCTTCATTAGGGGCCACCCAACCCCTTCGACAACAAGATGGGATGAGTTAATACATTAATAAACTGAAAATAAGTCTCACCATCTCCAAAAAATTAGTCTTTAAAAATGTAAATCTGATGGTATATTTTTCTACCTAAAACTGTACACAGCTTCCATCCAGGCTGGAAGCAAACCTCCTTATCGTGACCTATAAAGCCCCGCGTGATCCTGCCCCTGGCTCCAGCTCCAGCCTTCTCTCCCGCCACCTCCCACTTGCTGGCCACGCTTCAGCTGCACCAGCCTTCCTGCTGCTCCTCCAACACGTCAAGCATGTTCCAGCCTGAGGGCCTCAGCACTTAATGTTTCCTCTGCTTGGTGTGCTGACACCCACATCTTCCCTCCATTCAGATCTGTGCTCAAATGTCCCCTCCTCAGAGGGGCAAGGCCAGCTGCAAAGTTTGCAGAGCCCAGTGCACAATGAAAATGCAGGGCAGGACCCCTTGTTCAAAAAGCAGGAAGAAAAGCTTTTTCCTTTCTTCTGTGGTCTCTCTCCGTCCATAATAGTGTGTTTTATTTGTCATTTTATGTCATGCCCCCTTGGGCACAGGGATACTCATAACTGCAGACCTTCATAGATGCCCCCACACTGGGATTTGGCCCGCAGGGTGCATGCATCCCACCCTGACTCTCCCTGTGCCCACACCCAGACCCCCACTGGGGCTGAGAGTGGCAGAAATTGCTTGAGTGGTCTGGGAGCAGCCAGCCAAGGGCCCAATGGAAGTGGGACCACATACACGCTGAGGCTCCAAGCTCCTAGCCCATCGGGCTTCACTTACAAGTCACAGACTCAGAAAATTTGAAGATGATGACTGCAGAGCATTAAACCCCAATCACAAGGCTACCTTCTGAATGTGGTGGCTTGTGCGACTGCACTGGTCATACACACACTCATGAAGCTGGCCCTGCAGACGGGACTTTTTGACCACTATATCCTAACAGGATCTCTGTATCCTCACTCTTATCTTTTCCACCTGAATCCACTTTATTTTCCTATAGCACTTACAACTACCTAAAATTATATGTGTTTATTATCTATCTCTCCTATTAGAGTGCAAGCTCCATGAGGACAAGGTCTTTGTCTGCTTCGCTTGCTGCTGTAGGCCAGGAAAGTAGCAGATGCTCAATAAATAGTTGTCAAATTAATGCATGAAAAGTTCACAGAATCAGTTCACACATTTGGCCTACTTTCAGTCACACATGGCATCACCTCCTAAAACCATCATGCTTTGCTCATAAAATTCACTTTGGCATATTTTGCTGCACTTGAGCTAAAGAAGAATTTTTAAATTTTCAGATCTAAAATATGTTGCATCTCTCCCAAGTCCTCATTTTCACCTTTCAAAAGAGAGATGAAAAACTAAAATCTTGTTTAAGAGAGGAAATAATAACAAGGATGATCATATTATTTTCTGTTTACTGAGCAGTGACACCCCTCTCTGCAGACAAGTCAAGAAGAATGATTCTCTCTTGCTCCATGACATTGCCTTGCTCAGTTTTGCTTTTCCCTATACCGCAGCCAGGGGCTCAGGGTCAGGCTTGAGAAGGCTCACCCTGCTGGAATCCATCCACAGTTCCACAACACGTTGTCTCCATTACAGCACATCCCCATCTAGCTAGGATCAGAACAACTCATTTATATTTCTGGCTCCCTGCTCTAGTGGGAGCATTTGGAGGGAGAGACCAGAGCTGCCTCCCACATCCCAGTGCAACCCCATCCTCACTTAGCTAACTCTGATTTATCCTTTGGTTCTCACCTTCAACATTACTTCCTCAGGGAAGCCTTCTTCAAGTGCTCAGACCAGACCCTCACCACACTTTCTCATAGCACCTGGACATCTCCATCAATTTACACAATATCAATGAATTACTTAATTGTGTGATTATTTGTGTAATGACTGTCTCACTTACAGGCTACAAGTTCTATGAGGGAAGGGATCGTCTCATCTAGCACCTAGCCTACTGCCTGACAAAGGGCAGACACTCAGCAAATATATGGTGAATGAACATGCATCTCCTAGTGCCTAGTGGTGGTGTTCAACAGAAGCTTGACAGGCGTTTGTTGAATTATACTGGAGAAATTTTTTTTATCTCACCAATGTGACTTGCTAAGAATGAGTTGTTTTTCCTTATTATCAAAATAAAAGACAGCTTGCATAATTAAGCCATTTTCCAAAGAATGGTCTTTCCTAACTAGAAGACCAGGCGATTAAACCATTTAGAGGTAATAAATGAGCAACTCCTTGGAAACATACAAAGCTCAAGGGTGGACTCAGGTGAGGGCATTTCTCTTTCTCTTATTTGTATCATCATGGACTTTCCTTTCTCTGCTTCCAGGCACAGCCAATTGCATACTATATTTAAACCTATTATCTATGGCCAAGCTTTGTATCCCTTAAAATCATTATGTTCCGGCTCTTCGAGCTATTCGATACTAAAAGTAATTATAGGCAGGCTTTCGGACAAAAACCTAATTCCTTTATGGTTTCTCCTATCCTAATAAAGACTCTAGAGGTAAGGATTCAAATAAGACTGAAGGTTGTAAATTGCATTGTGAGGAAGGATAAATCATTCTTTGTCAAGGCAGTGGAGCTGGTCCTCCTTCACAGGCAGAATCAATAGTGACAAATGGCGAGGCTGGAAACAAATGCTTTGCTCCAGTGGCCAGGTGTCATGGTAAGTCCTAATAGGAGATTTAGCTTTATTTGGTGATTGTTATTTCTGTGGGTCTTTTATGTTTTAATCCATTGATTCTCTATTTACAAATAATGGAACATGAGACTGATAAATAATATATGTCAACAATATTCAGAATAGAGGTTAACACTTTTCTGAAGTGTTGGATGGGTCTTTTTAAAAAATAAGCAAAGCAGGTGTTGTCCACCAGTCCTGAAGTCTGAGGGTCCTGGCCCCTCAGGGCCAGTAGTGCAGAGGCTGCTGTCACCATTGTCCCTGTGTCTCATTTGCTGCCACTTCTCCCCGACATCCCTCCCACCGCCATCTCACCTCTGTCATGCCTCCCTGGTGTGACATTAATCACAGCATGCCTAGTGGCTTCTGGAGAAACCACACTCTATGAAATGTAATTTATGACCTTAATACTGTTAACCGCATGGCATCTTTTATATTATTACAACTGATTAGGCAGTAGCCATAATGAAACTATATATAAATTTAAAATATATATAACATATATATACAAATTTAAAAATATATAACTTAAATATATGTAAATTTAAAATATATACACATAAATATGGTGTGTGTGTGTGTGAATGGAATAACTTTTTTTTTTTTTTGAGACAGAGTTTTGCTCTTGTTGCCCAGGCTGGAGTGCAATGGCGCTCACAGCAACCTCCGCCCCTCGGGTTCAGGGAATTTTCCTGCCTCAGCCTCCCGAGTAGCTGGGGATTACAGGCATGCGCCACAGGCCTGGCTAATTTTGTATTTTTAGTATAGATGGGGTTTCTCCATGTTAGTCAGGCTGGTCTCGAACTCCTGACCTCAAGTGATCCGCCCGTCTCAGCCTCCCAAAGTGTTGGGATTGATTACAGGCGTGAGCCACCGCACCCAGCTGGAATAACTTATTCTTATTTGAGTTTCCCTTTTATCAAGGCAAAATGATCACTGGCCTCCTCAAATGCGATTATGTTCTTTTTTTTTTTTTTTTTTTAGACAGGGTCTCACTCCGTCACCCAAGCTGGAGTGCAGTGATGCGACCACAGCTCACTGCAGCCTCTACCTCATGGGCTCAGATGTGTGCCACCACACTTGGCTAATTTTTGTGTATACTTTTGTAGAAACGGGGTTTTACCATGTTGCCCAGGCTGGTCTTGAGTTACTGAGCTCCACCAATCCACCCGCCTCAGCCTCCCAAAGTGCTGGGATTACATGCATGAGCCACCCTGCTCAGCCAATATGTTGTTTTTTTCTCTAAGACATATAACCAAATTTTCTTCCCTCTAAAAGTCTCATTTAATAGTTTTCCTCTGACTCAATATCCAAATAATGAAGCCAGAGCTGAAAGGCTCAAGGACCTTGGAGATGGTGGTTGGTGATGACAGAGATTGAATCTAAGCTCATATCAGCCTATTACGAGAACTGGAAGACTTCAGTAAACATCATTAGCTTTGTTTTAGCTGTTCCCTGAAGGTGACAGTAGAGTCAGTTGACAATGAGAATGTAATGCAATTTGGGCTGGAACGGGATCCTAAATGAAAAGCATTGATGTGAAAACAGGTGATGCTAAGTCCTGTTTAGGAATCAGGTTCAGGTTTAAAGAAACCTCCTCCCCACTGTAACAGATTTAGGCTGAGCACATCCTTGAAGACTTGGTCCGGACACCATTCATAGTGCAGATGACAGTCAGTTCTTCCACTATGCTTATTAGCACTTACCATCTCAAACGGTACTCATTTGTTTTTGCAGTCTCTCTGCTCCCACTAACCTTTGATATCTGGGAAGGCACAACCCCCACTGACCATAACTTTATGGCCTAGTTTAAAGCCTGGTGTACAAGGTGCTCACATAGAAGCCACATGTTTTATTGATGAGCAGATAAGTAACTCAGCAGGGTTTCCTAGAAGATTTAACCTTCTTTTACATTTGTTTCCTCATTAAGAGAAAGCTTTGGCTGGGCATGATGGCTCACGCCTGTCATCCCAGTACTTTGGGAGGCCGAGGTGGGTGGATCACGAGGTCAGGAGTTCGAGGCCAGCTTGGCCAAGATGGTGAAACCCCGTCTCTACTAAAAATACAAAAATTAGCTGGGTGTGGTGGCAGGTGCCTGTAATCCCAGCTACTCAGGAGGCTGAGGCAGGAGAATAGCTTGAACCCAGGAGGCAGAGGTTGCAGTGAGCTGAGATTGCACCACTGCACTCCAGCCTGGGTGACAGAGTGAGACTTCGTCTCAAAAAAAAAAAAAAAAAAAAAAGAGAGAGAGAGAGAGAGATAAAGCTTTTTTATTATGGAGATTTTTGAAAATACCCAAACTAGATTATTATATTACACATGCACTCAAGCTAAGCCTAACCAATCCACACCCCATCTTCTTCCTCCTTCACATTGCTTTTTTCCCCATAAGTTATTGGGGGTACAGGTGGTATTTGCTTACATAAGTTCTTTAGCAGTGATTTGTGAGATTTTGGTGTACCCATCACCAAAGTATACACTGCACTATATTTGCAGTCTTTTATCCCTCGACTCCCTCCCACTCTTCCCAAGTCCCCAAAGTCCACTGTATCGTTTTTATGCCTATGTGTCCTCATAGCTTAGCTCCCACATATCAGTGAGAACATACAATGTTTGGCTTTCCATTCCTGAGTTACTTCACTTAGAATAATAGTCTCTAATCTCATCCAGGTCATTGCAAATGCTGTTAATTCATTCCTTCATATGGCTGAGTAGTATTCCATCATATGTATTTTTCATAGTTTCTTTATCCACTCACTGATTGATGGGCATTTGGGTTGGTTCCACAATTTTGCAATTGTGAATTGCCTCTCATTGCTTTTTCTTTTTTTGAAATAGGGTCTCACTCTGTCACCCAGGCTGGAGTGCAGTGGCACAATCGCAGCTCACTGCAGCCTCTACCTTCTGGGCTCAAGGGATCCTCCTGTGTCAGCCTCCTTAGTAGCTGGGACTACAGGCATGCACCACTATGCCCAGCTAGTTTGTTTTGTTGTTTTTTTTCAACTTTATTTTTTGCACAGATGGAGTCTTGCCATGTTGCTCAGGCTGGTCTCTAACTCCTGGCTTTAAGTGATTCTCCCACCTTGGCCTCCCAAAGTGGTGGGATTACAGGCATGATGAGCCCCTGCGCCTGGTCTGTTCACATTGTTTTGAAGCACTTACAGATATGTAAGTGCTTCATATGACTTCATCCCTAAATATTTTGGTTTGGGTCTCTAAAAGATAAGGACAGATTTAAAAAAATGCCCACAATAACCTCCATCATCACATCTAAAACTAAAAACCTACAATCCTACAATTTCTTAATAGCATCAACTATTGAGCCCCCGTTCAAATCTGTAGTGTCGTGTGTTTTTGTAGATTGAATCAGGATCCCAATCAGATGC
This sequence comes from Homo sapiens, assembly GCF_000001405.40. NCBI lineage: Eukaryota > Metazoa > Chordata > Mammalia > Primates > Hominidae > Homo > Homo sapiens. The sequence goes on from NC_000001.11 coordinate 113,272,821, forward strand.
ACATATTGCAATCTTTTCTATTTCTTTTATTTTTTAACTCTTTGAGATAACTGTAGGTTCATATGCAGTTGTAAACACTAATGCAGAGAGATCCCTATGCCTTTCACCCAGTTTCTCTCAATGTTAATACCTTGCCTAAAAGAAGTACAATATCACAACCAGGAAATTGACATTGATATAATCTACCAACCTTACTCACATTTCAACTGTTCTACACATGCTAATTTGTATGTGTGTTTAGTTCTATGCATTTCTAATCATGTGCAGATTTGTGTGACCACTACCACAGTCAAGACCCAGAACAGTTCCATCACAAAGGTCCCTCCTGCACAGGCACCTTCTTCCTGCGTCTCCTTCCTAACCCATTCACCTGTTCCCCATCTCTATAATTTTGTCATTTCAAGAATGTCATATACGTGGAATCATGCAGGACATAATCTTTCAAGATGGACCTTTTTCACTCAGCATAATTCCCTGACATCTATCCAAGTTATAGCATGTATGAATAGCTTGTTCCATTTGATTGCTAAGTAGTATTCCATGGAATAGATGTATCACAGTTAAACAGTCAACCATTCACTCACTGAAGGACATCTAGGTTGTTTCCAATTTGGGGCTATTATTAACAAAGCTGCTATGAACATTCATGCATAGGTTCTTGTGTGAACATAAGTTATTATTTCTCTGGGATAAATGCCCAAGAGTGCAGTTGCTGGGTTGTTTGATAAGTACATATGTTGTAAGAAATTGCCATATTCTCTTCTGAATGGGTGTACCATTTTACGTTCCCACTAGTAATGGATGAGTGATTAGTTTCTCTGCATCCTTACTAGCATTTGGTTTTAGTATTTTTTAGTTTAGCTATTTTGGTAGGTGTGTAGTGATATCTTGTTGTAGTTCTTTTTTAGTTTTAGTATAAAAGCTCACTTTTGTCCTAATAGAAAAGCTTATTGTAAAAAACATGGATAACAAGACAATCATAAAAAGCAAAATAAAAACCATCCATAATTCTCTTCATTCAGATATAACTACAGTTAGTATGTTAGTATATATTTTTCTAGTATTTTTCTGCAGACTTATCTATTCATCTAGCTATTTACATTTGATAAAACTAGAAACATAAGATACAATTTTGCATTCTATTCTTTCTCATAATGTTATGTGGGGAATATTCTTATGTATCCTATGGCATATTATTTGAAAACTTTTTTTTTTTTTTTTTTTTTGAGATGGCATCTCACTCTGTTGCCCAGGCTGGAGTGCAGTGGCACGATCTCGGCTCACTGCAAGCTCTGCCTCCCAGGTTCACGCCATTCTCCTGCCTCAGCCTCCCGAGTAGCTGGGACTATAGGCGCCCACCACCACGCCCAGCTACCTTTTTTTGTAATTTTAGTAGAGACGGGGTTTCAACGTGTTAACCAGGATGGTCTGGATCTCTTGATCTCGTGATCCACCCGCCTTGGCCTCCCAAAGTGCTGGGATTACAGGTGTGAGCCACCGCACCCAGCCAAAAACATGTTTTTAATGGCTGTATGACACTGTATTTTATGGGACTAATTTTTAACTATTATTTTTGGACATTTATGTTATTTTCAATTTGGATATTATAAACATTTCTTTGAATGTCATACATATACATGGATTTTAACTTACATCTCTAGTTAGTTCTTTATAATAGATTGTATAACTGGGATTATAGGTCAAAGTGTATAAACATTTTTAAGACTTTTGGCACATACGTACACATGTCCAGAGTGCTTTCCAGGAAGATTACATTTTTTACTCATCAGAGTGCATATCTCACCAGATCCTCAATAACAGTAAACATTTTTCAACTTTGCTTTTGTCTTTTTAATTTTTGTTTTTAATCTTTTTATCTTTGCCAAGTTGATAGAGAAATTAATTTGCATCGTTTGTTAGTAAATGAAGTTGAAATCTGTTCATAAATTTTCTTATCTATTTGTATTTCTTCCTTCATTGTTAGTGTTTGCCCTTGGCCTGGTTTTCATTGGTATGTTCATCTTTTTCTTATTAATTTGAAAAAAAATCTTTATATATTATGGATAGTAATTATTCTTTTCTTGTATTTGTAGAAAATATTTTTCTTTGTTGGTCAGTTCCCATTTTTCTGGCTGTGAGATTTTTTTCACTCATTTCTTTATTCTAGAAGCATTTATTGGATGTATTTTACATGCCAAAGAGTGTGCTAGTAACAGAATTTTTTAAAAAAAAAACTGAATATCAAAGTTCACATCCTCAGGGAATTCAGAATTTAGTGAGAAACACACACACATAAATAAATGTTTCCATTATGCCTATTTCAAAAGGAATAGATATGGAATTCCGTGGGACACAGAAAAAGGAAATATAACTGGGCAGGCTTCTTAGAGGAGGTAATGTTTCAGCTGGACCCAAAGAATGAGCAGGAACTGGCTAAGTGCAGAGGTGGGAGAGGAAGTCCCAGGCAGGAGGAGCATATGCATAAAAGCAGAGAGTCAAGATGGTGCCTGGTGGGAGCAGTGTAGCTGAGCAGGGATGGGAAATGAGATAATGAAAAAACTCATCTTGTTTCTGAAAATACAGAAACTAAAGATATTGGAGCAAAACAGGAAGTTATTCTACATCAAGGATCTGGTCAGGGTCTGTGTTTTTCATCTGTGGAGTAACAAGCCCAAGGGAGACTTATTGCCCAGGAACAACCCACTTCTGCACTCACCCCCACACCCCACCTTAGCCAAGGGAGTCAAGGGCTGAAAAGCCCCGAAAGATCTTGCTAAAATCACAGCAATAGGCTCTGCTGCATGGCCTTCTCTTTCTCTCATGGTTAAAGGATTTGGGATAGACTGGAAGATGGATAATGGGAAGGTGAAATGGAATCTGGCTATGGATTTCTTCTCGAATGTTCCTACTCTTGGCCACATACCTGCCTTGAACTCAGGTTGAAGAACCCTAGAGGTTGCTGATCTTCATAAGTGCAATGAGTGGCAGACATGCTCTTTCTCTGGTGACAGCTGAGACTGTAAGTAGCTAGGCTGTCTCAATCCTCATTTCATGGTGAAGCATTCCAGAGAAGGCAGGACATCTGAGGGGCGTGACATCCTTGCCTGCTTGCTTTCTTCCTGCTTGTAGCCTGAAGCTCAAATAGGTAGCCTGATAGCAAAGATGTCAGCATTCTCTCTTTCCTCTAAATTAATTCCTTTATAAATCAAGGTGCAGCAGGTTAACACTGGCAAAAACAAAAACAAAAACTACACTGATCCAAGCTTGTTATTCTGTATGGCCAAACATAAAGGGTATATTCAAAGTATTAAAAATATACAGTATCTATCTCTGCTTATTTCATGTCTTTGTCCTCTGTACTCAGACATGTCAAAGGTGACAGCATTCAGGATGTTAACGAAGAGAGCCAGGAGAGGAAAAGGTGGATGAACTCTCAACAATCCACTTGTTAGAATCAACAATCCTTTCCTGACCTCCTTGTCTCATCTACCTTGAAAAAATCTTCAGGATTCACCCAATCCACTGTCCCCGATTTGAAGGTGACTTTTTTAAAGTTTTATTTTTAAAGTTGCCCTTTCTATGCTTTTTAGACATCCAAGTAGCTGTAACTGTTTATCTGGTGATTTTTTTTTCCTATGGCAATGGTCACACATTGATAGACTGGCTCTTGAGTGGGCAGATTGCTGAGTGATATTTACCTGCCTGGTGGATGATTCTAACATATTTTGCGTGTACGTCTCTTGGGAATCTGGAACTCAATGTATCTATCAGAGAAATAGGCTAGGGCAGGGGAGCACTGCATAATCTCTAAACTCACCCCCACACTCCCCCAGCTTCCCCAGCTCTAACCATTCTCAGAATCTGTGAATCTCAATGACGGCTTTTTCTGGGAACTTTCGGAAACATAATGCTATCTCACAAAAGCCTCCAGGGATGCCTATTGGAGCTCCTTCACTTCAAAGGAGAGGTTCTTGGTCATTTTGATAACAGTTGAAAAAGCACACACCCAGCAGTTTCAGGCTTTTCTCCTTTACAATAGTTATGTTTTTAGATCACTATCCTTCTCAGAAATTTAAACACAGGATGTCAATTGCAAGATGGTGGAATAGAAAGACAGCTGCATTGAAATCTGGGGTTTGAAAAATAATCCAAGGTCTTTTTCTCTCTCTCTCTTTTTTTTTTAAATTTGAGTTTCCCCCTGAGAAACCTTGGCTTTTGAAAATAAGGCCTCCTCCCATGGAATGTTGTTTCATAGGTGGGATGCAGCCCTCATGATTCTTCACTGAAAACATGGAAAGCAAATAGGACAATCCCAACAGCTCTGAATTGGAAACAGTAATTCAACGTGTTGGTATTTCTGGAGCTTATGAGAAAGAAAATCTAGGCTGAAGGAAGAAAAGAAATAGGATGAAAATAATGGTAAGAAGTGGGGGAAGAACTATCCGCCAGTTACTTCACACCAATTATTTCTGTTTTCCTCACCATCCTAGGAGGCAGGAGTGATCCCCATTTCACAGAGGAAGAAACCAAGGTTCCAAAAGGAAAAGTAACTTGCTCAGCATCACACAGCTGGAAAGTGTTGAAGTATGCCTGGAATCAGTCTAATTAACACCACAGTCTCTTTCCACTTCTCTCTGTTATCTGTTTAACAACACCACACACAAAACTCTGATCTGAGGAAAGCTATTTTTTGCGTGTGTGGCTGGGAAGGCCCAGGAGCACACTTGTGAGCGCGCTCTCTCTCTTCTCCCCACTGCCATTGTGAATTCGTGGTCAAATTATCCTGGTGGGGACACTATGAATACTTGAATCTGTTTTTATTTTTCTCTAGGTTTCCTGATTTTTTTTTTTTTTTTTTGGCTGGAGTGCAGCAGCATGGTCACAGCTCACTGTAACCTCAAACTTCTGGGCTCAAGCGATCCTCCTACCTCAGCCTCCCAAGTAGCTGGGGTTACAGGTGCACACCACCATGCCTGGCTAATTTTTTTTTTTTTTGTAGAGGTGGGGTCTCGCTATGTTGCCCAGGTTGGTCTTGAACTCCTGGCTTCACATGATCCTCCTGCCTTGGCTTCCCAATTCCTAATTTTCTTATCCTGATGGAGACAAACTATTTTACTTCTGTTCCTTTCAATAACAATAAAAAATCCTGAAAAGACCAAGAATAGGGCCCCAGCAATTTCCCCCTAACTGTAATATCTGTAACTATTCCCCCTAACTGTAATAACTATAATGTAATGTCAGGGAAAGGTACATATCAAAGCTAAGCCACTTTCATTTGCCCTAAGCTATTTTGGGGACCATGTGATTGGTTTACTGTTAACTTTAACTATAAAAGAGCAGTTAACTGTAGATATTTATAATCTTTTCATCTTCAAAGCACTTTACAGTATTAATTAATTAAATCTTAGCAACACCTTTGATTAATTCCTTTTTATGGATGTGGGAAAAGTGGCATGGAAATAATAGAAAATGCCCTTGGCCATGATGGAATCAGCATTCCAAGGTAGGATTAGAATTCAAAATTTTCTGTCTCCACCTTTCATGATAAAACCAACAGACCAGTCTCCTGTTCTGATGCCTTGGTGGAAGAACATGATTTGGCCAACTCATTCTTTAAATTCTTTTAAGAAAAGAACTTTCTCAAAAGTGCCTATCACCTCTCCAGTGCTCTTTCCTATTCTCCATGGCACTGTGCCATAACTTTATTCACTTCTTAAATCAAAGGCGTTACTGGAAAAAGTGAACAATATGCCCAATTCTTATGGTTCCACAGAGCTCCCTTGTGTCTCCCCTTGGAGTCTATTCTTAGACCTACTGTTTGTTCAGGAATCCAAAGTAAGTCAGCTTTATCTGGCAACATCTCCAAAGATTTCTTCCTTCTGTATGTCCAGACAGAAAGCTAAGCAATAATTCAAAGACAGAAAGGGGTCAGCAATAACCATTTTCACAGCTACCAGGCAGAAACTCATCATCAATTTCATCTTCAACAAAATTTCCTCATCTTTTTAATGTTGGAAGAATCACTTGAAGTGTGAGATTTATGGGCAGCTGTTCCAGCCGGGTGAGAGTCTTGCAGACAGGTATCAGACGGTTATTAGCATCTTGTGTTCTAAATTAAAGGAGACGACTTGTCTCTGAATATACACTAGAGCCTTGGAAGGTTGGTAGGGATGGAGTGGGCATTGAAGTGCCTACGCTCAACAAAAACTTGGCAGAATCTAAATAACCTTTAATGACTCCCTTCTCTAAAAAGTTCTTATTCTTTGCTGAACTTGATAGCTTTGGTATATTTCAGGTAAGATTATCGTTGTGACAATAAGAACCTTATGTCAAAACCCAGTCCTAAAATTTGGTAGTGCTAGAAGGTTGTATGACAGACACCCTTTGTCCTCCAAACTAAATCAAACTCAGCAAGTTAAAAAGAATAACATGGAAGATTTGGCTTGGAAAACCTGGATTTGAATTTTGGTTCTGCTTCCTACTTGTTACGTGATCAATTAACCTTGTTGAGCTATTGTTTCCTCACTCTAAAATGGAATGGTAATAGCATTACTTGCATTACATAATTGTTGGAAAAATTAAATGAAAATATTTTCGGCACTCTAAAAATTGTTATCAGTTTTAGTTAATAATAATGGCCAATATTTATTGAGCCCTTACCGTGTGCCAGACACTGTGTGTGAGGTATGCTTTTATGTGCATTATCTGCTTTATCATCTCAACGACACTATGAGATAAGGACTGTAATTATGCCCCTCTTATGGATGCAGCAACAGAGGCCTAAAATCACCTGTCTAATAACTGGTGTAACCAGGATTCACACCCAGTCTGGTTAGACCCATGTTCTTGACCACTACACAATATTGTCTGTAATCTCCAGTTCCCTGCTGGACATTTCCTTTCAGATATTCTGCAGTTCTTTCAAATGTAACCAGTCTCAAACAAAATTCACTATCTCCTCTCAAATTATAGTCTTTTCACTGACTTTCTTATTTGCAAAAGTTACCTTTTTTTTTCCTCCCTGGCTTGAAATCTCTGGGTCATCTGTGTCTGTGTCTCTCTCTTTTTAGCTGAGGAGTCGCCCTGGTTATTCAATTGCACTCTTGAGACAGCACTCTACCCATTCCCTCTAATTCCTTTTGTCACCACCATGGATGAGAGCTCATCGCCCCCGCAAACATGGATTGTGCAATAACTTCCTAACTTGTTTTTCTACCTTTAGTTTATCCTGTATACTACCTGCTAATTAATCCTAAAATATCATTTTCAACAGTTACCTCCTTGATCAAAAACTTTCAGTTGCCTATGGGAGAAAGTCCATGTCCTGACATTCTTGTTCCTCCACAGCCTGGTCCCACCCCACCTTCCAGCCCTGAGCATGCCCTGCACTTTCTTGCCTTTGCACTTTAGTTAATAATGTTTCTCTTCTCCTTCCTCCTCCCCTTCTCTACCTACTGAATTGCAAACTCTCAAGATCCAAATCAAATCCTTTGTTGACTTTGCCATTCCCAAATATTTATTTCTCCCAAATCAGTAAGACTATACCACCCACCAACCTGTTTACTACTACCCGTTGCTAGTTAATTTTTCACAAATAATGTGTATATCTTATCTTACCTTTCTGATGGGAGGGAGAGGATAGGAAATGTGCCTTATATTTCTTTACCTTCCACACAACACCAAGTGAGTATCTACTGTAAAGCCAAGTGCTGTGTTGCATACTGGGGATACTGAGAAGAACAAGATATATTAAGGAGCTCACAGGCTAATAGTATAGATCAACATGTAGACAAATAGTCACAATTGGGTATGAAAGAGCTAGTAAAGATATGCCTCGAGGACTCTGGGAACACAGAGAAGAGCAATGACAAGCAACTAGAGAAATTGGTTCACAAAGGGAACTTTGAGCTGACTCTTGAAGGTTGAGTAGAAAATAAAAGCTCTTTAGGTAGAGAAGTAGAGAAGAGCTTTTGAGGGGCAGAGAACACCATGTTCAAAGGTCCAGAGGCATGTATGGTGTGTGTGAAGCCTGGTGAGATAAGAGCAAGATGTGGGAAAGAACACCAGGAGAGGAGCCTGGAAAAATAGGCAGCTTCCAGATTATAAGCACCTTTTCATGCAAAGAATATGGGAATTGATCCTACAAGGTAGGTAGGAAGCCAAGGGAGGTTTGTAAGTAAGGAAGTGACATGGTCAGATTTGTATTTTAGAAAATTAACTCTGGCAGCAGCATGTAAATAAATCGCAGCTGGAGACACTTGAGGGAGAGACACCAAGAGAGTTTAGGGGTCTGGACAAAGGCTAGGCTAATGGGGATAGAGAGGTCTGTTTACCTGAGGTATGTTAAGGGGGAGCATAAATAGACTTAGTCTACCATTGGATATGGTGAGTGAGGGAGAGAATGGGAGACTATGGATCACTAAGGTTTTTAGGTTAAGAGACTAGTAGTGTACGCATGACCCTATTCATCGAGGTAGAAAATACAGAGGTGAAAGACTGGGTTGTTTTGGCTATTGCTGCTGTTGTTGTCATTTCTATTGTTTGGGTGGGGTAAGTAATGAGGTTAGTGGCAGATGTGTTAAGTTAAAGGCACTTGTAGACCATTGACAAGGAGATGTTGAGTAGCAGGTAAATTTTTCTTGTGCCTGTCTCACAGCCTGGCACAGAGTGGGTACTTAACAAATGTTTGTGGAGAAACAAAATGAGAACCACCCAGACTAGGCATGTAAGCAATACATGAACTGACTAATTACCCATGTAAAATCATACCCTTATTTTCATGGCAAGGAATATAATATGTACTAGTTCTTCTAGTGATGAGAGATCACACAAAAGTTACACTGAGAGTCCTCAACTAGGTCATTGCCATGGCCTGGTTAGCACAGACACTCTGCTTTCTCTGGCAGACATCATCTGAGGGACAGCATGAACCAGGGAACCTCAGAGTACAGTGACATTGATGTATGAACACATAAACCTTGCACAAGGCCTGTAAAATTTCTCTCAAGGACACAGAAAACAATGGATTTCAAGGTCCATAAATGTTGACTTCATATGAATACTTAAAATGAGACATGGATATTTAGTACCTTTTTTAAACTTAAGAAATCTGAAATAAATCCTGATAAATCATATCCTATTCCATATGTATAACTCTCTTCTAGTCTCTTATAAATAACATTCTCAATTAATCCCAGAAAAATGGGGGTGAGCTAGGGAAAAAGGATGGAGAGAGGGAAAATAGAAATGGAAGAGAGAGGGAAACAAAAGCCCAACAGAGAGAGACTTGAGAAATGGCCTGATGCACCCAGCAGATTCCAGGCCATTCAGCTTCAGTCAGCAGATATAAGTGATGTCCTGGGACATGGAATTTTAAATATTAGCGGACATGTTTCAGTAGTACAGCACAAAGCCATTAATTTCTTTGGCATTTTCAGCACTTCATTGCTGCTAAGCATTCCCAGTATGTTCAAGTTAATAGAAAATTTGCAAGCCAAGGATATTTTATGCCTGCATAACTCTAGTTAAAAACACAGTATTGGGCAATATTTATAAAAGGTATAGACAATGTTCACACAGGTCCAACAAATGCTATTTAAAAGATGATAATGCACTTGTCTCACTTTAATTGCTTTTTCTGCTACTAGATTCTAATCACAATAGCAATATCATGCTCAAGGGCACGTTTCAACCCATAATATAAATGGCAGTCAGTGTGATAATATACATTTACCTTTCATGGTGATGCAGAAAGAAAGAAATAACATGTGCTTAAAGTACAGTTGGCACTCAATAAATTGTTTTGAACTGATTACAAACATGGGAGGCAGTTTCTCTGGAAACAACTGTTTTGCTTCAGAATACTACAAGGCTCTTCCTCCCCCATTCTTCTCTTCAAGTCAGAATTATAGGCTGTGGATTTATGATATCTTCTAGCAGAATTCTCCCATTTTCATAGATGAAAAATGTGATAAGCATGCATAGTTAGTACTCTCTTGGTAGCACGTGACAGAAAACAGAACACCAATCAATTTAAGCAAAAAAATTAAATTTATTGGCCTGTGTAGATGAAACGTCCAGGGCGGTAAGTATAGTTTCAGATGTGGCTGGATTCAGAGCTCTATGTTTCACCTTATATGGTTGTCTTTCACCATATTTTTGGCTTTCATTGCAGAATCTAAGTGCCCCGGTAGAAAATGGCGGTGCCAGCCCTCAGCTTCCAGTAGAGCAGAAGTGTCTGCCTCAGTCCCAGAAGCCTATCGCATTTCATTGGCTTCAGTGGGGTCACGTGCCCCTCGGGCAGCTAAAATGTGCCGGTGGCGGCTTAATCTAGGTCGTGTGCCTGCCCTGGGGAACCAGCATCTCGCTGTAAGTGCACTGGCTTCCTGGAGAGGAGGGGTAGCTGTCTCTGTGCAGAATTGAAGTACACTATAACACCATGAGAAGGGAGAGTGAATCCTGGGGTGGGGAACCAATAAATGACCTTGCGACCTTATGTAATATTTAAATTAAGATTTAAAAACAGCCTTTGCATCCCAAGGTAAAATCTTCCTCCATCTCAAAGAAGAGTCCCCGTTAGGGGAAGAAAAAAAAAAGTTATATATATATAGCAGTTGTTTGAGGACAGCTGAATGAAGCCGTTTCTCGCATTTGGGTTTCTTCCTTTACCTTCCATTCTTCTCTTTGTTACCACCAGCATCAGTCAGAATCCCCACAGTGTCTTCTCCTCCAGAACAAAGTATTCAACAGATACTCATTTCTGATTCCTGTAAGAAATGTTAATTGAGTCTGGGCTTCTCCACTGAATCCTGAAAATTTTAGAGTATGTCCCCACCTTCGCCACCCACAATCCTGACAGTTTTGGTGTCACCTTAATCTAAGAACCCAACCTAATCTTCCAAGTCCGCTTGCATTTTGTTTGTTTGGGGAAGTTAACGAGTATTAACAGCTGTTTATTTGGACCTGGATGGGTCAAAGGCCCTGGATGTGGGCCAGAACCACATAGAAGTCAGAGGCTTTAGTATTATCCCTCTGCTCTGAATGCATCCATTTCTTTTGTTTCTCATTATTATTTTGAGCCCTTCAGATTCTTTCAGAGTTCATTTTCCATTCACTTCCTTGTCATAAATATACATTGTGCAGGCATTTTTCTTTTTAACTGTGTCCCCCAGATTTTACTTGACCACTTGGCTGCATCCATTTGCCAGATGAAAATCTATGTTCTTCAAAAACTGCTGAAAATGCCAGTGTAGTCATGCATGCTAAGTGTCAGGAGGAAGAATTGGTGCTGCAACACACAAGATGATGTCAGAGAGTTATTCCTAGGAGCACAGCATGTCCTTGCTGCCAGCAAATCTCTCTCCTGCCATTCAGAAATTCTCACTTTGTTCAGGTGAAGGTTCTGTTGCCACACTTTTTTGAAAATTGCACAGACTCCACTTCACTTCTCATTTATCCAAAATCAACTAAAATGAATAAGTGGGCTTTCTGGATTTGCCACACATTAATCTCATTCTTTTATGCAGTAAAATGCCTTTGCTGGAAACACAGAAAAGGGGAAGACATAAATAACTGCCAATGTATCTGTAAATTTTAATTTTAATTGTATTAGTTATCTATTGCTTTGACCATCCCAACATTTAATGTCTTAAAACAACAACTGTTTTATATGTTCATTATTCTGTAGGTCAACAGTTGGGGCTGAACTCAGCTGGTCTCTGCTGATCTCTTCTGGGGCTATTTTCACCTGAAGCCATTAATGCAGTTGCAATCATCTAACAAGTCAGATGGGATCTGATAGTCTGAGATGGCCTGACTCATATGGATGGGGGTTAATGCTGGCTGTTGGCTAGGTCATTGTTTCCAGCAGTCTTGCTTGGGTTTCTTCACATGGTCCCAGAAAAATTCTTGGCAACAAGAGAGAGAGTCAAGCCCAATGGGCAAGCATGCTTCAAGCCTCTGCCTCTGTCAAATTTGCTAATGTCCCATCAGCCAAAGCAAGTCATATGGCCAAGCCCAAGTCAATGTGGGAGGGCACTACTCAAATGCATGGGTTTGAGGTGGTGGAATCCATTGACAACCATTACTATAAAAATCTATCACATTAAGTTAAACATCTACATCATTTCTTTTCTTAAAAATGAGATTTACTTGGGAAGATGTCAAGGCAAACTCATTACCAGGAAGAACATCTGTCAGAGATTTACAGATACAGAGCAGAGATATAAAACTTTTATAGATTTATTAGCACCAATGAAGCATAATCTGTGCACTGAGGCATTACCCCAACTGTAAAACCAAATCCACTTCAAAAACAGGAGTATAGGCCTTGAACAGTGGCTCATGCCTGTAATCCCAGCACTTTGGGAGGCTGAGGTGGGAGGATCGCTTGAGCCCAGGAGTTTGAGACCAGCCTGGGCAACATGGTGGGCCCTATTTCTACAAAAAATTGTGAAATTAGCCAGGCATGGTGGCTCCAGCTACTCAGGAGGCAGGACAATCACTTGAGCCCAGGAGGTCGAGGCTGCAGTGAGCCATGCTGGCACCACTACACTCTAGCCTGGACAACAGAGTGATACCCTATCTCCAAAAAACCAAAATTTAAAAATATACTTAATGCTGGGCGCGGTGGCTCACGCCTATAATCCCAGTACTTTGGGAGGCCGAGGCAGGTGGATCATTTGAGGTCAAGAGTTCAAGACCAGCCTGGCCAACATGGTGAAACCCCGTCTCTACTAGAAATACAAAAATTAGCTGAGTGTGGTGGCAGGCGCCTGTAATCCCAACTGCCTGAGAGGCTGAGGCAGGAGAATCACTTGAACCTGGGAGGTGGAGGTTGCAGTGAGCCAAGATCCCGCCAATGCACTCCAGCCTGGGTGACAAGAGCGAGACTCCATCTCAAAAACACAACAAAACAAAACAAACAAACAAAAAACTTAAAAAAAACAGAAGTCTAGGCCTGTATATTGATTCTGCTTAGATATTTAATATACAATTGCATTTAAGGTCCTTTCAAAGGACTTCTACAATAGGGGAAGGTGAGACATTCATTGGGTTAGATAAATCAAATTAGTCATCCCAGTTCTGGTAATAGGGAGAGAACAAGGCAACTCTGACAGTTAATAGCAACTAGCATTTCCTGAACACTGATTCTTAGCCACTGTGTGTGGTTTACTTTCTTTAAGCCTTGAACAGTTCTGTGATGTGGGTAGTTATCTTATGTCCATTCTACAAATGTGGAAACTGAGGTCTAGAAAGTTTAACTTACCCAAGCACACACAGCTTAAATAGAAAGGTGGTGACTTGAACTCTGTCTGTAGAGCCTCTGTAATTGTCCACTAAGTCATGCTACTTACTCCATGACATGGGACAAATGGATGGAGTCCATGAAATGATGTCTCTCCCAGGCCCAACACTTCAAATGTATGGTCCTGTTGCATGTTGCTCCTTCACGGAATGCATTCCTTCTGGTAAGACCTCTGGACTTCCAAGTCATAAACAGGGAGTCCCAGAGGGCCTGAGGGAGGGAAATGGCTTCCATACAACATGAGAATTGATAATAGGGTTGATTGTTTCCTACTTGGATTATACTGGGATCCCTTATGTTTCTCAGTGAAGTAGCTGCTGAGCCTAGCATATCTGGGCTTAAAGATGTAAATGATCCTCTGTTTATGCCAGCACCTTCTCATCAAATAGCATTATTGAAAATCAGAGATTTAGAATGACTGCCCTCCAACACATCTTAACGGAGTTATTCCAATAATATCGATAAGTGCAGATGATGATTAGAATGTAATGAGGGATGAGAAATACTATTCTGGATTAAGTCAATTTTCTCATAAACATTTTCATAAAATCATAAGTAAATTTAGGCTCTGTACTTTTGTGGTCTATTCCCAAGTCCCTACCTCTACCTCCAGGAAACTTGGCCTCCATTCTTTCATGTTTCCTTCTACACACCTTTAGCATCATACAGATTTTAAATTAGGTTTTGTGAAATGAGGCCCCACAGATTTTTTACCATTGTCCAGTCATATGCCTTTTGGCAAAGAGAAGCTAAGAAGCAACAGCACTTGTCAGAGAAGTATCCTTACAACTGCCTTTGCAGGCGGATTGATTTAGCAGAAGAGAAGGCAGTGTTTAGCTAATTTTGAAGAAGAATAAATGCATTAGATGGTATTCAGTGGAGCATGATTTGCATAGCATATAAATTATATAGAATTGCAGTGCAGAAAACTCAGAGCTTTCCAGTGGTGAATGAGTCTAATTTGTAGCTATTTCTAGGGACTAAAACATTCCGAAATAATAACTGGAAGATTCACTTTCCATTTCACAATTTGTGGAACACACAAGATAGGTTAAAGTCTTTTTTTATGTTGTTTTCAAGTAAACCTCTTGACTAATTCATTTTGATTTTAAAAACATAATGCATTGGTTTTTCCCTAATTCTGCACTGAAGTTGTACACATATTATCTGCCTCAATTTCCAAGCTTCAGTTCATATTTATGTATTTATAAAGTCTGCTGTTCTCAAAATGGAAGAAATCCTAGAAAAATTAATTATTTAATGAGTTTCAATATTCAGATTTGTGAGTTTTCACTTAGAATATAAATTTGGAGGCACATTCAAAATTTAAGCATAGCTTGACACAAATTAATATCCACATGAGCAGTGTGCAGTCAGATGAAAAAGAGATGAGAAGAATGTCTTCAAAGAAGATAGGACAGAGAATCTGTTTCCCTGTGAAGCTTGTTGTTTTGACTCAATGATATAATGAAGGTACACTGCAGGAAGAAGGCATTGATTCTGATCCCAAATCCAGCCATTCAAGTGCTGCTCAGAAGAAGAAATAGGGAATAGGGAAACTGGAATTCCATTCAACTAGAATTTCCTGGGCATTAGAATGTTTACAAATATGTAGATGAAATTGACATAGATGTTGGCTTCAAGAAATGAACTGTCCAGTGTGATAGACAAACAAACATCTATCAAATGGGAGGCAAAATGTGCTGTAAGTTTGGATCTTGGTAGAGGAGTTGGTTGTACATTATGAATGTGCTAAATGCCACTGAATTCTATACTTTAAAATGGTTAATTTTATGTTATATGAATGTCACCTCAATATTTCAAAAATGTGCTGTGAAGAGGCACAGAAAGAGAAAGGAAGAACCCCATTTCCTTGGGAATCTTTGCCTGTCATCTCTGAAGAAAAGAAGGCTTGCACATGGAAGGTGGGGAGCATCTGGGGGCTTGAAGTACCTGAGTATCTCAGTTCTGCTTTTGTTTTACTAGTGGACATCTGGTATTTTGAAAACTCTGCTGTTGTCTGGCCATTCTGGGTTAGAACATAAGTCCCATGAAGAGTAGGTCCACTGGAAATGTATTTGTCTACCTGATGAGAGTTGGGGACCACAGAAGTGACCAAAATACCAGTGAACTGGGGAAAGGACCTTAGATTTTAAAACTAAGTTGAGAACACATGGACACAGGAAGGGGAACATCACACTCTGGGGACTGTTGTGGGGTGGGGGGAGGGGGGAGGGATAGCATTAGGAGATATACCTAATGCTAAATGATGAGTTAATGGGTGCAGCGCACCAGCGTGGCACGTGTATACATAGGTAACTAACCTGCACGTTGTGCACACGTACCCTAAAACTTAAAGTATAATAATAATAATAATAATGATAATTAAAAAAAAAAAAACTAACTCTGCCCCTACTTGCTGTGTGGCCTTGGGCAAGTCAAGTTAATGAACCTCTCTGAAATTCTGCTTCCTCTCTAGCAGATTAGGGGGCATGAAAACTGTCTTAGATGGTTTTGGAAAAGATTAATACCATAATGCAAAGTGTATTGCACAGAAGAGACACTCATAAATGTTAACAGTTTCCCTTTCTGTCCCATCTCCCAGCCCCCTCAGCTCACCCCTATGATCTCACTTGATGCTCTCATCATAGAAGTCATTTCCTATGAAGCAGCAACAACACTGGCCTGAAAAATTACCCTCATTAGGTTACAGTTATGCTGGAGGAACTCCTTTCTCTTGACTTCATATTTTCTTATGAAACAGCTTCCACTAGAGCAGGGATCTGCAAACCAAATCTAGCCACCACTTGATTTTGTACAGCCCACGAGATAAAAAATGATTTTTAACATTTTTAAATGGTTGAAAATCAGTCATAAGTAGGATATTTTGTGGAACATGAAAATTCCAATTTCAGCATTCATAAATAAAGTTTTATTGGAACACAGTCACATTCATTCATATATGTTCTGCTTATAGCTGCTCTTGCACCACAATGGCAGAACTGTGTAGTGTGACAGAGACCCAGTGGCCTGCATAGGACACAATTCTTATTTTCTGGCTTTCTATGGGAAATGTTTGTGACCCCTGCCCTAGCATGTCATTCCTGGCCCTTCGCTCCCCTCTCCACTTACTTCCCATTGACAGGTGAATTTCTTGGCTGGGTGGGGCCAATCTATTAAAGACTACATGATTTCATCTCCTTTTCTTTCTACTCTGTCATCCACCAGTGGGAAGCACTAATCCTGAGTGACAATATCTACTCTACAGGGCTGTCCCAAGGCCTAGGCTGGGAGAGGGGGAATAGGAAGGTCCCAAGAGTTTGAGCTGACTCCCTAGATTTCTAGCAATCCCTTTCTCCCCAACCATAGGTCCTTAGTTTGAACCCTCACCATCTCTCGTCTGGATCACTAAAACATCCTCCTACATGGCCTTGCTGCCTCCAGCATCATCTTCTTCCAACAAACAGCAGCCAATATAATCTTCTTAAAACAAAAATCTGATCTTATTTCTTCTCCAACTGTGAAGATTAATGGCATGAATGGCCCAATCTTTCATGCCTCTCTGTACCCACACCCAAGGTAGTGCCTTCCCACACAAATTCTAGGCTCAAGCATGTGAATTGCTTCAGCTAAGGGAATAATAGAAAACTTGATACAGAAGAGGCTTGAAAAAGCACTTTCATGCTGCCTCCTCTCTTGGATCCCCACTAGTGCCACAAGAACATGCCTACAACACATGGAGGAGAGGTGAGTTGTCCCAGTCGAGGCCGTCCTAGATGAGCCAGGTCCCAACCAACCTGCTAGTTGCCTGAAAATGCATAATGAGTCTCAACCAGAGAAGCAGAACTGTCTAGCCAATCAGTAGATTTGTGAAAAACAATTGAAGACTGTCATTTTAAGTTTCTAAGTTTTGATGTGGCTTGTTATTCAGCAATAGCTAACTGATACACCTACTTTAAACTCTTCAATGCCTTTAATTGCCTCTGCAAAAAGCCTAAACTCCTTAACTTAATAACATAGAAGGTCTTTCATCATCTTGCTGAGCTCCATACCTTTAGGTAACCAGCCCTTTCCAGTGATGTGCAGCTATCATTGTAAGAACAGGTTCCCAACACCCTTGCCTGGTTCTCTCTTTACTGAACAGGTCCTGGTTTCCCCTGCTTAGATTGCCCCTCAAACTTAGTTGATCTTAGATTCCCTTTTTGACTATAACTTACACTCAGCCTATAAATCAAGGTGTTTTCCAAACTTTGAGTTGATCCACTGGGTTATAAGTTTAGAGAGTTAGGACTAGCATTTTTTTTTAGATGACATTGAAAAAAAAAGTAACAGGCAGGATAAAATAGAAAAATATCAGAGTGAATTCTAGGTAGTAAATTTTCAATGTGTGTGCATTGGTTTGCTATGCAATATGTGTGTATTTTTTCTGCTGGACATGATAAAAAAAAATGTTTGAAAACACACTGCTTTAGAACATTACTTCTGGCTACTCTGCATAAATACTGCCCCAATCTGCCTGTCCTCACACCCAACCCATGATGGATCCCATAGGCAGCTTTCCCCAGGGCCTGCCCTGTCTCACCTGCCCTCACCAGCCTATCTACCCACATCACCCTCCACTCCCCAACAGACCCTGTCACAATGAAGCAGCAGCTTCCTTGCACAATTAGCACCCTATCATGCCTGTGTGCCTTTGCAATTTGGTTTTTCCTCTGCCAATAAAAACCTTTCCTGCCTCATTCGGCTGGAAAATTCCTATTTGTTAGGAGTGTTGTAAATGCATCCTCCATTATTCAATCTTCAAGATATAGCCCAAATGGCACATTCTCTGGGAAGCTGCTTCTTCCCCTCCCTTCTCTTACACACCAAAGCTTACAATACATCAAACTTAAAAGCGTTGTTTTTTAAATTTTAACTTCGATTTCCCATGTTTTTTACTGGAGAATCATCTGTTTTTCTATGTGCTCCCATACCCCCCTGTGCATGCAGCTGGCATACCCTTAGCAATTACAGATTTATAGTTGTTGCATCTGTGTGCATATTTTCCATACAAGGTTGGAAGCTCCTTGAGGTTAAGGACTGAGTCTTATTTATCTTTGTATCACCAGCACCTAGAGCAGGGCCTGGCATCAATACGAGTTGGCATTCAACTCGAGTTAAAATTGTCCCCTGGTATGTTTTGGGAAGCACGAGTGGCCTGTGGGGATGAGATACAGGGCTACTTGGCCTCTGTGGGAAGACGATGGCCCAAGGA
This sequence comes from Homo sapiens, assembly GCF_000001405.40. Lineage (NCBI taxonomy): Eukaryota > Metazoa > Chordata > Mammalia > Primates > Hominidae > Homo > Homo sapiens. The sequence continues at coordinate 113,291,381 of NC_000001.11, forward strand.
AACAGACAGGAGAGGGCACACTCCAGTGCTGGGGCTTCTTCAGAGGAAAAGGGTGAGCTCCCATGAAGCCCATTCAGCTTCCTTAGTAATTCAACCAGCCATGTTCCCAAGCACTTCAAAAACAAAGTGAAATAAAGAAACCCAAACCCACACAATGTGAAGAAGCAGGAAAACACTCCACAGACTCTTCTAGAGGGTTTTGTGTGCTGCGACACAGGAGATGAATAAAGGAGCACACAGAGTAATCAGAGATGAGAAAAATCCCGTGAAAGGCACAGAAACCTCAGGGCTGGGGACGGATGGGGCCGTTTACGGACTGCAAAGAGGAAGAAAGAAGATAAGAGCTGAAGCTGAGACTGACATGAAGATGGGCACTCAAGGGGCCCTGACAAGTCAGAAGGAAAACTTTTCTCACGGATTATATAGAGTGAACCGGAAAGTAACGACAACTTCAGAGAGACCAGGGGGAATAATTTAGTTACTCAAAAAGGACACTCTGTGGATGTGAAAAATTCACATGAATTCTTTGCTCCATGCTGCACTTGCACAGTACTGTTGTGGGATTTTTCCACATACTGCTTGTCCCAGTTACCAGGTTTCCGATAAAGGGCTCTGTTGTGGCCATCGTTAATTAATTACAGGTACAGTGAATGGTAGCAGAGTACCAACTGGAGAAAGTTAGTACAGGAGGCTTTGAAAATTTCACCCTAACTTACACAAGTTATAAAAGGGGGTTTAACTTACCCTTGGGTGTTTATAAATAATTCCAGTACCTAGCACAGTGCCTGGCACACTCGTAGGAGGAAACAGCTGAAGAGGAGTCAATGAATCATTTTATAGCTCTTCTACCCTTGCTAAAGCAACCAAACCACTTTGGTTTGTAAGAATAGCAGTTCCTAAAATAGACAACATGTCTCTGGAAGACTGTGCTAACTGGGCAATGAGGAGTAGAGAGAGGAAAGGGCGGAGGGGGAGGAGGGGAAAAGGGAGAGAAGGAAAAAAAGTTTCTCTCTCTTTCAGGCCATACAGGCCAATTTCAAGGAGAAAATGTTCTGTATGAGCATATGATTCAACCAACTCAATCAGATACAAAGGGAAATAAAGTAAGGCAGGTGAAACCTAAAGCCAGGAAGAGTGGAAGTGACTTTGGACTCAGAGTTCACGATGAGATAAGTCTAAAAGAACGTAACATAACTGTCAATTTCTTGTAGCAGAGCCAGCTACCTGGCTTTTTAAATGACTTATATCATCAACCTGGGGGATGTGAACCAGGTGATGAATCAATTACCTCAATGAGATAAAATGCCTAAACTCCATTAATGCATCTGGGAACAACAGAAACAACAAAAAAATACTGTCAGGTGTCTCCTGCAAAGCAGGTTGAGCAATTCTCCTGATGTTGGTCTCTTAGACTGAGTCCAGGGGTTACAAGCTGTTCACTCCCACGGTGAACTCCAAGCAGTGCCTACAATAGGTTGTTGGGGCAAATACCTCACTGCCCTTGGGAATAACAATAAGAAAAGAGATGGCAGGGAGAAACTGAGAAGGAAAGGGTTCACTTAAGTAACCAGGGGTTAGACAAGGCAACCTAAGACACAAAAGGAAGGAAGAAATGGAACTAATAAGAAACAATTTGAGTATAGTTAGCTGGAGCTTCCAACTAGATGGGCTGCTGAAAAAAACAAACAACTTCATGCCAGTTATTTATTGACTGTCCCTAAGCCAATGCCAGTCAAAGGCAGTCCATAATATCCCCAGCTATCCCTTAGGAAAAAAGTTCTCGAGCAATTCAGGTAGCTGGAAAAAACACATAAATACTCCAGGACAACAATTTTAGAATAAGAAAGCACCAACAGAGAGAGAAGGGATCTTTAGATTCCGAGTCACAGTGTTTGTACCTTTAACACAATTTGATATATAAAAATTACTCACTATATATGAGCTAAATTTCTCTCTCTTTCTCCGCGCACACACACACACACACACACACACGCGCGCGCGCGCACATGCGTGCACACTGGTATACCCAAGGCACTCTATAGTCTGTGCCTGGTTCCTACCTCTTCTGCTGGTCTCTATCCAGATAGCTAGGCCATTTGGATACCTACCTATAAACTAAACCTTGCTCTCATTTTTATGACCAGTCTGGACTTCAAACAGTAGGAATTTCTGGAGCTACAACGCAGTCTTATGGAGCAAACCATCAGGTCACCCAACTAGAAATCTAGCCCTGGTCTGTGGCCCCAGTTGGATAACTAGCTTTCTGTAACAATCACAACACTCACCATCTCCTTGTACCCCAGGATTGCCAATGGGCTTCTATCTTGAGGACCCTCTGTCTGAGATCGTGTTTAGATAACTTGCCTACTACTTTCACTAGGACTGGGGCCTAACAAGCCCCAGTCACCTCGTTTTGTTCCAATCACAAACAGGCATACAGTGCAAGGTCTTATGGTCCTCAGCAACCAGGACAGAACCAACAGGGAGGAGGAACCAGGCAACAGCTGCCAGACGCTCCCTCACCAGGGAAAGAATCACCTCATCTCATCAGGGTGGGGCAGAGGAAAGCATGGAGTGTGTGGTGGAAGCTGGGTGATCCCATCAGAGCCTTAGGCCTCACTTTAGAGTCACAGGGAATGCAGGAGGAGAGCAGTGTAGGGGAGATACGTAGGGAGGTGGCATTCTTGGAAGTTTTACTCACATGCACGAGTACCCTAGACAGCAGGCTGGATCTCGGAGATAAAAACTAGTCCCCTGGCCGGGCGCGGTGGCTCACGCCTGTAATCCCAGCACTTTGGGAGGCCGAGGCGGACGGATCACGAGGCCAGGAGATCGAGACCATCCCGGCTAACACGGTGAAACCCCGTCTCTACTAAAAATACAAAAAAATTAGCCGGGCGTAGTGGCGGGCGCCTGTAGTCCCAGCTACTCTGGAGGCTGAGGCAGGAGAATGGCGTGAACCCAGGAGGCGGAGCTTGCAGTGAGCCGAGATCGCGCCACTGCACTCCAGCCTGGGGGACAGAGCGAGACTCCGTCTCAAAAAAAAAAAAAACTAGTCCCAGAGCACCAGTCTGGAAAGACTATACAAAGTGTCAGTCAGTGGGTTCTTGTCCTAGGAAGAGGAGCTGATATCCTAGGCAGCACAGCTGAGTGCTAAGAAGACCTATAGATCAGGGCCGGGCACGGTGGCTCACGCCTGTAATGCCAGCACTTTGGGAGGCTGAGGTGGGTGGACCATTTGAGGTCAGGAGCTCGAGAGCAGCCTGGCCAACGTGGTGAAACCCTGTCTCTATTAAAAATACAAAAATCAGCTAGGCGGTAGTGGCATACGCCTGTAATCCCAGCTACCTGGGAGGCTGAGGCAGGAGAATGACTTGAACCCAGGAGGTGGAGGTTGTGGTGAGCCGAGATCACGCCACTGCACTCCAGCCTGGGTGACAGAGTGAGACCCTGTCCCAGAGGGGTGGGGAAAAAAAGGAGAAGAAGATCTGTAGATCAGGAAATGCCTCCCAGAGAAGAAAGATGTAAGACAGACACATGAAGGCAAGTAAGGTGTCATTGTCTTGTAGAACTTTCGCTGCCTCCAATCTTGCCCCTTTCCCCTCTGCCCTGCCTCTCACATTCAGATCGGATTTCCTAAAACACACTTTTTGTCAGGTCACTTCCTATTCAGGATCTTGGCCAAATGCTTGCTTATCACCAGATACCTGTGTTTTCAGCTGTCCAACCTAGTAGCCATCACGAGTTCTCCAAGACAGGACAGTGTGGCATGACCAAAGCCAAGGTCAGAGGTGTACTACAGAGAAGTTTATAAGGCAAGAATTGAAAATAGATAGCTGTATTTTATGCGTGGGGGACTTGCTGAGGCTTTTAAGTGGAGCACTTTTAGTGTAGTTTTGAGAATGGATGACCGATTATGAAACATGGGCGAAAAGAAGATAGTAGGAACCGGGTTTTTGATCAGCTGAAGAAAAAAAGACTAACGCTTAGTGTTTGTTGGAGTGAAGTCACATGTGATCACTGTATTTTTTTCACACCTTAATTTGTGTGCCCAATATTTGTTCATTTATTCTACGTATATTTGTTGAGGACTTACTCTGTCTGGACCCGGTACAAAGAATAGGGGATACAGTGCTAAACAAGATATACATGGTTCTCAGGGGCAGGGGTTGGGGTGAAGAGACATTGGTCGAAGGACACAAAAATTTCATTTAGGAGGAATAAGTTCAAGAGATCTATTGTATAATATGGAGATTATAGTTAATAACAATGTGTTGTATTTTTGAAAAATGCTAGGAGAGTGAATGTTCAGTGTACTCACCACACAAATGATAGCCATGTGAGGTAATACATATGTTCATTAGGTAGATTTAGTCATTCCACAAAACATCATGTTATATACAATAAATACATATAATTTTATCAGTCAATTTTTAAAAATAAGATTTTCGAGCAGACCAAAAGTTTTGCTTACTTTTCTTGAGACAGATTGTCACTCTGTTGCCCAGGCTGGAGTGCAGTGGCGCGATCTCGGCTTGCTGCAACCTCTGCCTTCCAGGTTCAAGTGATTCTCCTGCCTCAGCCTCCCCAGTAGCTGGGATTACAGGTGTGCACCACCAGACCTAGCTAGTTTTTGCATTTTTAGTTTTACCATGTTGGCCAGGCTGGTCTCGAACTCCTGACCTCAGGTGATCCACCTGCTTTGGCCTCCAAAAGTGCTAGGATTATAGGCGTGAGCCACCATGCCCCGCCCAGACCAAAAGTTTTAAAAGCAATAAAAAGTCCTTTTTATATAGAGATCTAATGTGCAACATGAGTACTATAATTATAACATTGTATTGTATACTGGATATTTACTAAGAGAGTAGATTGTAGGAATAACTATGTGAGATGATGAATATGCTAATTTGCTTGACTATAGTAACCGTTTCACTATGTACCAAAACATCATGCTGTACACCTTAACCAAATGTTAAAACAAAAATTGTAACATATTTGTTTTAAAGATATACAGGGTTCTGCTTTCAGGCAATTGCAAAGGGAGGATAGATGTGATGAGACGGGATGTGTAGACTGTTCCAGAAACACATGCGAGGGGCATTTAACACTGGCTTGGGAATCCCCTAGTCTCAACTGCCGTGGTTCTCCTTAGCCAGATTGGTTTTCTCCCATATTCTTGCACACGTCCTACGTATTCTTGACTTCGGCTCTGGGATTATAGTTTCAGCCAGCCTACTCAGGACCTATTAATTCTTTAAGACCTAGCCTGTGTCTCAAATTCCGCTTAAAGAGACTTCTGTTCAAGATGGCATACAGATTTACACATTTAGGTCCACAACCTGTCCCTCAGCTCCAAACACATAACAATGGTAGATAAAAATATTTTAAAAGAAATCTAAATACAAGTGGCCATGCTAAAAAAAAATTTTTTCTGGACCAGAAACAAAGCAAAAACCCAGTACCATAAGCAAGGCTACTAAGGATGAAAGGAGGCACAGGCTGTGAAATGGTAATATCTGGTATGCAAAGCAGGTCAGAGAGAGCCAATTTCATTGAGTGAAACCAGTACTTTTGCAGACTCTCTCACCCATGAAAGGAGGATGAAAAAAAAGTGGCAATGGGTCCTTATCTGGAGCAATGGAGTATATGAAGCTGAGTATCTTGAAAGATAGGAAATAATGGATCTCATCTTGAAGCAAGAATATGGGCCAAGCAGCCCACTGGGTTAGTAACCTGTACCTTTTTAAATTTCAGTAGGACAGGAGCTTCTGAACTGCTGGGGGTAAAAAGCTGGGATCTACACGCTGGGACCTGGGGGGCCAGAATAAAACAACCACAAAATTGTCAGAGTCTGAGGGAACAAAGAGAGAGAAAACACTAAAGCCTCCTATTCACAATGAGCCTTCAAACCAAAATTACAAAACACATGGAGAAAACTAAGACAACAGATATAAATAAGTAGGAGATATATTGATTACTCAGAAATCAAAATAATAGATTAATATGAAAATGTCTTCAAAATAGGTGTGTTTAAGATCCTCAAAGAGATAAAGGAAGGTCCATCACTTATTAAAAAACAAGAATTCTGAAACAAAATAGTCAAATGAGACAGGAGCAAGCAGATATAAAACATAACCAATTGAAAATCCTAGGAATGTAAAAAATGCAATCACTGAAATAAAAACCATAATGAATAGGTTAAGCTCTAGAACAGACATATTGGACAGATAATTAAAGAATTGGAAAATAATATTGAGAAACTCACCCAGAATGCAGCACAGAATGATAGAGATTAAAACTATAAAATGTCAGGTAGAAAATACAGAAAATAGATGGAATGACTCCAGCATGGTTCTTACAGGAATTCTCTGTTTTAAAAAGAATAGAGACAGTAGCAGATAAGATATATTTGTAGAGATGATGGCCGAGAATGTTCTGGACTTGAAGACAGATAAAAGTATACAACTTGTGCTGAGCAGGAGACATTTTTTAAAATGCCTTAGGTGCCCTGGTTCTACCTACCTCCATGACATCATCTCTACCTCTTTGCTCCTCTCTCCCATTGATTAGCCATCCTGGCCTCCTTGCTAGTCCTTGAACAAAACAAGGCACTCCTACCTCAGAGCCTTTGCACTTCCTCTTTCTCTGTTGAAATGCTCTTCCCCAGGATAATCTGTATGCCTTGCTCTCTCCCCTTTTTTTTTAGATTTCTCTTCAAATGTGACCTAATTGGTGAACTCTTCCCTGTGATATAAACAAATAAATATTTGCTTAGGAAATGAATGACTGAATGGGTAGATAGATGCATACTATCCTTTCTCCACCTCAAAACCTCACCCGCCCTCACATATCTGGTACAGTGGTGGGTACATGGATAAACATCTAATTTAGTTTTGCTAAATTCAATGAAAATCTCGATCTATGTCCTAAAAGTTGCCGTTACTACATGTGCATATGAATTAATATGTAATGACAGATGTGCTCAATCTATTTCCCCCAAAAGTTTATCGTTCTTTATAACAGAAGAATGAAATCATGGAATTATAAAGTTAAAAGGGGTGTTTAGAGCTTATTAACTTCACCTTCTACATTTTACCTGTGAAAAACTGAGGCCAAGAAAGGTGAAGTGGATACACAGTCAAGCAATGTAACAGAGCCAGGACCAGAAATCGGTCTCTTGACTCTGAGCCTAGTGTTCTTTCTACCATACTTCATGTCTCCTGTATCCTACCTGCATTCAGAGAGAAACAAGGTCGTAAGTCTGTCCCTTAAACAAACATCTTAACCCCTCCATATGTGTGCATTGTTTCTAGGTAACAATAGAGTACCCTCACTTGCTTTGGAGAAGTTGAGGTTTCCAGGTGCCACTTCATTAAAAATGTAATTTTAATGTGTTTTTATTTCTACGGCTTCTTGTCATTAAGAGCCTATAATTAAAATAATTAGAAGAAGAATCTTGCCTGTTAATCAGTCTACATTTCAATAAAACATTTTAAAATTCTCAGTCCAAAGCTGTTACCTTATTATTTAAGCATGAGTTCTATTATATAAATTGTCACCACAGCACTGCCAACCAGTTATTTATAGAAAAAAATCTGTTAGCTTTTCCTTGGTAAACCAATGTCACTCTATGCTGAAGTTATTGAAGAAATTATAGGGAGATGGAAGATGGGTGGGTTTGCATCCCCCCAGTGTAACCGGGCTCTGGAAGATTTCCAAAATCTTTTTTGGATGCAGTGTACGTCAAGAGGGTTGAGAAAGAACACAATTTTTGCAGCAGTGAGAATTCACGGTGCTAAATTTTGGGTGTCATGCATACATATATATATATATACACACAGACATATGTATGTGGTGATAGTGATGAAAAGATTTTTTAAGCTGCTATAATTCAGGCAGGCTACATTCCACTGGTGCAGTGGGGTTTGAGACACTAAAAAGCAATAAAAATGATAACCTCTAAAACCAATTTCTTATTGTAAGTGTTCTGTTCTGTTTGCTGTAAGCCTGCACTGCCAGAAGCCTTGTGCTAGGAGTTTCTGTAGGACACAGAAAACAGTTTGCATTTCCCCCAAAGGGAACCTCTGTTTGACCCAGGAGAGTCTTGGTTGAAAGGCCGCTAGAGCTCATTCATAGGGTATGGAACTCATGCCATCTGTTTATTTCATGTCCCTGCTAACTTCATTAAATATTCACTTCCCTGGGGTCCTATATGCAATGAGCTTATTTCCAGAAACAAGGGGATTATGCAACTAATAAGAATTAGGGTTCAACTCTTAAGAAATAACAAATAATATTTTAAGAAACTACTATAAGATAAACATCCCAGTGGGATTTTAAAATATTTTGAAAAATAATTATGAACCTTTCTCTCTTCCTGGACAAGGAGCTTTAGGATAAGTTTATGGAATTAGAAGAAATATAAAGGAAAAACATGGAATATTTGACATAACTCCCTGTGGCATATAGACCCTAAGATGCCCACCCCCCCCCCATCTCCTATTATCCACATCTTTATACAATTGTTTCCTCTCAAGTGTGGGCAGGACTGGTGACTTGCCTCTAAGCAATAGAAAGAAGACTGTAAAGGTGGTGGAATGTCACTGTCATGATTATGTTATATAACATCGTAACGTCCATCTTGCTAGCAGACTCTCTCCCCTGATGGCTTTGATGAAATAAGCTACCATGTAGAGATGCCCACACCGCAAGGAACCAAGGGTGTCCTCCAGGTGACAGACAGCAAGGAACTAAGGCCTTCAGTTCAGCAACCTGCAAGGAATGAAACGCTGTCAACAACCATGTGAGTGTGGAAGCCAATCCTTCCCCAGTCGAGTTTCAGAGGAGACCCCAATGCTGGCTGACACCTTGACTGCAATCTTTTGAGAGACTCAGAAGCAGATGATCCAGCTGAGTTGTGCCCAGATTCATGTCCTACAGATAATAAGTTAGCATTTTTTAAGCCACTAAGTTTGTGGCAATTTGTTATGGAGCAATAGCTAACTAATACATTGATTATTGATAAAAGTGGGGTCACATTCCTAAGAAAGGAAATGTACGAAATGGAAACGAGTATAGACTTGGATAACAGAGTTCCTGCTATGCCATTTAGTATCTGGTTAAGTTTCATATCTTTTCTAAACCTTGGTTTCTCTGTTTCTAATATGAAGATAATAGTTCCTGCCTCATGGTACTGTTTGCAGGGGTAAATCAGATACAGTATTTAGTAGCATGTCTGGCAGATATGAAGTATTTAATAGATGCTATTCATTGCTACTATATGATGTAGATTTCATCCACTGGAACAATTATAGTCTTCACCCGGGGACCTTAGCATGATACAGCTATCCAGGTTGGTTTTGCTAGCTTTTTTGTTTCCTCTTGTCAGGACTTTATGTTTCAGGGAGACTGAGTAACCTTCCATTCAGCCCTGAAAGGTTTTACTCTCATGGGTATTATAAATGTTCTCCTCTTGGTATGTGACATGATTATCTAATTCTTTTTGTCTGAAGTAGAACTAGGGAAATATAGAAGTGATGAGTTATTAAGAATCCTTTTTCAAATAAGGAAACAGATGAAATTCCCTCAGTGGCATGAATGTATGACCTCAGTCTTGGTACACAAGGTGGCTCTGCATTCGGGAGAGACTTCATTATCTCCCTGAGAACGCTGAGCTGTCAGTCACAAATTTTTAGCAGCCTTTTGCTTTCTTCATTGGCATTACCACGTTAGAAATTGTGAAATTTTTATCTTCCACTTGAATGCTGTCAGTCAATGCAATGGTAAAAACTTCAGTCTATAATGCAAAGGCTTCTTAGACCCTGACCAGGCTACACCTATAGTTAAAAAGAAACTATAATTTCATTTGAATGCCCTGCCTTTGTGATTAAAAAAAATCAGTGAAACTTTATATTTAAAAGCCATCCAGCTTGGAAACCCAAGAAATAGGAGATCTGTTTTGCAACCTTGTAATGGCTATCTGCATGACAGGAGAGATGGGTTGACCTTTTTCAAGGAGAACCCATTCTATTCCTTCATGGAGAATTATAGGAAGGTGGGTTGTTTTCTATTCCTCCTCTACCTCACCCCTAAACCTGCCTTTCCATTTCTTACAACAGCCATATAAAGCATATAGATCACTTTGTGTATCTATTGATTGGTTAGAAGACCTGGGTTCAATTCTTGGCTCTGCCACTTAGTAGTTTTGTCTCTTGGGCAAATCATTTCATCTCTCAAAGCCTTAGTTTCCTCATTAGGAAAATGAAGACAATAATAATAATCTCAAAGGTGGATATAAAGATGCAATGAGATATGTGAAAAGGCCAGACTCAATAATTTTGTTCTCCACACATACTTTAGGGGACAGCATTAATTTCAGGGAAAAAATTAATGCTTCTGTTTTTCTGTATACACTAAATTTTTCTTATATCTGAGCAATAAGCTATCTAGTACACTGTTCATAAATGTCCATTGTATTCTAAGGTATATTGCAGGTCAAAATATTTGCTTATGATTCATTTTAATGGAGATAATATCTAATATTTAATTAAGCACTTGCTATTGGCAAGTACTTCACATGTGTAATTCAATCAATTCTCATAGTAGCTCCATGAAGGAACTGAAGCTCAGAGAGGTTGAATAACTTGCTAAGGGTCATGCAGCTTGATGGAGTTAGGAATCAAACCTAGTTATCTGAATCAATAACCCGCACTACAGCTGACCCTGCAGTGCTTCCATGCCCCTCATGCAAGTGTTAACTCTGCAGGGGACTTAACCTCTAAACCAGTAGAACCAAAGAAACAGGGAGCAGAAAGTTTTGCAAGTGGAGTATTAGATGCAGCTGGGGTTTATGCTGCAGACACTGCCAGCCTTGGTTCCCTGAGACAAGTATCTGATTTGGGGAGAAAAAGCCCCATATTTTATAGGTCCCTGGTTACCACGTATAGCATGACAGCAGTTGCAGTAAACATTATGCAGAGCTCTTTGATTTTGCAACCTAACTGAAACCTTCAAAGGTGAGTGTGTCATTAGTAGAAAGTGATAATTTTAATTCCTGTTTATTATAAGTATATGTTAATGAAAATTATATAATCAATGATAAAAGAAGCTATTTAAATGGCATCGCCTCTAAATAGATTTACCTCCACCAGCTTCTGCCCGTTTGAGCAGCATTATAAATAAGCAGCTTTATATAGTTGTATTTTCTTATTTTCCTTTAGAATCACTGCGATCCATGAGCCTTCCAAAGCCTACCCTATCCAAAGCATCAGTAATAAATCATAAATATTTATAGCATTTAATCATGAGGCAGCCAAAGAACTAAAGAAGTGTTATATTATTCAGCAACTCATTAAGCACCCAGCAGGCTTATAATCCAATGGTGAGGCCTGTGAATGGTTTCCTTTATCAACAGCTTTCTTCCCTCTACTTTAGGAAAAAAATTCATTAATGCTTGCGTATGTTTAAGTTGCAGCAGGTGTGGACCAAAGTCAATTAGACTACACAATCCCTGATGTCCTAGAGATGTATAATTTAACAGAACAACAAAACGTATTCTCCTTGCCATCCCATTACAGAGGAAAGAAGAGAAAGATGAAGGGGAGGGGGGCAGAAGGGAGAGAAACAATTACTGAGCCCTCCTGTGAGCTAGGCAATAATAGCTGGAACATCACATTTACATTATTAATGACTATTTCATTTCCATAGCCATTTTCCCTTTATTATTTTTGAAGGGAAAATATTAGATATGTTACTCAGTATACAGAACACACAAACAATAAGAACCGTTCAAATGTGGAACGGGGCCTCCCTTCAGAGATAAGAGTCTTATCACTGGCAGTGTTCATGCACAAGCAGGATGCCCCCTAGCAGGGGTTTTGAAGAGGGGATTTCTATCAGAAAAGATGACCAGAATCACTTCTTCAGCACACAAAGATGCAAACCTCCTTTTTCTTCTTCTACAACAGAGGTTTAAATTCTAAAATACTTTCCCAGACTCAATTGTAGGTGGCAGTGGCCACGTGACCCTGTTCTGGCCAATGAGATGTTAGCAGGAGTCCTGGGGCGGAGTGAGGGAGGCTTTTGCGAAAAGCTTTTATAAGAGACAGACGCATTGGAATCGTCTTACACTGCTGGCAGGATTGTAAAATGGTGCAGCTGCTTTCGACAACGGTTGGCAGTTCCTCAAAAAGCCAAAACATAGAGTTACCATATGACTGAGCACACTCATAGCTATATACCCAAGAGAAGTGAAAACATACGTCTACATAAAGACTCATACACAACGATTCATAGCAGCATTATTCTTAATAACCAAAAAGTGGAAACAGCACAAATATTCATTTACCAATGTGTTATATACAGATAAGGGAATGTTATTCAGCCGTAAAAAAGAATGCAGCACTGAGACTTCCATTCAATGGATGAACCTTAAAAACATCGTGCAAAGGGAAAGACACAACAGGCCACATATTGTGTGATTCCATACATACGAAATGTTCAGAATCGGCAAATCCGTAGAGACAGAAAGTAGATTAGTGGTTGCCAGGGTTTGGGGAGGGGGAAAGGGGGAATGAGTGCCAGCTGCTAATGGGTACAGATTTATTTTGGGGATGATGGAAATGTTCTGGAATTAGACAGTGGTAATGATTGCACCACCTTGTGAACATAAGAGGTGAATTTTATGGTATGGGAATTATGTCTCAATTTTGTAAAGAGACAGATTCAGCTGGCCTAACAGTAATTGCTCTTGCATTGCCCTTTACCCATAACCTTATTTTCCTTGCTGAAATGCAGATGGAAGAGCTGAAGTGCAGTGGCCATGTTATGATTGTGAAGACAAAGGCCATTTGCTGAGGAGGATGAACAGAAGTAGTCAGGGCCCATTAAACCTCTTACTTAAGCTGCTGCCTGTCAAGTTTTCTGCTGCTGGCAGCTGAATGCAATCCTAATATACCTCCCAACTTCAAGATTTTATGAAAAGCCAATTACTCTTAAAATGAGAAGAATTGAGTTATGAAATGCAATACCTAGAGAGGTGCAGAAAAATAGTTTTTGAGAAAGTACCGTTTAAAGAGGATTTCACATTTTTAGAGATATTTAGTACTTGTGCTGTAACAAGAAGTGGTTTGATATTTAAGTTTATGATGCTGCATTATGACACAGAGTAATGAAATGTGAAATATATATTTTAAGGCATCTTTAAGAAAAATATAATGAACATGAATAATTACCATTATAGCTATTTTATTAAGACGTGCTATGTAGTCAAAGATGAAGAGTCTATTTTTGGCTTGTTTCCAAAATGCCTGAAAGAAAAACTTCTATGGTATGTTTTTGTTACATCTCTAGATAATACTGAAGATACTAAAAAACTACAATTTTAGTAAGAAATAGCCATAATTTGAGTAAAAGGGGAGCCATCATGAGTAAAGACAGTATGAAATATGCTGACATTTATAGTCTTCTGAGATATTAGCATGCACTAGTGCTATTTTATTTTATTTTATTTTATTTTTTATTATACTTTAAGTTTTAGGGTACATGTGCACAACGTGCAGGTTTGTTACGTATGTATACATGTGCCATGTTGGTGTGCTACACCCAGTAACTCGTCATTTAACATTAGGTATTTCTCCTAATGCTATCCCTCCCCACTCCCCCCACCCCACAATAGGCCCCGGTGTGTGATGTTCCCCTTCCTGTGTTCATGTGTTCTCATTGTTCAATTCCCACCTATGAGTGAGAACATGCGGTGTTTGGTTTTTTTGTCCTTGCGATAGTTTGCTGAGAATGATGGATTCCAGCTTCATCCATGTCCCTACAAAGGACATGGACTCATCATTTTTTATGGCTGCATAGTATTCCATGGTGTATATGTGCCACATTTTCTTAATCCAGTCTATCATTGTTGGACATTTGGGTTGGTTCCAAGTCTTTGCTATTGTGAATAGTGCCGCCAGTGCCATTTTAAACCAAACTTTCTGAAATCTGTACTCATAAATTCTCTGGCTAGTCTCATATTTTTGTATTTAATAAACAGATATCAACATCCCTCTGTTACTGATTTCTTGCCCTGTTTCAATGTTATAAAATTCTGGGATTCTAAATTTTAAAGTTGTTGACCAAATGAATGTATACTGGTTAGATTTACTTAACCTGGCTCTAGAAAAATTGAAATGAAGTTTGATTCCTGTGCGTGATCATTTTCAGAAATCATTCATTCATGTGGAAGGAAGCGTGGTACCAATATCTTTCACTCATCAGGCATTTTAACTACCAAAGATTTTGTTCAATGACTGAAAAATCAAATTAACCACACAGTTAACCGAGCAAATAACTGACAATTATATTATGAATTCCATAACACAGATAAAGTTAACAACAGTGTGAATTCAAATAACACACAGGCCAAGATACTCTTTCCCTTTGTATTATCAGTTTGGGGAAGAAACAGACAGAATGTGATAATCTGGTTAATTTGTCCCCACATCTCTGCTTCATTTTGCTCCTGAAGACCTTATGCTAGTGTTTGTTTTATGGTGGTGCAAACAATTCAAAATTTGGAAAGCTGGACTGTTCTTCACAAGTCACATCTTGAGCAACATGATTTCCAGCTATGCTCATTTGGTCTCAAATTCAATTGGTATGATCACTCCTAGATCCTGTGAAGAGCAAACAAGAATGTGGGTGTGTGAAAGCTCTTTGAAAAGTATGAAGAATTATAGGAATTTAAGGAGTTATTATTATATTATAAATGATATATCGAATTCTGCTAATCTCTCATTCTTTCTACTACTGTGGGTGTGGCAGCTCCAATAACTCTCTTCTGCAACTTCTTCAGATAAATGCTCAGTAAAGGGGCCGCATTTGATATTAAACTGAAAAACTGTAGACAGTAATTTTTCAGATACTACAGATAATTTTTTTTAAACCTGCAATTTCTACACCTACTATCTCCTTCTATTGAAATGATGTGTCAGCTCATTATATTAAATTCTAGCTTATTGGCCACTGGCTATATGCACAGTTATTGAACAGGGGCCCTCAAAAGGTCAGGTGAGAATATTATCAACATGGGAGCTGACTATTCTCATTAAGCCCCAGCTGGCTTTCTTGAGCAGATACAAAGAGAGAAATATGTGTCACAGACAGAAGAGCAATGGGAAAAAGGTGGTTCACCATTTGTGGAAACATAAGAGAGCACACTGCTTCAGTATAGGTAGAAAACATATGGATTTCCTCCAAAGCTTGAAAAACTTTTTAGGGATGAAAAGAGAAAATAAATATGTTTAACTCTCAAGAAAACTTTGCTGGCGAAAATAATCACAATAATTAGTCATTGCATCAAAAATGTAGTGTGAAAAGTAGCTCAGCTGGAACAATTGCTATTGTCCACCCCACTGACCTTTTAAGAAGCTTTATCTTGTAGTTAAATTTCATGTTCATCCCCCACACCATAACCTCGACTACTTTCAAGGGATCAGTTGTGACACACGTTTCTACACTAAGTTTATAAATATACACAGATGTGATAACAGGAAAGTCATTAGATTCACATCCAAATGTTGCAGCTACCTTAAAATAGCAGAGCATTTCTGTTACATTACTCTTTAATCAGTGTGATGTGTTTTTCTTTCTTTATTTATTTTTGTGTGATTTGTTTTTAGCTTTTCTAAGAGGCACTGATGTTGTAAAAGCACTCAGTATGTGGAAAACCAGTACAGTAATATTCTTCCCTTATCTGCAGGGAATACCTTCCAAGCCCCCCAGTGGTTGCCTGAAACCTCAGATAGTACCAAAACCTTCTATATACTATCATTTTTCCTATACATACATACATATAATAAAGTTTAATTTCTAACTTAGGCCCTGTAAGAAAGTCACAACAATAAGAACGAGTATAAGAATATATGTCAATAAAAGTTATGGGAATGCGATCTCTATCTCTCAAATTACCTTCTTGTTCTGTACTTACCTATTTTTGGAATGTGGTTGACCACCTGTAACTAAAACCACTGAGCGCACAACTGTGGGGTAAGCGGGGACTTCTGGAACTTCTAACTTGTATCAGGAGTCAGGACCTGATCCCTGAGGTACTTGAGATGAACTGTCTTGTCACCTTCCAGGCTCTCACACCCTAATCACCAATTCAACCCAAGTGATCCTAAGGGGAAGTAGAAGACTAATTCTCCTATGAAGGACTTTATGTTCCTCAAACTGAAAGGTCACTAAAGTAATATTAACAAAATCGAGGATCATAATGGTTACTTTAATGACAAGTCAAACTTTAATATTTTAAAGAAATTACCGTAATATTAAGATGTAGGGCCACATTAAGGGAACAGAACTGTTACAAAATTCTGAAGGAAATTGACTTTTTAGAAGAAAAGATCACCTTTGGCAAATGCCATATGACTTCCGTGTTCTTTTTTCACTGGTTAAGGGATGTTATTTTCATGTTTGCCAAGAAAAAATTTATCTTCCTTGTTAAATCCTGAAGAGTTAGTCAACTCTTATTCCATCACAGAGTTATTAGGAAACATCTAAAGCTTACAGTGGTGTGACTTGCAAAGTGATTTCCTAATACACTAACTTCAAAGGAACTTTGAAATCTCAGAATGTAAGAGCCAGCCCAGTGTTAATCCACCAAAGCACCACATAGTAGCCTGTTCGGGTTTGTTTTGATAGGTCTTTAACAAGCAGTCAAGCATTGAAGGTAGCATTCTGAAAAACACATTTCCCTATGCTATTCCTCTGATCTTTCTCTATGAAGGTGTCCTGTTTTATAACATGGAGAGCACAATGAAACTACCATTTTCATCTATACCTGCCAGCATATATCATCTTTAGCTTACTTTCCTGCTCTTTTAGGATCACAGCATAGAGATTCAGCTCTTCCCCCCAGCCAGGAAGGACTCTAGCCACAAAACTTGCTGGGTGGAAGAGATGATGTGAACACCTTTCTCCCTACCTATTACTCTTCCTTACGCCTCAATAGAAGAAAGAGTGGCAGAACAGGTGGCAAAATTTGTCAACTGTTACAAATCCCACTCCCCATACACAGGCGTCTGGGATGGAAAGAAAGATTATGCCCACTTCAAAGGGAACATATCTCTTCTTACCTTGCTGAAGAACCGTGAGTGAGTAATGATGTAATTGTTGTGGTTTCTTTATGGCCATACCCCATCTGGGCCACGTACCCTTTGAAGGTATGTGTACATTGACAAGGATGTAGGTGTTGGGGGTGTGTGTGTGTGTGTGTGTGTGTGTGTGTGTGTGAGAGAGAGACAGAGAGAGAGAGAGAGAGAGTGATTCTGTCTTTCCTACCCTGCATGAAACACATTTCTTTAACAGCTCTGCTCTCATATATATGTAAAATCTCCTAACTAGAAAATATCAGCCATTAAATTGCTCAAGGTCCTTTATTAAAAAATTTCTTTTCCTCTATTAAAAAACCCCTGTGACAAATTGTTCACAGAGTCCAGTGTCAGAAAGGGGTTGTTCTCATGACTAATTGGCCTGTTTGCTTCTATTGAAAAAATAAGTTATATAACTTATTTTTATATGTTTTTATATTTTATATTTATATTTTATATTTTATATAACTTATTTATATAACTTATATAAAAATAAGTTACATAACTCATCATATTTTCCTCTTTGCCTTGGTTACTAGGAGGCTAACTTTTGTGTACAAACACTATAGCTTTTTTCCCATGTTTTTGCTAAAATATAATTTTCAACTCTCTTTCCCTTCCCTGTTTTTGAGTAAATCTGATAAATCTGAATGTTACTGAAAACCAAAGTTTGCACAGTTTATAACAAATTAACAGTAACCACTTACATAAAATGTTCTATAATGTTAATGTGTAGTTTGCAGTACGGCCTTCTTACTTTTTCATGATACCTGCCCCATCCCCTTCCATCCCACATCTCTTTGTCTTTTTTTTTTTCCTTGAGATGCAGTCTCACTGTGTTGTCCAGGTGGGAGTGCAGTGGCACCATCTGGGCTCACTGCAACCTCCACCTCCCAGGTTCAAGCAATTCTCCTGCCTCAGCCTCCCAAGTACCTGGGACTACAGGTGCGCACCACCATGCCTAGCTAATTTTTGTGTTTTAGTAGAGATGGGGTTTCACCATGTTGGCCAGGCTAGTCTCCAACTCCTAACCTCGGTGATCTGCCCATCTCGGCCTCCCAAAGTGCTGGGGGGATGAGCCACTGCACCTGGCCCCACGCCTCTTTTTTAAAACTACAACAAGTCAGGAGATGTAATGCCTTCTTTGGACCATCGGATTCAGAAGGGTTACTTTGAGGAAAATTCTAAGAGATTCCCTTGATGATAAAGGGGTGTTTCCTTTTCAGCCTTCTTTTTCTCATTTTAATTTAGTAAACAGCACATTTGCCCATTAAAAGTTGTGTTTTCACTAAGAATCAAGTTAGATATTATTTTCTGCATTTGAAGTTGGACTCTACTTCTCAAAATTGGGCATTTGTGGGCTATTATAACTATCATATCCATAAACCCTTGTTTATCTCGGACTTTCTACATTTCAAATATTTTGATTTTTTTTTCCTATAGTAAGAATGTCACAGAAATGTTAGTAATGTGGTGTCCACAATACATCACACAAAATATCTCTTATTGTTGATTATGAGACAAAAATCCCAGGTCAAACTGTATATCCTTGTTTGGTGTCTAGAAAATGCGACCAACAGAATCCCAAGTTTTTAAAGGGGCATAATTAGAGGAGCTTGGAAAATGCAAACTGCTGTAAGAAAATAGCCGCGACCTACGGTAGGGTCTACTATAATAATAACAGAATCTAGGGATCAGGAGTCAGAGCAAGATGACCAAATAGAAGCCTCCACTGATCATCCTCCCTGCAGGAACACCGAGTTGAACAATTATCAACACACAAAAGCACCTTCATAAGAACCAAAAATCAGGTGAGCATCACAGTACCTGGTTTTAAATTCGTATCACTGAAAGAGGCACTAAAGAGAGTAGGAAAGACAGTTTTGAAATGCCAGTGCCACCCCGCCTCATCCCCTGGCAGCAGCCTCATGGCACAGGGAGAAAATCTGGGTACTTGGGGGAGGGAGAGCACAGGGATTGTGGGACTTTGTATTGGAATTCAGTGCTGCCCTGTCACAGAAACAAACAAACAAAACACCAGGTGGGTCTCAGCTGGCACCCATGGAGGGAACATTTCAACCAGCCCTAACCTCAGGGGAATTGTCCATCTGAGAAGTTGGAACTTGAATTCCAGCCACCCTTCATACCATGGGCTAAAGTGTTATGGAGTTCTAAATAAACTCGAAAGTCACTCTAGGCCACAAGGACTGCAATTCCTGGGCAAGTCCTGGTGCCGTGTGGACTTGGGGTGCACGTGACCTAGTGAGACACAACCTGGGGTGGCCAAGAGAATGGTTGTGCGACGCCTACCCCAACCCCAGGCAGCTCAGCTCACAACTCTGAAAGAGACTCCTTCTTTCTACCTGAGGGGAGGAGAAGGAAGAATAAAGAAGACTTTGTCTTGCAACATGGATACCAGCTCAGCCTCAATAGGATAGGACACCAGGCAGAGTCGTTACGGTGCTCATTTCAAGCCTTGGCACCCAGATATTTCTAGACACACCCTGGGCCAGGAGGAGACCTGCTGCCTTGAAGGGAAGGACCCAGTCCTGGCAGAATTTATTAACTGCTGACCAAAGAACCCTTGGGCCCTGAATAATCAGCAGGGGGTAGTAAGGCAGCATTTGTCATGAGCCTTGGGTGAGACTCAGAGACGTGCTAGCTTCAGGTGTGACCCAGCACATTTGCAGATCTAAGGACTACATGGAAGGACTCCTTCTGCTTGAAAAAAAGGCAGAGGGAAGAGTAGAGGAGTCTTTGACTTGAGCTTAGGTACCAGCTTGGTCACAGTGGGGAAGGGCACCAAGCAGGCTCTTATGGCCCCCAATTCCAGGCCTTGGCTCTAGGATGGAAGTTGTGGACTTTCCCTGGGCCAGAAGGGAGCCCATTGCCCTGAAGTGAGAGTCCTAGGCCTGGTGGCATTTACCAAAAGCTGCCTGAAGAGCCCTTGGGCCTTGAGTGAGCATCAGTGGTAGCTAGGCAGCATTTGCCACAGGCCTGGGGCAGCAGTAGCCATGGGGGGAGACTCCTCTGCTTGTGGAAATGGGAAATAAGAGGGGGAGGAATGCCTGTAATCCCAGCACTTTGGGAGGCCGAGGCGAGGGGATTACCTAAGGTCAGGAGTTCGAGACCAGTCTGGCCAACATGATAAAACTCTGTCTCTACTAAAAATACAAAAATTAGCTGGGCGTGGTGGTGGGAGCCTGTAATCCCACCTACTTGGGAGGCTGAGGCAGAAGAATTGCTTGAGGCCAGGAGGCGGAGGTTGCAGTGAGCCAAGATTGTGCCACTGCACTCCAGCCTGGGCGACAGAGTGAGACTGTGTCTCAAAAAAAAAAAAAAAAAAAAGAAAGAAAGAGAGACGGAAGGGCTTGCCTTATGGCTTGGGTGCCAGCTCAGCCACAGAACAATAGAGCACTAGGTAGATCCCTAAGGTTTCCAACTCTAAGCCCTGGCCTCCATACAGCGTCTCTGCACCAGTCTGGAGAGTGAGAAACTCACCACCCTGAAGGGAAGGACACAAGCCTGGCTGATTTCACTACCTGCTGACTGTAGAGTCCTAGGGCCTTGAGTGAATGTGGGTAGTAGTCAGGCAGTAGTTACGGTGGTCTTTTGGTGAGACCTAGTGCTGTGCTAGCTTCAGGTGTGGCCTAACACAGTCTCAGTGGTTGTGGCCACAGGAGTGCTTGTGTCACCCCTCCCACAGCTTCAGGCAGCTCAGCACAGAGAGATACTCCATTTGTTTGGGAGAAAGTAAGGGAGGAGTCTCTGCCCTGTAATTCAGAGAATTCTTCAAGATCTTATCCAAGACCACCAAGGCAGGACCTCTGTGAGTCTGCAAGAACCACAGCGTTACTGGGCTTGGGGTAACTTCTAATGCAGATATGGCTATAGTGATCAAAAACTTAGATCACCAAACCGAAGTCCGTTCAAATACCTGGAAAGCCTTTCCAAGAAAGACGGGTACAAACAAGCCCAGATTGCAAAGACTGCAATAACTACCTAATTCTTCAAAGCCTGGACATTGACAAGCATCCATAAGCATCAAAACCATCCAAGAAAACAGGACCTCACCAAACAAACTAAATAAGGCCACAGAGACCAATCCCAGAGAGACAGAGATATGTGACCTTTCAGACAGAGAATGCCAAATAGTTGTTTTGACAAAACTCAAAGAAATTCAAGATAACACAGAAAAGGAATTCAGAATCCTATCAGATAAGTTTAACAAAGAAATGGAAACAAAAAGAATCAAGAGGAAATTCTGGAGTTGAAAAATGTAATCAACATACTGAAAAATGCATCAGAGCCTGTTAAAGAGCAGAACTGATCAAGCAGAAGAAAGAATTAGTGAGCTTGAAGACAGGCTATTTGAAAATACACTGTCAGAGGAGACAAAAGAAAAAAGAATGAAAAAGAATGAAGCATGTCTACAAGATCTAGAAAACAGCCTCAAAAAGGCAAATCTAAGAGGTATTGACCTTAAAGAAGAGGTAGAGAGAGAGAGATAGGGGTAGAAAGCTTACGGAAAGGATAACAGAGAGGTTATCCCAAACCTAGAAATATTAATATTCAAGTACAGGAAGGTTATAGAAAACCAAGCAGATTAAACTCAAAGAAGGCCACCTCAAGGCATTTAATAATCAAATTCCCAAAGGTCAAGCATAAAGAAAGGATTCTAAAAGAAACAAGAGAAAAGAAACAAATAATATACAATGCAGCTCCAATACATCTGGCAGCACACTTTTCAGTAGAAGCCTTACAGGCCAGGGGAGAGTGGCATGACATATTTAAAGTGCTAAAGGGAAAAAAATTTAACCCCAGAATAGTATACCTGGCAAAAATATCCTTCAAATATAAAGGACAAATACAGGCTTTCCCACACAAACAAAAGCTGAGGAATTTCATTAATACCAGAACTGTCCCACAAGAAATGCTAAAGGGAGTTCTTCAATCAGAAAGAACACAACTTTAGTGAGCAATAAGAAATCATCGAAGGCATAAAACTCACTGGTAATAGTAAGTACACAGAAAAACACAGACTATTATAACACCGTAATTGTGGTGTGTAAACTACTCATATCTTAAGTAGAAAGACAGAAAGATAATAAAAAACAACTTTTCAAGACTTAGACAGTACAATAAGATGGCCAGGCACGGTGGCTCATGCCTGTAATCCTAGCACCACTTTGGGAGGCCAAGACAGGCAGATCATGAGGTCTGGAGTTCAAGACCAGCCTGGCCAACATGGTGAAACCCTGTCTCTACTAAAAATATAAAAATTAGCCGGGCATGATGGCACGTGCCTGTAATCTCAGCTACTCAGGAGGCTGAGGCAGGAGAATTGCTTGAACCTGTGAGGCGGAGGTTGCAGTGAGTCCAGATCGTGCTGCCACCACACTCTAGACTGGGCAACAGAGCAAGACTCCATCTTAAGGAAAAAAAAAAAAGCAAAAACAAAACCAGACAGTTCAAAAAGATATAAGTAAAAACAAGAAAAAGTAAAACCGTGGGCAGACAAAGTTAAAGTGTAGGGCCAGGCATGGTGGCTCTCACCTATAATCCCAGCACTTTGGGAGGTCAAAGTGGGTGAATCACCTGAGGTCAGGAGTTTGAGACCGGCCTGACCAACATAGTGAAACCCTGTCTCTACTAAAAATACAAAATTAACTGGGCATGGTGGTGCATGCATGTAATCCCAGCTACTTCGGAGGCTGAGACAGGAGAACCTCTTGAACCCAGGAGGTGGAGGTTGCAGTGAGCCAAAATTGCACCATTGCACTCCAGCCTAGGCAACAACAGCAAAACTCTATCTCAAAAAAAAAAAAAAAAAGAAAGTTAAAATGTAGAGTTTTTATTAGTTTTCTTTTTGCTTGTTTCTCAGTTTGTTTATGCTATCAGAGTTAAGTTGTCATCAGTTTAAAATAATGGGTTATAAGATGTTATTTACAACCCTCATGGTAACTCGAATCAAAAAACATACAAAGGGTACAAAAAAACCATGAAGCAAAAAGCTAAAGTATACCACCAGAGAAAATCACTTTCACTAAAAGGAAGATATACAATGAAAAACATACAATGGTTATACAAAAAATAAGCAGCAAGAAACTAAAGCATACCACCAGAGAAAATTACCTTCACTAAAAGGAAGACAGGAAGGAAGGAAAGAAGGAAGAGAAGATCACAAAACAGACAGAAAACAGAAAACAAAATCGCGGGACAAAGTCTTTAATTATCAATAATAAAATTAAAAGTAAATGGACTAAACTCTCCAATCAAAAGACATAGAGTGGATTTTAAAAACAAGTGGATTTAAATCTGAATGGATTTAAAAAACAAGACTCAATGACCTGTTGCCTACAAGAAACACACGTCATCTGTAAAGACCTAAATAGACTGAAAACAAAGGGATGGAAAAAGACTGTATTCAAAGGAAACCAAAAAAACAGCAGAAGTAGTTATATTTATATCAGCCAAAATAGATTTCAAGACAAAAACTATAAAAAGACACAAAGATGATCATTACATAATGATAAAGTGATCAATTCACCAAGAGGATATAACAATTATAAGTATATATGTACCCAACACTGAGGCACCCAGAAATATAAAGAAAATATTACTAGAGCTAAAGAGAGGGATAGACCCCAACACAATTAGAGCTGAAGACCTCAACCTCATTTTGAGCATTGGAAAGATCATCCAGACAGAAAATCAACAAAGAAACACTGGACTGCATCATAGACCAAATGGATTTTATATTTACAGACATTTTGTCCAATGGCTACAGAATACACATTATTCTCCTCAGCATATGGGCCACTAAAAAACTCTTATAACTGATAAACAAATTTGGTAAAGTTGCAGAATACTAAATCAACATACAAAAATCAGTAGCATTTCTATATGCTAACAGCAAACAATCTGAAAAGAAATCAAGAAAGTAATCTCATTTATAATAGCTATAAATGAAATTAAATACCTAGGAGTTAACCAAAGAAGTGAAAGATCTCTACAATAAAAAATATAAAGCATTGATGCAAGAAATTGAGGAGGACACAAAAAATGGACAGATATTTCATCTTCATGAATTGGAAGAATTAATATTGTTAAAATGTCCATGCTACCCAAAGCAATTACAGATTCAATACAATCTATCAAAATACTAATAACATTCTTTACAGAAATAGAAAAAAAATCCTGAAATTTATATGAAGCCACAAAAGACCCAGAATAGCCAGAGCAAAAATAAAAACTGAAAGAATTACATTACCTGACTTCAAATTATACTACAGAGCTATACTAACCAAAATAACACGGTAGTGGCATAGAAACAGACACATAGACCAATAGAACAGAATTGAGAACCCGGAAACAAATCCATACATCTACAGTGAACTCATTTTCAACAAAAGTGCCAAGAACATACCTTGGGGAAAGGGACAGTCTCTTCAATAAATGGTGCTGGGAAAACTGGATATCCATTACACAGAAGGATGAAACTAGACCTCTATCTCTCACCATATACAAAAGCCAAATCAAAATTAATTAAAGAATTAAATCTAATACCTCAAACTATGAAACTACTACAAGAAAACATTGGAGAAAATCTCCAGGACATTGGCCTGGGCAAAAATTTATTGAGCAATACCCCACAAGCATAGGCAACGAAAGCAAAAATAGACAAACAGGATTACGTCAAGTTAAAAAGCTTCTGTACAGCAAAGGAAACATAAACGAAGTGCAAAGACAACCCACAGAATCGGAGAAAATCTTTGCAAATGATCAATCTCACAAGGGATTAATAATAACCAGAATATATAAGGAGCTAAAACAGCTCTACAAGGAAAAAAAATCTAAAAATCCAATTTATTTTATTTTTTTTACAGTCAATAATAATTTATTGTACATTTAAAAATAATGAAAAGATTATAATTTGATTATTTGTAACACAAAGACAGGGCATATGCTTGAGTTGATGGATACCTCATTACCCTGATGTGATTATTATGCATCGTATGCCTATATCAAAATATCTCATGTACCCGATACATATAAACACCTACTATGTACCAACAAAAAATAAAAATTAAAAAATTTTAAAAGGCAGCTTCACAAATGAGCCAATTAGTAGCACTTTAACATTGTGTAAATAATATGTTGAAGAAAAGAGAATTTCACAAAAAACTGGAATGCATAAACAAGATTCAAATATAAATTCTAGAATTAAAAATTAACTGAAATTGTCCTATGACCCACAAATGCTACTCCTAAATATATAGTAAGCAGAAATATCCCAAATCTTCATTGAAATATGTATACAAATATTTATAGACACCTTAGTTCATAATATCACCCAACTAGAAACTACTCAAATGTCCATGAATCACTGAATGAATAGATAGGTTGTGGTATATCCACACAATGGAATACCAATGTCAAGAAGCTTTTTTTTTCTTTTCTTTTGTTGAGATGGAGTCTCGCTCTGTCGCCAGGCTAGAGTGCAGTGGTGCAATCTTGGCTCACTGCAACCTCTGCCTCCTGGGTTCAAGCGATTCTTCCGCCTCAGCTGCCCCAGTAGCTGGGACTACAGGCACGTGCCACCATGCCCAGCTAATTTTTGGATAAAAATCCAATTTAAAAATGGGCAAAAGATTTGAATAGACATTTCTCAAAAGAATCCATACAAATGGCAAACAGGTATATGAAAATGTGCTAAAAATCATTAAGCATCAGAGGAATGCAAATCAAAACTACAATGAGATATACTCTTAGCCATTAAAATGGCTTTTATCCAAAAGACAGGCAATAACAAATACTGGAGATAATGTGGAGAAAAGAGAACCATACATACAAAGAGAACATACACCATTGTTGGGAATGTAAATTAGTACAACCACTATGTAAAACAGTTTGCAGATTCCTCAAGAAACTAAAAATAGAGTTACCATATGATCCAACAATCCCATTGCTAGGTATATACCCCAAAGAAAGCAAATTAGTATATAAAGAGATATCTGCAGTGCCATGTTTATTGCAGCACTATTCACAATACCCAATATTGGGAAGCAACCCAAGTGTCCATCAGCAGACGAGTATCTCAAGAAAATGTGGTACTTCCACTGACTTTCTTCACAGAATTGGGAAAA
The DNA here is from genome assembly GCF_000001405.40 of Homo sapiens. Taxonomy (NCBI): domain Eukaryota; kingdom Metazoa; phylum Chordata; class Mammalia; order Primates; family Hominidae; genus Homo; species Homo sapiens. The sequence continues at coordinate 113,317,668 of NC_000001.11, forward strand.
ACTACTTTAAATTTCATATGGAACCCAAAAGGAGCCCACATAGCCAAGACAATCCTAAGCCAAAAGAACAAAGTGGGAGGCATCACGCTACCTGACTTCAAACTATACTACAAGGCTACAGTGACCAAAACAGCATGGTACTTGTACCAAAACAGATATATAGACCAATGCAACAGAACAGAGACCTCAGAAATAACACCACACATCTACAATCATCTGCTCTTTGACAAACCTGACAAAAACAAGCAATGGGGAAAGGATTCCCTATTTAATAAATGGTGCTAGGAAAACTGGCTAGCCATATATAGAAAGCTGAAACTGGATCCCTTCCTTACACCATGTACAAAAATTAACCAAGATGGATTAAAGACTTAAATGTTAGACCTAAAACCATAAAAACCCTAGAAGAAAACCTAGGCAATATGATTCAGGACATAGGCATGGGCAAGGACTTCATGACTATAACACCAAAAGCAATGGCAACAAAAGCCAAAATTGACAAATGGGATCTAATTAAACTAAAGCACTTCTGCACAGCAAAAGAAACTATCATCAGAGTGAACAGGCAACCTACAGAATGGCAGAAAATTTTTGCAATCTACCCATCTGACAAAAGGCTAATATCCAGAATCTACAAAGAACTTAAACAAATTTACAAGAAAAAAAACCATCAAAAAGTGGGCAAAGGATATGAACAGACACTTCACAAAAGAAGACATTTACGCAGTCAACAGACATATGCAAAAATGCTCATCAGCACTGGTCATCAGAGAAATGCAAATCAAAACCACAATGAGATACCATCTCATGCCAGTTAGAATGGCAATCATTCAAAAGTCAGGAAACAACAGATGCTGGAGAGGATGTGGAGAAATAGGAATTCTTTTACACTGTTGGTGGGAGTGTAAATTAGTTCAACCATTGTGGAAGACAGTGTGGTGGTCCCTCAAGGATCTAGAACTAGAAATACCATTTGACCCAGCCATCCCATTACTGGGTATATACCCAAAGGATTATAAATCATACTACTATAAAGAGACATGCACACATATATTTATTGCGGCAGTATTCACAATAGCAAAGACTTGGAACCAACCCAAATGTCCCAAATGTCCATCAATAATAGACTGGATAAAGAAATTGTGGCACATATACACCATGGAATACTATGCAACCATAAAAAAGGATGAGTTCATGTCCTTTGCAGGGACATGGATGAAGCTGAAAACCATCATTGTCAACAAAATATCACAAGGACAGCAAGCCAAACACCGCATGTTCTCACTCATAAGTGGGAGTTGAACAATGAGAACACATGGACACAGGGAGGGGAACATCACACACCAGGGCCTATTGGGGGCTGGGGGGCTGGGGGAGGGATAGCGTTAGGAGAAATACCTAATGTAAATGATGAGTTGATGGGTGCAGCAAACCAACATGGCACATGTATACCTATGTAACAAACCTGCACGTTGTGCACATGTACCCTAGAACTTAAAGTATAATAAAAAAAATGGTACTTATACAAAATGGAGTACTATTCAGTGATAAAAAAAGGATGACTTCCTGTCATTTGCAACAACATGGATGGAACTGGAAGTCTTATGTTAAGTGAAATAAGCCAGGCACAGAAATACAAGCTTTGCAAGTTCTCACCAATTTGTGGGAGCAAAAAATAAAAACCACTGGACTCATGGAGATAGAGGGTAGAATGGTGGTTACCAGAAGCTGGGAAGGGTAGTCGGGTGAGGGAAGGGGGAAGGATAGTGGTTACAAAAATGTAGTTAGATAGAATGAATAAGATCTAGTATTTGATAGCACAATAGAATAACTACACTCAACAATAATTTATTGTATATTTTTGAATAACTAAAAGAGTATAAATGGATTGTTACAAAAAAGGGATAAATGCTTGAGATGATGGATATTCCATTTACCCTGATGTGATTATTATGCATTGTATGCCTGTAACAAAATATCTCATGTACCCCATAAATATATATACCTACTATATAAGCAGAAAAGTTAAAAATAAAAAATTTTTTTAAAAATTGAATCTTGGTATTCATAATTATTGACTCAATATTTTCTTACTAAGACCATTACTGAATAATGACCATGCTTTTTGCCAGACATAGAATTGTTCCAAGGAAGTCTAGGGTCTAATATAAAGCAAGGTATTCTATAATAGTATAATAATAATCCTGTCTGTGCTATCCATTTGTAATTAGTCCATTCAGAATCATGATCTTAAAATAATTTCATCTAGTAGGATATATATATATATTACATATGTATTTATATATTTATAAAATTGAAATACATATATATGTATCTATAAAATGGAAATACATACATATTTATCCTGTCATTTTCAACAATATGGATGGAACTGGAGATCATTATGTTAAGTGAAATAAACCAGGCACAGAAAGACAAACTTTGCATGTTCTCACTTATTTGTGGGAGCTAGAAATTAAAACTATTGAACTCCTGGAGATGGAGAGTAGAATGATGGTTACCAGAGGCTGGAAAGAATAATGTAGGCAGGGAGTGGGAAAGGTTAATGGTACAAACATATAGTTAGATAAAATGGAAATACATACATATTTCCATTTTGTAGATAGAAAAAAACAGAAGCTCAGAGATGTCCAGCAGCCTGTCCCAGGTTGCTTGGTGAAGTGTTTTTTACAACTCCTTTGCCAGTGCTCTGCCTCTGTTATGTAAAAAAATACAAGGTGGTATTTGTAGTATCACTTGCTATGCAGCCTGTAATGGTTAACTAGATTAATTAGTCATAAGTGATTCAGAAGCACTGGGTAAACATGGGTGTGTATACATAAATGATCAGTCACATATCAAATAGCTTTTAGCCTACATATGTTTGAAGAAGGGTGCTCTAGGAAGAATTTTTAAAAGCTAAGCTTCAGAAGTAAAGGTTCTTATGCAACACTGATATTAATATTCTATAAAACTATTTAAAATTGATTAGGTTGCTATATCACTAAAAATCCAGAGGGAACTAATAATTTTGGAGTATTGCCCAAATGATGACCCCAGGCAACCCCTGAAACCAGCAGTGAATACTGCGTTAGGATTTCAATCTATTTATTAATATTATGCTTCTACACAAAGAACACAAAATAGAGAGAAGAGAGGAGAGCAATGGCCTGTCTAGTTGATATGATCAGTATTGATAATTAGAGGAGATAAAGAACAAGTAACAGATTTTGAGATTTTTGTCTGAATTGTCTGAATAATTGTCTAAGCTGCTTGTGTGTGTTTGTGTGTGTGTATGTCTGTGTGTCTGTGTGTAGATTCAGAGATGAAAATGAATTTCAATTTTTAAAAATCCATTCCTCATAATTGGTCCTAATGCCTAATGATAGCATTTTTCAAAATAGAAGTTCATCTGATATTGTTGTTAGTAGAGGCAAAGGGAAAGGGAGTCTCTGCTTTCTGGAAAGCTAGCAGCATGGCATTAGCTCACCATAAGTATCAGTGGTGCCTATAGTGACCCTCTTGCCCCCCTTTTCTCTGTTCTCACACCTATTGTTACGTAAGAAACTCCCCTTTTCTCTCTTTCTTAGAATTCTTATGAAGAATTTCTGCTCTTGCTCAGCACTGTTGTTCTTCCAATGCCCTCGTGTGAGAGAATAAGAATTACTTGCAAATCAAATTCCAGGGATTTGCATGGTAGACTTGAAGCTCTTGCTGCCTTTTGTTGGATAACTAAGATTGGTTTGTATCTTGTACAAACATTCCTGTCATTCATTAAAAGAAATGTAATAGTCTATTTAGGTATGCAATTCCTTCACTTCTCCAAACATATGACCTGTTTGCCTCTTCAGAAGAAGCCAGAGAGCTGGATCAACCTCTTTTGGCTGCTAAGTTACTGTACTTGTTTCTATTACCCTTGGTCCACGTGTATTGCCAGGAAAAAGATCTTCCCTTGAGCTTCAAACATTTGATTCTTAACCCCATATATCATTCTTAAAATTATCAAGATGACTTTGTTAAGCAACTGCTAAGCTAACTCATAGGTATTGCCAATGGCATACACTCTTTATCTATAGGAAAATATTAGATAGTAATGTACTCAGAAACTTGGAACAATTTTTTTTCTTTACAAAGTGATAATGACCTCTATACTTGACCTCCCAATTAAGAGTGTAGTTTAAAGAAACTGCCAAATGTTCACAATTAGGCAATAGAAAGACCTACTTAAGAAGTAGAAAGCAAGCTTCCCATCTGTGAAGTCTTTACTACCCACATGGAACAAAGATAACATAAAAATGTCAAGTGAACAATTACATATGGAATTCTAGGAACTCTGGAAGGGAGGAAGAACCAGAGGAGTCTTCCAGATCAAGGATCAACAAACTCTTCTTGTAAAGAGACAGAAAACAGATATTTTAGGCTTTGCAGGCCATATGTTCTTTGTTGCAACTATTCAGCTCTGCTTTGTAGTGCAAACGTAGCCATAGACAATAATGAGTATAATTGTATTTCAATAAAACTTTATTTATAAAAACAGATGGTGGGCCAGCTTTGGATCATAGATTGCTGATTCCTGTCCTAGACCAAACCCCTCCCAATATAGAAATCTCATCTCTAGCACCCAGACCATTCTATATTTGGACAGTTGTAATAACTGGAGGTTTTCCTTATACAAAGTTACACCGTGTCTCTCTGAAACTCTCACCCACTGTTACCACCGTTGCCTCTGAACTAGACCATGACAGTAGCCTCCTAACTTATCTCTCTGGTTCTACCTTGTCCTTCCTACAATCAATTCTCCATAGAAGCCCCTTAACTAGTCCTTATAAAATGTAAGCCAAATCATGTCATTCTCTGGCTCAAGGTCCTCTGATAGTTTTCTATAACATTTACAATAAATCAAAATGCTTTACCTCAGCCTATAATTATAGGCCTGAAATACCTGGTTTCATGACTGTTTCTCTGATCTCATTTCCTACTACTCACTGCTCTCTGGCCACACTGGCTTCTCAGTGTTTTCCAACATACTATGTGCATTCCCATCTCAGGGCGTTTGTGCTGGTTTTTATTTGTCTGGAATTTCTTCTCCCAAATGCTTGCAGGGCTTGCTCCTTCTTTTCATTCAAGTCTCTGCTCAAATGCTACCATCTCAGAGAGGCCTTCTCCAGCTGCATTATCTATCCTGCTCCATGCTCGACTGTATATTTTACCCTGCTCTATTTTATTTCATATCATCTAACGCTAACATTATATTATACATATGAATGTGTGATTCTTTTTATAATTTACTCCCCCAACTCATGCCAGTTTTATATCAGTAGGAATTTATGTGCCTTGTTCACTGTTGTATTTCTACTGCCTAGAGCAGGAACTAGTATATATCAGTTACTTACTACATATTTGCTGGATACATGATAAATGTGGCTTTGCCCAGTGCAGTTTCCAAAAATACATATGATCACTCTTCCATATGACAACACTTCTACACGTGAAGGCAAGCTCTATATTCTTCCTAAATTTCCTAGTATCCAGGGATATGTAGCTTCCACTCCTGTAATATTTGCATTACTCCCTTAGGCCCAATAACTGGTCATGATCCTTAAGTTTTGACCTTAGGCTTCTACCTACATTTGCTCATCAGGTTACATCTGCCCCTGGTCACTCTGGGTACCTACTTTACCAGATCTAGTTTGACTTTTGGGACCTCTACTCCCTAAGGTTTGCCCAGGCACTTGTGAAAGGGAATCAAACACCAGTGTGTAGACATTTGTCATTCCTTTTAGCTGCTCAGTGACTGAACTTCCCCTTGGGTTTGAGGAATCTCCTCCCCACCTTATGAGACAAAGACCTCTATTCAGCAAAGAATCTGAAATTTCCATATATTCACTTTCCTAACCACCCTTACAGTAAGAGTGCTGTCACATGATCTAGCCTTCACCAATCAGATACTCTAGTCCTAAATTTCGTGGCAAGAACCAGTGAGGTTAAGAAGCAGCAACTGACCAAAATCCATTCTGGTGGTGCTGTGACAAAGGTAGCCATGACGTTCTGTTTCAGAGGCAGCAAAAGCAGAGGTTCTAGTGCATCCAGAGCTTATCTTCTTCTGACTTACTTGTGTACTATGATTTATTATGTATTATGCTTATTGTTAATTGTGTTAGAATGTTAGCTCCATAGGGGCAGGAATCTTTGCTTTGTTCAGTTGTGTGTCCCAAGCATCTAGAGCAGGGCCTGGCACAAAGTAGGAGCTCAATAAACATTTATGAATGAGTGTGCGCTGAGATGACCTTTTTTTTTTTTTTTATTGAGAGGGAGCCTTGCTCTGTCACCCAGGCTAAAGTGCAGTGGTGTCATCTTGGCTCACTGCAGCCTCCGCCTCCCGGATTCCAGTGATTCACCTGCCTCAGCCTTCCAGGTAGCTGGGATTACATGCACGTGCCACCACACCCTGCTAATTTTTGTATTTTTAGTAGAGATGGGGTTTCACCATGTTGGCCAGGATGGTCTTGAACTCCTGACCTCAGGTGATCTGCCTGCATCGGCCTCCCAAAGTGCTGGGATTACAGGCATGAGGCACCGTGCCTGGCTGGAGATGACATTTTTTCATCTATCAGATTGATAAAAAAGGCTTATCTGTGAGAGTGTGAAGGAATAAACATTTACACATTGTTGGTGAGATCATAAATTGCTGTAAACATTTTAAAATGTAAGATTGAAAATAATTTCATATCCAGGAATTATGCTGCACAAGTACACTGAGATCTTAATTCAAAGATGTTCATTGCAGGATTCTTTGCAATAGCAAAATATTGAAAATAAACAAAATATCAATCCATAGGGAACTGGATAAATAAATTTTTATATATTCATAGAGTAGAACTATATGCATTGACATGGAAAGGTTTCCAGACCTAGAACCCTCGGATATAAATAGTACCTAGTACTATTTTAGAAACTTTAATAAACAATTTTTTCAGAAAGGTATTCACAAGTAAGTTTTTTGCAGTGGTTGCTTTGGGGAAGCGGGTAGGTTTGGGGTTGTGGAAGGGGGGAGATTTTTGCTTTCTCATTTTATGCCTTTCTATACTATTTTACTTTCTCCCGTATGTGTGTATTATTCATATTTGTAAAAACAAAGAAAATGAAATGAGTTGACTTTTATCCCCCTACTCTGTCGTCCAGACTGGAGTGCAGGGGTGTGATCACAGCTCACTACAGCCTCAACCTCCCAGTCGAGGGGATATTTCCACCTCAGCCTCCCAGTGCTGCTAATTTTGTCTTCTAAATATTTATTGACCTCACCCCTCCTCTCTATCCTCACTTTTTGCCCTGTTTAAGGCCAGCTGGGACTACAGGCCTATGCCACCATGCCCAGCTAATTTTTAAAATTATCTGTAGGGACAAAATTATTTGTAGAGACAAAATTATTTGTAGAGACAAAGTGTCGTTGCCCAGGCTGGTCTCAAACTCCTGGGCTGCAGCAATCCTCCTGTCCGGCTCTCCCAAAGTGCCGGGATTACAGGTGTGAGTCACACATGCTTGGCCATGAGTTGGCATTTTTACTAATCAAGTTAGCAAAGTGTTTTGGTTTTGTTTAGTTGTTTTTAATGATGATTTTCTGCAGGAAGAGATATTGTGAAATGGATAACCTTACAATACCAGTGGCATTATAAATTGTTGCAATCCTTTTTGAAAGAGGTTTGATAACATGTAACAAAAGGTTTTAAACATTTGTATATTTTGATACTGTAAACATTTTTAAGAAATCTATCTTAAGGAAATCTGTCCCATACATGGAAAGCACTTTATATATAAAGATATCAATGAAATTATTATTTTAAATATCCCAACATTAGAAACAAATATCCCATAAAATATGAATTAAAGCACATCCATAGACAGTCAATATTATCTATTTAAAATAATATTTACAAAGATTTTGTTACAAAATAAATACGTTTGAGGTGTAATGTTAAGAGAAAAAAATATCACACACTGTTAGACTTAGTGGACAGAATGATCACAACCATGTTAAAGGATCTTCTTAGAAAAATACTGACAGGAATGTTAATTAGTGGGTAGCAGAACTTTTTCTTATCCTAGCTTTCGATAATTTCCAAGTTTTCTAAAATAAGCATTTATTATTTTATATTGGAAAAATAACTATTCTGTAAAGAGGAAATGAGACATGCTTGGTATGATTTGTTCATAGTCAATGTGTTCTGAGGCTAAATTAATCCACCATTTTAATTTCTAAATGAAATGTTCATTTACTGTTTCCAAAAATTGGCTACAGCATTTTGCCAAGGACCAATCATCAAACTTGCCAATTTTTATTATCCAAAGACACTCATTACTCATCACCAAGTGCTGCTAATTTTGTCTTCTAAATATTTATTGACCTCACCCCTCCTCTCTATCCTCACTTTTTGCACTGGTTAAGGCCTTTATCCTGACCGCACCTCCAGCTTCATTCTGGTTTCCCTCCATTTCACCCTCCACTCTGCCATGAGAGCAGTCTTTTTACAACACTGTTATACCACATTATTCATTTACCAAAACCTTCCCATAGCTCTTATGGCCCCAGGGCCACAGGGTTCTTGGTGAACCTACCAGACTCTCCTGACCCAAGCCCTGTCTGCATCTCCCCATCTCTCTTCAGCTGAGAATACAGAGGTGCTCATGGTTCTCTGAGCTCACCCTGCCACTTTACAACTCCTTGGCTTTGTTCATACCATTGCTTCAATCTAGAACCTTCTTCATTTGCTAACTCTCTGCCTTCCCCATGCCTCAGGCCCAACATCTGCTCCTCCAGGAAGACTTCTCTGACCCACCAGGCTGGGTCACAAAAGTGAACAAACCAATACTGCTTGTTAGGTTTTCAGAGCATTTGCATATAGAATAACACATCTAGCCCTCGTAATAACCCCGTGAAAATGGCAAGAAACACATTATCCACATTTTACAGATAAGAAAGGTAAGATTCAGACAACATACTTGGTTGAAATCATGTGGCTCATAGGGCAGAGCCAGGACTGGTACCCCGGTAAACCTTGACCTTAAATACAACGTTTGGTTTTTGTTTTGTTTTATTTCCTTTCGTGCTTGCTTTCTGAGCTGCTAAGATTAGAGAGGCAAACCTAGAGAGGCTGAGGAGCTGTTCAGGAGAAGGGGAATCTAGCTGATAGAGAATCTTGACATTTTTCAGTATGTCAATTGCCTTTTTCAACTCCAGAATTTCTTCCTGATTCTTTTTAATTATTTCAATTTCTTTGTTAAATTTATCTGATAGAATTCTTAATTCTTTTTCTGTGTTACCTTGAATTTCTTTGAGTTTTGTTCAAACAGCTATTTGAAATTCTCTGTCTGAAAGGTCACATATCTCTGTCTCTCTGGGGTTGTTCCCTGGTGCCTTATTTAGTTTGTTTGGTGAGGCCATGCTCTTTTGAATGGTCTTGATGCTTATGGATATTTGTTGGTGCCTGGGCTTTGAGGAGTTATTCATAATCTGGGCTTGTTTGTACCTGTCCTTCTTGGAAAGGCTTTCCAGGTATTTGAAGGGACTTGGGTTTGGTGACCTAAGTTTTTGATCACTGCAGCCATATCTGCTTTAGGAAGTACTCCAAGCCCAGTAACACTGGTTCTTGCAGACTCGTAGAGGTACGCCCATGGGGTCTTGGATAAGATCTGGGAGAATTCTCTGGATTACCAGGCAAAGACTCTTGTTCTCTTTTCTTACTTTCTCTCAAACAAATGGAGTCTCTCTCTGTGTGTTGAGCTGCCTGGAGCTGAGGGAGGGGTGACACCAGCATCCCTGTGACCAGTACCTCTGAGACTGCACTGGGTCAGACCTGAAGCCAGCACAGCACTGGGTCCTGCCCAGGCCTGCTGTAACTACTCCCTGGCTACTGTCTATGTTCAATCAAGGCCTTGGGGCTCTACAATCAGCAGGTGGTGAAGCCAGCCATGCTTGTGTCCCTCCCTTAAGGGCAGCAATCCCTCTGGCCCCCAGGCAGGTCCAAAGATGCCGTCCTGGAGCGAGGGCCTGGAGGCAGAAACCCTAGAAGTCTACCTGATGCTCTAGTCTAATGTGGCTGAGCTGTCACCAAAACCACCAGAAAAAGTCCTTCTCACTCTTCTCTCCCCTTTTCCCAGGCAGAGGAGTCTCTCCCCATGTCTGCCACCACCATAAGTTCATGGAGAGTACTGCCAGGGTACCACTAATGTTCACTTAAGGCCCAAGGGCTCTTCAGTGAGCTTTTGGTAAATGCTGCCAGGCCTGGGACTCACTCTTCAGGTAAGTGGGCTCCCCTCTGGCCCAGGGTAGGTCCAGAGATGCTGTCGAGGAGCCAAGGCCTGGAATCAGGGACCCCAAGAGCCTGCTTGCTGCACTTTTCCACTTTGGCCAAGCTGGTACCTAAGCCCACATCAAAGTCTCCTTTACTCTTCCCTCTTCTTTTCTTGGGAAGAAGGGGTCTCTCCTCATAGCCACCACTGCTATGAATGTTCTGGGTCACACCTGAAGCCAGCACATCTCTGAGTCTCATCCAAGGCACATGGTGTCCACTACCTGGCTACTGCTGCTGATTATTCAGGCCCAAGAGCTTTTTAGTCAGCAGTTGAGGAATTCTGCCAGGAATGGGTTCTCCCCTTCAAGGCAGCAGGTTCCCTTCTGGCTCAGCATGTATCTAGAAATGTTGTTCAGGAGCTAGGGCCTGGAATTGTGGCCTTATGACTCTGTCCAGTGCCCTGTCCTACATTGGCTGAGTTGGTATCCACATTGCAAAACTAAGTCCTCTTTACTCTTTTCTCTACTCTCCTCAAGCAGAAGGAAGGGGTCTCTTTTGAAGCTGTGAGCTGCACTGCCTGGGGTTGTGGGAGAGGTGGTGTAAGCGATTTCTTAGCCCTGCCCAGCCGGTGTCTCATTAGGTCATGCACCCACAGAGTCCACTGGATCTAAGCCCTGCACAGTCCTAGGTCTTGCCTAGAAGTTGTAGTCCTTGTGGCCTAGGGTGCCTTTCAAGTTTATTTAGAACCCCACAGCACTTTAGCCTGTGGGTGAGGCTTGTTGAAACCTAAGTTCCAACTGCCAGGATGGGCAATTCTTCTCTGGCAAGGGTTGGTCTAAATGCTCCCTCTTGTGAGTGCCAGCTGAGTTCTGCCTGGGTTGGCAGCAGTGTATTCCAGTGCAAATTCCCACAATTACTGCATTCTCCCTCTCCCAAGAACATATAATTCTCTCACCATGCCATTTGGCCATCCATTGCCAGGGGGATGGGGAAGGGGTGGTGTTGGCAATTCAAGACTATCTTTCCTCCTCTTCAGTGCCTCTTTCAGAGATATGAAGTTAAAACCAGGTACTGTGATTGCTCACCTGATTATTGGTTCTTATGAAGGAGCCTTTTGTGTAGTTGTTAAATTTTGTGTTCCTGTGGGGAGGATGATTGGTGGAAGCTTCTGTTCAGCTATCTTGCTCCACCTCCTCTCTCCCACCTGCCTTTGAATCTCTGTCAAGATGCAAATGATGGCGGCTGACTCCATTGCGAACTCAGAATAAATAGCCTTCGCTTTTCTCGTTTGGTTGACCTTTGTTTATTTCGGCACTTGAGAAATAAATGAAGAGCTTTTTATTATTCTGGAAATTATGGGAAGACTCTTGGTATTAAAGTATCAACATAGGATACTTTACCTTTGATATCAGTAGCAATTGTGAATTATATAAACAGAGTCCAAATGACTATTAGACCAGAGCAGGGCAGGTGCAGGAAGGATGAAAAACAGAAATGCGTAATTTGTATAAAAAGTAGCCATATTGGAAGAGGTATCAAATATGTAATTTATCTTTCCAATCATATTCCTCTTTTTTCCTTGAGAACAAGTTGCATATGTATCACTGTTAGTCATGAAAAGGGACATTACCATTGAAGCTATTCCTCTGTTCTCAACTTCCTCTACCTCTTTTGGTTCCTGGTATTGCCTTCTTTCTTCAGTCAGCTTGATATAACCCTTTTGCTTTAAACAAAAACATCTTCTTCTTCTTATATTTCACCAAGTCATGAGACCAGCTATGTAATTTGTGGGCCTAGCACAGAATGAAAATGTGAGGCCCCTGGCTCAAAAAATATGAACAACTTTTAGATGGTGACAGTAGAACATTATTAATTCAAGCATGAGGGCCTCCTGAGTTGCTTCTAAGACCCACACAGGTTACACACCTAGAAAGCCAGCCTTGTTAGGCTGAAAGGTAAACAAATACATCTTAGGAAACCTTTCCTCTTCTTTCTCTGCTTCATTTTCTCTTTGCTTTGCTAAGGCAATAATCTCTGGGAAATGCCACCCTTTTTATAACAATAAAACAAAAAGAAGATGAGCAGAATTTCCCCCTACCTTTCTATTCCCAGTTAACCCCCGTTTATATTTTGGAGGTTCTATGCTCCCAGGGAGGAAAGATTCTGCCTCCATACTCTCTTTGGTCTTCATCAACAGTACTTTATCAACTCTGAGACCTAAGATCCTACAAACTAAGCATGTGGGACCATCAAATGGGCTTTTCTAGGCTGGGAGTCCACATAAAAGCAAGACTAACGCATTCTTTTTAAGAAAGAACAGAAATCTTTCAGTGATAGATAAAAATTAGATACGGAAAGTTCATAAACTGGGTTAAGTGAATCATTAGATCGTGCTGTTATTTGCTAAAAATAATAAAAACACACACTGAATAGCAAATGGCCATGAATATTTAACCATCACAGATTCCTTTTTTATGTGCAGTGCATTGTAGCTGTTCTAATGTACAACAAAGAAAGAACAGTGGGAAAGTGCTGTAGACCTAATGGGGATTTTTGTTGTCTTTCTACCGTAAAGAAATGAATCTCTCGTCTTGTGGTTTCAAAATACCAATCTTTGGCAACTAAGACCAGATGATGCTTGTAAATATGATAATCAGACAACAAATCCATTATTCATCCTCCCCTGGAAAATGTATTGGCATAAAGTTTAGGCAGTATAATTTCAGACAAAACCTGAAAATTTTTCAGAACAGGATTTAACTAGGACTATATTTTATAAAACTGAAAGCTTACTTTAAATTACATAACATATAAAACCCAAGCACCTTGAACTCCAATGGGACTTTTCCACCATCACCAACATGAGTTTTCTGGTCTTTCAAAAAAGTTAGGGCATTTAGTACAGTTGTCCCTTGGTATTTGGGGGATTGGTTCCAGGACCCCCATAGTTATCAAAATATGTGGATGCTCAAGTCCCTGATATAAAATGGCATGATATTCGCATATAACATACATACATCTTCACATACACTTCAAATAATCTCTAGATTACTGAGGCCAGGCAGGGTGGCTTACACCTGTAATCCCGGCACTTGGCTTTGGAAGGCCAAGGTGGGAGGATTGCTTGAGCCCAGGAGTTCAAGACCAGCCTGGGCAACATGGTGAGACCCTGAATCTATAAAAAATACAAAAATTAGCCAAGCATGCTGATGCATGCCTATAGTCCCAGCTACTCGGTAGGCTGAAGTCGGAAGATCACCTGAGTCAGGAAGGTTGAGGCTGCAGTGAGCCATAATCGTATCATTACACTCCAGCCTAGGCAACAGAGTGAGACCTTGTCTCAAAATAAATAAATAAATAAATAGATTACTTATAATACTTAATACCATAGGCATGCTATGTAAATGGTTGTCATATAGTATCTTTTTAAAATTTTTTAATTTATTGTTATTTTGAAATTTTTTAAGTATTTTGATCTGTATTTGGTTGAATACACAGATGCAGAACCCAGACATGTAGAGGGTCAACTCTATACCTCTATTTTTTCTTTGTTTAGGATCTTGGGCCTCTAGAGATTAAGGCACTAATAGGACTAGTCACCAGGTTGGTTATGTCTTCCTTCAGTCCCATTCTCACATAGCATTTGTGCTGGTAGACATTTCCTGGGGACCATTCAAGCCAGTGTGCTCATCACTCCCATCACCTAAAATCCTTTTAATTCCCTTCCCTTCCCTTCAACTCTCATGCTTTAGAAATATTTATCTACCAAAACCCATTTACTAAATGTAGGCTTAATATGGGAAACTGTTATTTCCATTAGGCTTCATGAATTAATTAAAATAATTAAAGGATTTCCCCCTTAATAATAATAACTAAGGTTTACTATGCCAGGCATTGTTCAATCATATTGTATCTATCATCTCCGTGTAAACCCCGTAATAAGCCTATGAGCCTTATATTCCCTGATAAGGAAACTAAGCCTTAGAGAGGTTGGGGAATGTGCTCAAGATCACAGAGCTCTTACCCCATTTGCCCATGCCCACAAAACTCATCGGTGTCAAGTCAGGACTAGAACACACATCTTCTGAATACTAGTTCTGTGGTCTTTTCTAGCTAAAGAAATATTTACTGAGCTGCAACTATGTGCAAGACAATGTCCTGGATTCCAAGGGAATACCGAGTTGTAAAGGCCCTTTTTAAAATTATTTCCAGGCCAGGTGCAGTGACTCACGCCTGTAATCCCAGCACTTTGGGAGGCCAAGACTGGCAGATCACTTGAGGTCAGGAGCTCGAGACCAGCCTGGCAATATGGTGAAACCCCATCTCTACTGAAAACACAAAATATTAGCTGGGTGTGGCAGCGTAAGCCTGTAATCCCAGCTAGTAGGGAAGCTGAGGCAGGAGAATTGCTTGAGCCCAGGAGGCAGAGGCTGCAGTGAGCCAAGATTGCACCACTGCACTCCAGCCTGGGCGACAGAGTGGAAAAAAACATATGTCCAAAATGCTCACCACTCTTAGGTCCTTCTAATCCATACTGCACGCTGACACACCATGAAGATAATTTCCTTAAAGTCTTTTTGGATCAAAGTATTTTCAGCTATTCTCTATTTCATAAAGAACCAGTTCAAGTCCCTCTGCAAGGCACTTAAAGGAGCTGGTACGGTAGAAAGAGGAAGGATGTGCTGACAGACATGGGTTTGCATCCTGGTGCTGTCAACAACTAGCCTTACAACTTTAGACAAATCACATAATCTGTCTGAGACTCAGTTTTCTCACCTGTAGACCTGGGAAATAGCAGGGTTGTTGGAAGTATTCCGTAGGTAAGTAAAGGGCCTGGCGTACAGCGGGTAGCAATAAGAGTCAGTTGCCTTCCCTGTCTCTCCCACCAATTCTAGCTCCAATATAATTTTCTAAGACATAGACCCTCTAGGTCAGCCAGGCTGTCTGCTTACCACCCGCTGGACATGGTTACACAATCCTTCCTTTTCTTAAACATTCCCCCTTGGTCTAGAGGGCCCTCCTCCCTATTGTTCCCTAATCTAGCTAAATCTTTCTCACCATCCAAGACCCAGCTCAAGCCTACCTGCTTCTTTATAGCCCTCCCAACAGAACACATTCTCTCATGTTTTCTCAAAGCACTATTGTCTGGTTATAGATTCAGTACCCTACACTGTCATTAAATTTTTCATGCTTGTCTTGTTTCTCCAAAGGTGCTGTGAGCTGCTTGGGAGCAAGGGCAGGGCCTTCTTTTCTTCGTATCCCCCACAGAGATGATTGCAGTGTGACACCCATGACAAGTGTTCAATAATCACATGCTAAGTGTGTGAATGAGTACTGCATCATATTGCATTTTGTTAAATTATATGTGTATGCCTGGGAGTTGAAATGTGAGAAAATGACACGGCTCTTTCTCTTCCTAATGCAGATTGCTTTTTAAAATATTATCTATCCAACCTGTTTTTTTACATATAGTATTTTTTTTTCTCCAACATTTCAATACACCACTTAAAATTCGACCTAAAAAAGAAAGTATTAAAGCATGTGTTTCAAATGGGGGGAAAAATCCAGCAGCTATGACTAATGTCTTCAATTTATAGTATATCCAATTTGGAGAAGACCATGCTTTTTCATAAAGTTGCATAACTGCTAACAAAAACATTTTCAGCCACAGGATGTGTTTTTGGAAGAATGTAGCCCTTCGCTAGACGAGGAAAAATGTAAAAACCAAGGGCACAGCTTTCCTTGATACACGTCTTACCCAATACAGATAAGGCACTCAAATACTTATCAAATTGAATGTTCTCTCCTTATATAATGTATGATATTGGGCAGAAGTAGGTTGTCACATTCTTCATATTAATGGTTCATTCTAATTCTACATAGCTTTTCCTTGTGAACTATCTAGGTATTGACAACTATTGAGTACCATCATCAAAAAGGATTAAAGGAAGTGAGTGAGGGATGATGTCATGTATTTCTACATCTACCTCTTCTGGATTAAATAATCAAAACAAAGAGGCCTGTATATTACCCACTTTCTAATATTTGTTGTTACAGCCCTTTGGACATGAAATAATAGTGAATAGACTTTCAAATGAATCACAAGAACTAGAGCTCCAGTTAACTTGTTGACTGCAGTCATGTAAGAAAGTAAGACCCCAAGGAGGGTAACAGGTTAGACTGGTGAATACCTGAACTTAACACTGTGCTTTGGCAGTCTTTTTCACCCTTATATATGAGAATATAAAATCTGGGTCAGAACCAAGATGTATAAGTCTGACTTGAGAATAAACTGAACACAATCTCTTTAAAATACACAGAAGTAAAAGTTTTTAAAACTCACAAACTGTAACTTATCAATAGTCCAATAGAAAAGTTTAAACTCTTAGTTGCATAACGATTCATATTTTTATTTTTAAGTGTGCAAAAAAAAGTTGAAAGCAGCAACATCTGACCCTGTTGTCTATATCAAGCTAATAAGAACAGGTTTTAAATTCTAAGCTATTATTTTGTTTTTCACCTTGAGTATTCATTTTGCTGCCGAAGTAGAAGATGTGAAAATTAAGATCTATAGAACACAGTTTTGAATCAATCATCAAAAGCAAAAAAAAAAAAAAATTGTTTTCAAGGATGGGAACGAATTCTGACATTTTAATTACAAGCTCAGTAGAAAGTTTTCTAGTAGTCTGTGGGCTTTGAAAATCATTATTATGTTGTCATTACAAATTAATGACTATAAAAGAAATCAGTTTTGAATGCTAACGGTAAATTACAGAAAAAAACTTATGGAACTGCTTCCTATCTCCTGATGTACCAAGAGTATTCATCATAATTTACTTGATTAAGAAACCCAAACAGTGGAAAAATACAGAGACATAGATTTTTGAAATGGTATTATATAAATATAAGCCAGCTTTTTCTTAGCAATTCAAAAGATGCTCATCATAACACATTTGTAATATCAAAAAACTAGAAGCAACCTAAATATTCAGCAACATGAGAATGAGTAAGTAATTACAGTACATCCAATTGGTAGATTATGCAATTATTGAAAGTTATAAATATAACTTATATGTCAGATTGAAAAATGTAAGTACAGGCATACCTCGGAGATACTGTGTTTCAATTCAAGATTGCTACAATGAAGCAGGTACCACAAGAAAGCGAGTCACACAAATTTTTTGGTTTCCCAGTGCATATAAAAGCTATGTTTATGTTATACTGTTGTCTGTTAAGTGTACAATAGCATTATGTATAAAAAAAGTACGTATCTTAATTTTAAAATACTTCATTGGTAAAAAATGCTAACGATCGATTCAGCCTTCAGCAAATCATAGTCATTCGGCTGGTGGAGAGTCTTGCCTCAATGTTAATGGCTGCTGACTGACAACAGTGGTGGTTGTTGAAGGCTGAAGTGGCTGTGGCAATTAAAAAAGACAGCAATGAAGTTTGCCACATTGATTGACTTTTCCTTTCACAAAATAATTTCAGTAACATGTGATGCTGTTTTTTACGAACAATGGAACTTCTTTCGCAATTGGACTCAATCCTCTCAAACCCTGCTGCCACTTTATTAAGTTTATTTAATAATCTAAATCCTTTGTTGTCACTTCAACAATATTCACAGTATCTACACCAGTAATTTCCGTCTCAAGAAAACACTTTCTTTGCTGATCCATAAGAAGCAACTTATCTGTTCAAGTTTTGTCATGAGATTGCAGTCATTCAGTCCCGTCTTCAGGCTCTACTTCTAATTCTGTTCTGTTGCTATTTCCACCACATCTGCAGTTACTTCCTCCCCTGAAGCCTTGAACCCCTCAAAGATATCCATGAGGGTTGGAATCAACTTCTTCCAAACTCTCGTTAATGTTGCTATTTGAACTTCCTCCCATGAATCACAAGTTTTTTTGTTTGTTTGTTTTTGAGACAGATTTTCGCTCGTTGCCCAGGCTGAAGTGCAATGGCGCTATCTCGGCTCACTGCAACCTCCGCCTCCTGGGTTCAAGCGATTCTCCTGCCTCAGCCTCCCAAGTAGCTGGGATTACAGGCATGCGCCAGCACGCCCAGCTAATTTTGTATTTTTGGTAGAGACGGGGTTTCTCCATGTTGGCCAGTCTGGTCTCAAACTCCCGACCTCAGGTGATCTGCCCACCTCTGCCTCCCAAAGTGCTGGGATTACAGGCATGAGCCACCACACCTGGCAACAAGCGTTCTTAATGCCATCTACAATGATGAATCCTTTTCAGAAAGATTTTCCATTTATTTTGCCCAGATCCATCAGAGGAATTGCTACCTATGGTAGCCACAGGCTTACAAAGTGTATTTCTTAAATAATAAGAGCTGGAAGGCCAAATTACTCCTTAACCCATGGGCTATGGAATGGATACTGTGTTAGCAGGCATGGAAATAACATTCATCTTCTTGTACATCTCCATCAGAGTTCCTGGGTAACTAGGTGCATTGACAATGAGCAGTAATATTTTGAAAAGAATCTTTTTTTTTTTTTTTTTAGCAGTAGGTCTCAACAGCGAGCTTAAAATATTTAGTAAACCATGTTATGAACAGATATTCCATCATCCAGGCTTTGTTTTTCCATTTATGGAGTGCAGGGAGAGTAAATGTAGCGTAACTCTTAAGGGCTCTAGGATTTTCAGAAGGGTAAATGAGTATTGGCTTCACCTTAAAGTCACCAGTTGCTTGAGCACCTAACAGGAGATTCAGACTGTCCTTTGAAGACCTGAAGCCAGGCATTGACTTCTTCTCTCTAACTATGAAAGTCTTAGATGGTATCTTTTTCCAACTTAAAGCTGTTTCATCTACGTTGAAAATCTGTTGTTTATGCAGGCATCTTAATCAATGATTTTAGCCAGATCTTCTGGATAACTTGCTGCAGCTTCTACATCAGTACTTGCTGCTTTATCTTGCACTTTTATGTTATGGAGATGGCATCTTTCCCTAAATCTCATGAACCTCTGCTAGCTTCAAACTGTTTCTTTGGCAGCTTCCTCACTTCTCTCAGCCTTCATAGAATGGAAAGAAAGTTTGGGCCTTGCTCTGGATTAGCTTAAGGGAATGTTGCTTTAGCTTAAGGGAATGTTGGGGCTGGTTTGATCTTCTGTCCAGACCACTAAAGCTTTCTCCACATCAGCAATAAGGCTGTTTTGCTTTCTTATCATTTGTGTGTTCACTGGAATAGCACTTTTAATTTCCTTCAAGAACTTTTCCTTTGCATTCACAACTTGGCTAACTGTTTGGCACAAGATGCTTTGCTTTTCGCCTCTTTTGGCTTTCGATCTACCTTCTTCACTAAGCTTAATCATTTCTAACTTTTAATTTAAAGTAAGAGCCATGTAACTCTTTCTTTCACTGGAACACATAGAGGCCATTGTAGGGTTGTTAACTGCCCTAATTTCAATATTGTTCTGTCTCAGGAAACAGGAAGGCTCAAGGAGAGGGAGAGAGACAGGGAATGGCTGGTCAGTGGAGCAGTTAGAACACATACATTTATTAAGTTCACCATCTTACATGAGTACAGTTCATGGCACCCAAAAACAATGACAATAGTAACATCAAAGATCACTAATCACAGATCACCATAACAGATATAATAATAATGAAAATGTTTGAAATATTGTGAGAATTACCAAAATGTCACACAGAGACATGAAGTGAGCACACGCTGCTGGAAAAATGATGCCAATAGACTTGGCTTGATGCAAGTTTGCCACAGTCCTTCAGTTTGTAAAAAATGCAGTCTCTGTGAAGCTAAATAAAATGAAGTGCTATAAAACAAGGTATGCCTGTAATGTAAAGTTTTTCATTTTACATATGCAAATATTTATGCATGCTCTGAATACACCATGTAAAACTATGCACAAGAGAAAATAATAGAACAGAAAGTACAGAAATTGTTATAGAATTTATATTTGTGTGGTGAGATTATGGATTTTTCTTTTCAAATCTCATGTATGTTTAAATTCTATTTATAATTTTTTTTTTTTTTTTGAGACAGAGTTTCACTCTTGTTGCCCTGGCTGGAATGCAATGGCGCGATCTTGACTCACCACAACTTCTGCCTCCCGGGTTCAAGCGATTCTCCTGCCTCAGCCTCTCTAGTAGCTGGGATTACAGGCATGCGCCACCATGCCTAGACAATCTTGTATTTTTTTTTAGTAGAGACAGGGTTTCTCCATGTTGGTCAGGCTGGTATTGAACTCCTGACCTCAGGTGATCCACCTGCCTCAGCCTCCCAAAGTGCTGGGATTACAGGCATGAGCCACTGCACCTGGCCTCTATTTATAATTTTTAAAGATTAATTTTCACTTTTGAAGACCTATCATATGCTGAAGTATATTCATTAAATTCAACTCTATGAAATTGTCAGTTTCATGTAGGTCAATCATCTTTGACCTACAGAAATTGCAATGTATACTTCATTCTAATAGTGTATTATCATTGTTCAACTAACAAAATGAATCTGTTTTGGAATAAAAGTGGCTAGCTCCTATTCTAAAATGTTCTTTAAGCTTCAAAATAAGTCTAACTTCTGGAAAATTGTTGGTGAAATAAATTACTTCAAAATCACATTTGAAAACTGTGACTCCAAAATAATCAAAACACAATGGAGGTTTTTGATTTTGAAGAAAATAAACTCAGGTCAGACTGTTTTGAGTTGATGTAGAGCTATTGCCATTGTATTTCTTTTTTTAACATCTTTAAAATAGTGTCATGTTCATTTTTAATTATTCAACAGCCAGTTTAAAGTAAAACATTAATAATTTAATAAGTAAATTTGCTTCTAACCTGTGCTGCGAATGACATTTAAATTGCTTCATACTCTATGATTACTCAGAGATAATTAGTCTTCTAAATATTACTGTAATGAAGACCATGGGTTTAATGAATCATACATATTCAAACCAAATAGAATCTTTACTGAATATTTAAGTTCAGCATAAAAATTGTTTAACAATTGGTTAGAATTCAAAAAATTGTCTAAGGCAAGCCAGGCCATGAAAACGTACAGTGAAATTAAATGTATTTATAGGAATATTGAAACAACAGTTCTAGAAAAAAGAAGTTGATCATCCTGGGTTTGAAGTGAAAATGCACTTCAGCTTTGATATACAATAGTTATTGTGTTTGACATTATGGATCAGGGTTTCTGAATTTCAGTGAAGCATTTTACAATCTTTTATATTTGTTACTAAAGCACATAAATATGGATTCCTTGGAGGAAGACACAGGAGGGTGTGTGTATGTGTATGTGTGTGTGTGTGTGTGTGTGTGTGTGTGTGTGTGTGTTTACATCATCTGTATCATAAGCACCAAGCATAGTGCCTGGCACATGATAGATGACAAGTAAAAGTTTAATGAATAAATACCTGGGTTGGTTGAACAGGTATATGTTTTTTAAAAGTGTGCACTCCAGCCTGGGTGACAGAACAAGACCATGTCTCAAAAACAAACAGACAAATCGTGTATCTGATAAGAGGTTAATATCCAGGATATATGAAGAACTACTGCAACTCAACAACAACAACAAAAAACCCAATTTTAAAATGAGCAAAAGACTAGAATAGGCATTTCTCTAAAGAAAAGAAAATATACATATGGCCATAAGTGGATGAAAAGATGCTCAGCATGTCTAATAATCAGGGAAATGCAAATCAAAGCTGCAATAAGATATCTCCTCACACCCGCTAGGATAACTACTATTTTAAAAAAGACAAACAGAAAATAACAAGTGTTGGGAAGGATGTGGAGAAATTGGAACTCTTGTGCACTGTCAGTAGGAATATAAAATGGTGTTGCTACTACAACAAACAGTATAAAATTTCCTCAAAAAATTAAAAATAGAATTACTGTATGATCCAGCAATTTCACCTCTGGATATAAACCCAAAAAACTGAAAGCAAGATCTCAAAGAGATATTTGCACACCCATGTTCATTGTAAAATTGTTCACAATAGCCAAGAGGTGGAAGCAAGCTGAATGTCCATTGGTGGATGAATGAATAAAGATGATGTGGTATGTACATACAATGGAATATTAGCCTTGGAAAAGAAGGAAATACTTTCACATGCTACAACATGGATGAACCTTGAGGACATTGTGCTAAGTGAAACAAGCCAGTTGCAAAAAGAGAATCTGCTTGCATGGAGTATGTAAAAAAGTCATATTCTTGGAAAGTAGAATGGACATTGCCAGGGGAGGAAGTGGGAAGTTCAATGGATGCAGAGTTTTAGTTTTGCAAGATGAAAAGTTCCTAGGGATCTATTGCACAACAATGTGCATGTAGTTGACACTACTGAACTGTGTATTGAAAAAGGGTTAAGATTGCAAAAATCAATCTTAGGCAATTTGATTTTTCAAGACACAGACATCTACAAATGTTATTATTGAAGAAACCAATGCATCATTACGGATTATGCCTTTGGTAGTGTCTCCAGGTGCAAGGAATAACAGAAATAAAAGTCACATGATGTGTGAACCCCAGAGCTTTGGGGAGACTCCTATACCAGGTCTGAAGTGACCTAATAGGAAGTAGCTGTTATTCATAGTCAATGCCATATTAATGAAGAGAATGAACAACCTCAAAATGGTCTAATATCATGACTTTATCTAACTGTATCTAAATACACAACAGCAATTTGCTTTCCTTTTTAGGTTTACATGTAATAAAAGTATTTAACAATCAGCCTCTTTAGTCTCTTCCAAGAATTCATAGATTTTTTTTTCATATAGGGACAGCATTTTAGATACTAGAGTTTTTTTAAAAAGTTTAGAGTTTCATATAGTTTGAAAGAGGAACTCCTTCAATATTTAGTAACTACATTTCAGCATTTGGATCATTTGCAGCTTTCTTTACCTCCTCAATTTAATTACAAACACCTTCAACAGAGAGTTAGCAAACTAATTAGCAATTCCTTTTCCTTAAAAAATACTCCTAATCAAGGAAGATGATCATTTTTGATTAAACAGCAACCAGTTATCAAATGTAAATTTGCAATTGATTACAGAACAAAATATAGTGTGTGCTTTCCCTCTTAGTAACAGTAAGCATTATTTTTTCCAAGCAGTTATATTTAGTTTCTCAGATTAATTTAGGCTGATCCATCTCTTTTGATGGTGTACTCCCTAGGAATGCCTATATTACTTCCCAGGAGAATTATCCCTGTGCAAATAAAATATCCAGATGCAAAGTATGCATATGGTAAAAAGGAATCTGGCAGTTGCCCAAGTATTTTAACAATTTGGATGCTACCTACCTACAATAAATCAGTCTTTCAAATTTGTCAGGGAATAGGTCATGAGAAACAATATTTAGTGCGAAAAGATACAAAGCTAACTGTCTAGAATGACTGTGTCTTCTTAGGGGTGCCTACTATAGTCCAAATACCATCCAAGGTCCTTGGAATCTATCTGTGGGCAAGACAGAGTTTCTGCCCTCAGCAAGTTTATAAGCTGATTGGGAAGACAGGCAAGTTACAAGGCAATCACAAATCAGTATGACATGTGCTACCAATGGGAAATAAGCAGGTAGATATAAAAAGGGTTCCTGACACTGGGGGAGTTTGGGAGGCAAGAAAGAGATGCCGCGTGAGAATAGTACTGAAGGACCAATAGAGGTTAGATAGGTAAGGAAGAATGAAGGAGCACTAAACATGGAAAGGAATGACCGGTACCAGCCACTGCAAAAATATGCCAAATTGTAAAGACCATCGAGGCTAGGAGGAAACTGCATCAACTAATGAGCAAAATAACCAGCTAACATCATAATGACAGGATCAAATTCACACATAACAATATTAACCTTAAATATAAATGGGCTAAATGCCCCAATTAAAAGACACAGAATGGCAAATTGGATAAAGAGTCAAGACCTATCAGTGTGCTGTATTCAGGAGACCCATCTCATGTGCAGAGACACACATAGGCTCAAAATAAAGGGATGGAGGAAGATCTATCAAGCAAATGGAAAACAAACAAACAAAAAAAGCAGGGCTTGCAATCCTAGTCTCTAATAAAACAGACTTTAAACCAACAAAGATCAAAAGAGACAAAGAAGGCCATTACATAATGGTAAAGGGATCAATTCAACAAGAAGAGCAAACTATCCTAAATATATATGCACCCAATACAGGAGCACCCAGATTCATAAAGCAAGTTCTTAGAGACCTACAAAGAGACTTAGACTCCCACACAATTATAATGGGAGACTTTAATACCCCACTGTCAACATTAGACAGATCAATGAGACAGAAAGTTAAAAAGGATATCCAGGAATTGAACTCAGCTCTGCACCAAGCAGACCTAACAGACATCTACAGAACTCTCCACCCCAAATCAACAGAATATACATTCTTCTCAGCACCACATCGCACTTATTCCAAAATTGAACACATAGTTGCAAGTAAAGCACTCCTCAGCAGATGTAAAAGAACAGAAATTATAACAAACTGTCTCTCAGACCACAGTGCAATCAAACTAGAACTCAGGATTAAGAAACTCACTCAAAACTGCTCAACTACATGGAAATTGAACAACCTGCTCCTGAATGACTACTGGGTACATAATGAAATGAAGGCAGAAATAAAGATATTCTTTGAAACCAATGAGAACAAAGACACAACATACCAGAATCTCTGGGACACATTTAAAGCAGTGTGTAGAGGGAAATTTATAGCACTAAATGCCCACAAGAGAAAGCAGGAAAGATGTAAAATTGACACCCTAACATCACAATTAAAAGAACTAGAGAAGCAAGAGAAAACACATTCAAAACCTAGCAGAAGGTAAGAAATAACTAAGATCAGAGTAGAACTGAAGGAGATAGAGACACAAAAAACCCTTCAAAAAATCAATGAATCCAGGAGCTGGTTTTTGAAAAGATCAACAAAATTGATAGACCGCTAGCAAGACTAATAAAGAAGAAAAGAGAGAAGAATCAAATAGATGCAATAGAAAATGATAAAGGGGATATCACCACCGATCCCACAGAAATACAAACTACCATCAGAGAATACTACAAACACCTCTACACAAATAAACTAGAAAATCTAGAAGAAATGGATAAATTCCTCGACACATACACCCTCCCAAGACTAAACCAGGAAGAAGTTGAATCTCTGAATAGACCAATAACAGGCTCTGAAATTGAGGCAATAATTAATAGCCTACCAACCAAAAAAAGTCCAGGACCAGACAGATTCACAGCCGAATTCTACTGGGGATACAAGGAGGAGCTGGTACCATTCCTTCTGAAACTATTCCAATCAATAGTAAAAGAGGGAATCCTCCCTAACTCATTTAATGAGGCCAGCATCATCCTGATACCAAAGCCTGGCAAAGACACAACAAAAAAAGAGAATTTTAGACCAATATCCCTGATGAACATCGATGCAAAAATCCTCAATAAAATACTGGCAAACCGAATCCAGCAGCACATCAAAAAGCTGATCCACCATGATCGAGTGGGCTTCATCCCTGGGATGCAAGGCTGGTTCAACATATGCAAATCAATAAACGTAATCCAGCATATAAACAGAACCAAAGACAAAAACCACATGATTATCTCAATAGTTGCAGAAAAGGCCTTTGGAAAAATTCAACAACTTTCACGCTAAAAACACTCAATAAATTAGGTATTGATGGGACATATTTCAAAATAATAAGAGCTATTTATGACAAACCCACAGCCAATATCATACTGAATGGGCTAAAGCTGGAAGCGTTCCCTTTGACAACTGGCACAAGACAGGGATGCCCTCTCTCACCACTCCTATTCAACATAGTGTTGGAAGTTCTGGCCAGGGCAATCAGGCAGGAGAAAGAAATAAAGGGTATTCAATTAGGAAAAGAGGAAGTCAAATTGTCCCTGTTTGCAGATGACATCATTGTATATTTAGAAAACCCCATCGTCTCAGCCCAAAATCTCCTTAAGCTGATAAGCAAATTCAGCGAAGTCTCAAGATACAAAATCAATGTGCAAAAATCACAAGCATTCTTATACACCAATAACAGACAAACAGAGAGCCAAATCATGAGTGAACTCCCATTCACAATTGCTTCAAAGAGAATAAAATACCTAGGAATCCAACTTACAAGGGACGTGAAGGACCTCTTCAAGGAGAACTACAAACCACTGCTTGATGAAATTAAAGAGGATACAAACAAATGGAAGAACATTCCACGCTTACGGGTAGGAAGAATCAATATCGTGAAAATGGCCATACTGCCCAAGGTAATTTATAGATTCAATGCCATCCCCATGAAGCTACCAATGACTTTCTTCACAGAATTGGAAAAAACTACTTTAAAGTTCATATGGAACCAAAAAAGAGCCCGCATCACCAAGTCAATCCTAAGCCAAAAGAACAAAGCTGGAGGCATCACACTACCTGACTTCAAACTATACTACAAGGCTACAGTAACCAAAACAGCATGGTACTGGTACCAAAACAGAGATATAGATCAATGGAACAGAACAGAGCCCTCAGAAATAACACCGCATATCTACAACTATCTGATCTTTGACAAACCTGAGAAAAACAAGCAATGGGGAAAGGATTCCCTATTTAATAAATGGTGCTGGGAAAACTGGCTAGCCATATGTAGAAAGCTGAAACTGGATCCCTTCCTTACACCTTATACAAAAATCAATTCAAGATGGATTAAAGATTTAAACGTTAAACCTAAAACCATAAAAACCCTAGAAGAAAACCTAGGCATTACCATTCAGGACATAGGCGTGGGCAAGGACTTCATGTCCAAAACACCAAAAGCAATGGCAACAAAAGCCAAAATTGACAAATGGGATCTAATTAAACTAAAGAGCTTCTGCACAGCAAAAGAAACTACCATCAGAGTGAACAGGCAACCTACAACATGGGAGAAAATTTTCGCAACCTACTTATCTGACAAAGGACTAATATCCAGAATCTACAATGAACTCAAACAAATTTACAAGAAAAAAACAAACAACCCCATCAAAAAGTGGGTGAAGGACATGAACAGACACTTCTCAAAAGAAGACATTTATGCAGCCAAAAAACACATGAAGAAATGCTCATCATCACTGGCCATCAGAGAAATGCAAATCAAAACCACTATGAGATATCATCTCACACCAGTTAGAATGGCAATCATTCAAAAGTCAGGAAACAACAGGTGCTGGAGAGGATGCGGAGAAATAGGAACACTTTTACACTGTTGGTGGGACTGTAAACTAGTTCAACCATTGTGGAAGTCAGTGTGGCGATTCCTCAGGGATCTAGAACTAGAAATACCATTTGACCCAGCCATCCCATTACTGGGTATATACCCAAAGGACTATAAATCATGCTGCTATAGAGACACATGCACATGTATGTTTATTGCGGCACTATTCACAATAGCAAAGACTTGGAACCAACCCAAATGTCCAACAATGATAGACTGGATTAAGAAAATGTGGCACATATACACCATGGAATACTATGCAGCCATAAAAAATGATGAGTTCATATCCTTTGTAGGGACATGGATGAAATTGGAAACCATCATTCTCAGTAAACTATCGCAAGAACAAAAAACCAAACACCGCATATTCTCACTCATAGGTGGGAATTGAACAATGAGATCACATGGACACAGGAAGGGGAATATCACACTCTGGGGACTGTGGTGGGGTCGGGGGAGGGGGGAGGGATAGCATTGGGAGATATACCTAATGCTAGATGACACATTAGTGGGTGCAGCGCACCAGCATGGCACATGTATACATATGTAACTAACCTGCACAATGTGCACATGTACCCTAAAACTTAGAGTATAATAAAAAAAATTAAAAAAAAAAATTGACAAATGGGATCTAATTAAACTAAAGAGCTTCTGCACAGCAAAAGAAACTACCATCAGAGTGAATAGGCAACCTACAAACTGGGAGAAAATTTTCGCAACCTACTCATCTGACAAAGGGCTAATATCCAGAATCTACAATGAACTCCAACAAATTTACAAGAAAAAAACAAACCCCATCAAAAAGTGGGCAAAGGACATTAACAGACACTTCTCAAAAGAAGACATTTATGCAGCCAAAAAACACATGAAAAAATGCTCATCATCACTGGCCATCAGAGAAATGCAAATCAAAACCACAATGAGATACCATCTCACACCAGTTAGAATGGCAATCATTCAAAAGTCAGGAAACAACAGGTGCTGGAGAGGATGTGGAGAAATAGGAACACTTTTACACTGTTGGTGGGACTGTAAACTAGTTCAACCATTGTGGAAGTCAGTGTGGCGATTCCTCAGGGATCTAGAACTAGAAATACCATTTGACCCAGCCATCCCATTACTGGGTATATACCCAAAGGATTATAAATCATGCTGCTATAAAGACACATGCACACGTATGTCTACTGTGGCACTATTCACCATAGCAAAGACTTGGAACCAACCCAAATGTCCAACAATGATAGACTGGATTAAGAAAATGTGGCACATATACACTGTGGAATACTATGCAGCCATAAAAATGCTGGGTTCATGTCTTTGTAGGGACATGGATGAAGCTGGAAACCATCATTCTCAGCAAACTATCGCAAGGACAGAAAACCAAACACCGCATGTTCTCATTCATAAGTGGGAATTGAACAATGAGAACACTTGGACACAGGGTGGGGAACATCACATACCAGGGCCTGTCATGGGGTGGGGGAGGAGGGAAGGATAGCATTAGGAGAAATACCTAATGTAAACGACCAATTAATGGGTGCAGCCCACCAACATGGCACATGTATACATATGTAACAAATCTGCACGTTGCGCACATGTACCCTAGAACTTAAAGTATAATAATAAAAGAAAAAAGAAAAAAAAAGGTAAGGAAGAATCAACATGTGCATTTGCAGAGGTATGAACGATCTTGTCTTTGGGAAAGAAGTTTAGTTTGTCTATAATCGAAGTGAGAGGAGAAAATGGTGAGAAAAGAGACTAGAGTGATAAAGAAGAACCATTTTATGAAGAACAACAGTATGCACCTTCTGAAGAAATTTGCTTGCTATTCTAAAAGCAATATTGTAAGGTCTATTTTAATTAACTTTTTATATCAGGAAATTGTAAATTTAGCTTTTATCTCTGGTTGCAAACCAGATCCCTGAGTTCAGAAAATCCTTTTTTTTTTTTTTTTTTTTTTTGAGATGGAGTCTCACCCTGTCACCCAGGCTGGAGTGCAATGGCATGATCTCGGCTCACTGCAACCTCTGTCTCCTGGGTTCAAAAGATTCTCCTGCCTCAGCCTCCCGAGTAGCTGGGATTACAGGCACCTGCCACCACACCCAGCCAATTGATGAGGTTTCACCCTGTTGGCCAGGCTGGTCTTGAACTCCTGACCTCGTGATCTGCCCTGCTTGGCCTCCCAGAGTGCTGGGATTATAGGCATGAGCCACCAAGAAGGCAGTTAAATATATTCTTCCTTCTTTAAGTTACACTTAACTTCAGGTTTTTTTATTTTTAATTTTTTGATACAGTATCTTGCTCTGTTGTCCAGGCTGGAGTACAGTGGTATGATCATGGTTCATTGCATCCTTGAACTCCCAGGCTCAAGCAGTCCTCCCACTTCAGCCTCCCAAGTAGCTGGGGCCACAGGTGTGTACCACCACACCCAGCTAATTAAAAAAAATTTTTTTTTTGTAGAGATGGGGTCTGTCTTTGTCGCACAGGCTGGTCTCCAACTCCTGGGCTCAAACAATCCTCCAGCCTTCTGCCTCCCAAAGTGTTGGCATTACAGGCGAGAGCCACCATGCCCAGCTTAACTTCAGTTTTATACAAATAGGCACGTGACGACACAAGAGTGATGACTGCAAGGTAACCTCCAAGCTTGAACTTGCCTTCTGAAATGTAATAGGAAAAACGACAAATAAGATCAACTGTGTGTATTAATCCTTATCAAAGGTACCATCTAAGCACAGTTAAAAGATAGTCCCCTTGGAGAAATGGTAGGATATTTTATCTATGTCAAAAACAAAACAAGGGAAAAAATCTTAAACTACCAATAAGCAGCTAAATTGTTTTGGAAAAACACAAATTCTAATCCTAGTGGCCAGAAAGTATTGTCAAAACAGCATGACTGTATTTGTAGGCAACAAAATGGCTAGACAATGATTTTGTGATACAATGTAGCATACAGGTTAAGAACTATGGCATTTGCATCAAGTACACCTTGATTTAAATCCTGATTCTGCCACTTACTGTCACTTTCGCCTCTCATTCCTCACGCCTGGTTTTTCCCTGGTGCTGTTGAGTGAGAAACAAGCTGTCTTCACATTAGATTTTATAAGAAGTGAGACTTTAAAAACGCAACTGGTGACACGAATCTTTTGATTATATGTAAGGAAATAAATAGTTTATTATTTTAGTGAACAAAAAATTTCTTAAGTATAGAGCATATAGTTTGTACACTAATAGGAACTGTAAAAATGAGGTTCAGATGCCATTGTGACTACAGCATTCTGAGAAAGGGGGTCTGGGAAAGGATTTTGTCAGTTTCTTCCATACAAATAACCCAGTGTATTAGTGGATAATGGATGGATGGATGGATGGATGGATGGATGGATGGATGGATGGATGGATATATATTAACTCAGTGCAATAACCATGTAATAAATGCCTACTATGTCCAAAGATAATACAAAAGGCAGTAACATGTGGTAGGTAAGCTTCAGTAGGGCAGCAACCATATTCTATTGTTAATTTGGCTTTTGAAAAGCTGAAGCAAAGTATCTATAATACTGTAAGAGTATAGAGAAGGAGTGATGCCGTTTGGTCAGAAGGATGAAAAATGGTTTCATAAAGGAAAGTGCATTTGAGATGGTTTTGGGGGTTATGATTAATTTTGATGAATAAAGAGTAGTACATTTCAAACAAAGAAGGGAGCATGGGCTTTGGAGACAGATGGGGTTCAAATCACTAGCCGGGCTTGGTGGTGCATGCCTGTAATCCCAGCTACTCGGGAGGCTGAGGCAGGAGAATCGCTTGAACCTGGGAGGTGGAAGTTGCAGTGAGCCGAGATGGGGTTCAAATCTGTATCTGCCATTTTCTAAATATGTGATTTGGGGAGTTTCTGTAATTCCCTGTAACAATGTTTTCATCTGTTAAAAGTGGAATAATAGTTGCTACCTTACACGTTGCTGAGTTGATTAAATATGAAGTGCTTAACTGCAATGTCTGGAATATCATGCTGGATTAAATTGCAATTATTACTACCATTATGAAAAGCAGAAAATCCCACAGGGCAGGAAAAACACACAGGATAGGCTGGTTGAAGAGGAGGACACTGAAAGGTAAAGCCAGAGTTAAATTTTAGGGAGTCTTGGATGCCACACTGAGGAGTTTGGGCTTTATTCAATAAGCAAACAAATCTTTGATTTTTTTTTTTAGGAAACTAGATCAGACTTAACATTTTAGTGTAAATAAGCAACATGTTGGATGGACAGTAGGTTAAGAGTAGAAGGCGAGGCTGGCATCAAAGTGACCAGTTGGAATGTCATAAAAATAGTTTGGGTTTTTTTTTTTTTTTTTTTTTTTTTGAGATGGAGTCTCACTCTGTCACCCAGGTTGGAGTGCAGTGGCGCGATCTCGGCTCACTGCAAGCTCCGCCTCCCGTGTTCACGCCATTCTCCTGCCTCAGCCTCCCGAGTAGCTGGGACTACAGGAGCCTGCTACCAGGCCCGGCTAATTTTTGTATTTTTAGTAGAGACGGGGTTTCACCATGTTAGCCAGGATGCTCTCGATCTCCTGACCTCGTGATCTGCCCACCTCGGCCTCCCAAAGTGCTGGGATTACATACAGGTGTTAGCCACCACGCCCGGCCTAGTTTGGGTAGTTTTTGAGTGTTCATGGTAGCAATGAGAAAGGACAAGAGCTATAGAGGCCTATAGAGGCATAATCCATAGACTGACATAGAAAAAGAGTTGCTTTCGAGCCTCTGAAATATTGAGCATGATGAGGCACAAGTTGGATGAACAATGGTCTGGAAAAGGACATGGGGAGTGGAGTACATGGACCTCCTCTTCTCAGCCCCATGCATCAGCAGCAGTTAGAAAAGGAGCATTATCCATCACAAAGAATTGAAAGGGAAGCCTTGAAATATACAACCAAGTAGATTTTTCCACAAAACAGTGTTGGTTGCAAACAAAAAAAGCAGGAAAAAAAAATCCACAGTGAAAAGTATTGGGGGTGAGGGAGAAGGGAGCAAGTGCAAGGAACCTGGACACAGTGCTGAACTGGAAATGGATAAGTTAGCAGAAGGGAAAATAAGGAGGGGTTGTGTTCTACAAAAGTGAAGCACAAACATCAACACCGAGAAGATTATTGGAAAAGGTATGTTAGAACTGGGAAGGGTTGCTGTTTACATAGTGGAATTTAGTTAATAGAGGAGTTTGCAACTAACCGGTCTTAAGATTCCAATTGGTTTATTTGTACCTATAGAATTCCTTCCATGGAGGTGAATGGTATACATGACCTAATAGTTGGTTCACAATTTTGGCTGGTTCAAGTATCTTTGCTACACCAGTCTAACTCCTTTCAACTCTCTAAAAATGGCCATCGGTTTTCTAAATTGTTCTACTTTTCCTGCAAATGAGGTCAGGAATAGAAGCAACTAAATACCTCAATAACATGAGAAGCCAGAGAAGAAATGGTCCTTAGAAAAATTGGACAGTGGATAACAGACACCAAAGGTATAGATATTTGGTGTAGAATCAGGTCATTTGTAAGAACCCATGCATGTCAACCCAACAGGAAAAAAAATTGGGGAAGTTTGCTCACAACTTTGGAGAACCTATGAATGATGCAGTATCCTTGACACCCACACAATTGATTCAAAGGGTGAACCTTCAATTCTGGTGCACACTATGGGGACACCCACCAGTAGAAAGAAAGAAGACAATGATTTTTTCTACATTTTAAATAGCAAGAATGAAACATATTTTATGTGCCAAGCACTGTGCTAGGCCCTAGAGGTAGAAATATTAGTAGGTAAGAAGCAGTCTCCACTCTTAGCAGTTTCCATTCTGGTGGGCTTCCTTGGCAAATGCTTAGCCAGGGAAGAAAATGCAGCCTGGTCAAATATGGGCAAAAATAGATAAAAGCATCAGAAAGAAGACTACTGAAAAATATGGATCCTATGAAGGTCCAGGCCCTGAATCAAATACAGCTCAAAGAATACTAGCTTCACAGTAAAGTAAAACTGCTTTCTTAGAAACAGAAATGTTTTTAATGTAAAGAAAATTATGTACATGGAAAGTTGCTTTTTAAGTGACACAAATGTTTTTTAATGTAAGGAAAATCATGCACATCTTGTTGGAGGCAGAAACTATTTGGCATTTCAATAACTGAAACATTGGAATATATAAAGTTCTTTTCCTGTATACTGTAACAATGCAAATACTGCAATTACCTGTATTAAGTACCACAGATGTTCTAGAGCCCATTCCAAAGAGCAGAGCCAGCAATACCAATGAGTTCAAGTGTTTGAGGTCAGCCTTCTGAGTAGTCTTACCTTGACGTCCAGGGCACAGGAGAGGGAGAGAAGAAAATTAAGGAAAGATGGTAGGCTTTCTTCCTTTCTCCCTGCTCTTCAGAAATGGTCTCCCTCTCCCACCAAGGTCCCATTGAACTTAAGGACTCAGGAAGAAAGCCCTGGGAAAGCAAACACAGCCACAGTCTTTCTGCACCTCCCCATCACCAGGAGTCAGGGACATGGAATCCTGATGTCGTGATATTCTGTACTCCTATCTCATTGTCATTGCCCTTCCTATTCCAAAGATACTTTGCTCTTTCATTCTATTTCTGCACTGAAAAGCACGTAACATTTATTACCGGAATTCACAGGAAAATAAGACTTGATATGCAACGTTTTACCTAATGGCAAACTCTACCAGAACACAGTTTCTAAATTATAGGAGATATCTATAATCTTCTCAGCACGATGAAGAATGAATCTTTCAATAATGGATTTGATATGAAGGCATTTGCCTAGATGCATACGCAGAAAATACAGTAGTTCTTGTAATATTCCCTTTGGAAGGAACATATGGGTTAACCAATGATGTTAGCATTTGCAATGCAAGACAAGAATTAAAATCTATTAAGAGTGTGGCAAAAGGTAAACATAATAATAAGCAAAAATTGCTTATTTAGATCAAGTAAATTTTATAATGACAATATAAACTAGCCTCCCAAGTCAATAATAAAATTATATTATTGTAAATACAATAATCTCTCCTTAGCTACAGTTTTGCTTTCTATGGCTTCACTTACCTATGGACAACTGCAGTCCAAAAATATTGAATGGGAAATTCTAGAAATGAACAATTCATAATTTTAAAATGTTTCTATTTGTCTATAATTTTTCTATTTTATTATTAGTTATTGTTAATCTCTTATTGTATCTAAGTTATAAATTAAACTTTATCACTAGTATGTATGTATAGAAAAAACAAAGTACAGTTTATATAGGGTTTGGTGTTACTTGGAGTTTCAGTCATCCACTGGGGGTCTTGGAATGTTTACCCCAAAGATAAAGGGGGACTAGCGCATTTAAGAATAGCTAGGCATGGTCATCATGAATATTCAGCAATGATAATCTGCCACTGAGGGAACAAAGGTGGGGCAACAAATGCTATGTCCTGGTCCACTTTCATCAATTTTAGGATTATATGAGTTTTAAAAATGATATTTCCCTTTGTTCACATTTAAAGAAAGCCAGCAGCCAAATTCTAGGGTTTTTTAAATTATTACTAAGAACTTGAAATGCTCAGATATTCTCTCAGGGGGTGCATATAGGCTGCAACGTTGTTAGACCCAATCCAACAAAACATAGCTCTCCCCTGACCGTAATAGCAGCTTAGAAGTCTATGCTGCGATAACAGAAGGACAGAAGAAAAGCATAAACATAGAGATTACTTGTATTTCAATGGAATCACAATACAGTGGAAGTGAATTTTTATTACCTTGGCTCTTTTGTGGTTGTATGCAAAAAGTAAAACACATTCTTTTTTTTTAATGTAATATTATACATTGTTTCCAAAGCTTTTTGATTTTCTTTAAGCTTTCCCATGTCCTTTCTTTAAATTGCCTTCTCCTATTCATTTTCTTATCCATTTCCCTCAACACCATTGTCAACCACGTGCTCCTGGAATGATAATATAGCTTTTAACAATGGCAGACAATGGGCATATGTCTGCTGTACGATGTTTCTTTTTAAGTAAACTTTAATTTTGTAATAATTTTAGATTTACCAAAAAGTTGAACAGGTACTACCCAGAGTTCTCATACTCTCACCCAGTTTCACCTATTGTTAACATCTTACATTACCATAGTACATTTATTAAAACTAAGAAACCAACATTGGCATATAACTATTAACTAAACTCCAGACTTTATTTGGACTTCATGGCTTTCCCCAATAATATCCTCTTTCTGATTCAGGGTCCAATCCAGGGTACCACATTGCATTTAGTTGTTATGTCTCCTTAATGTCCTCTGGTTGTGACAATTTCACAGTCTTCCCTTGTTTTTCATGACCTTGACAATTTTGAAGAGTTTGGCCAGGTATTTTGTAGAGTGTCCCTCAGTTTCAGTTTGTCTTATGTTTTTCTCATGATGAGCTGGGGTTATCGGTTTTTGGAAAGAATGCCACAGAGGTGAAGTGTCCTTCTCCTCTCACACATCAGAGGGACATAATATGCACATGACATCACCAGTGATGTTAACCTTCATCACTTGGATAAAGTGGTGTGTGCCAGCTTTCTTCATTGTAAGGTTACGTTTTTCCCTTCCCATATTCTATTCTTTGGAGATGAGTCATTGAGCCTAGCCCACACTCAAGAGGTGAAAGGGGTGACTTGCTTTTAAGATAACTACTATGCAAAATGTGAATGTATAATAAAGCTCCTATCTTCCATACAAATTCAGTTCAATAAACTTTTAGGTTATCATGAAAAGAAATATTTTGGAGATTTGTTGTGCAACAACTGTAATCTCTAGAAGTGTCTGTGTGTATTACTATCATATGGAAAGACACAAACCTTAATCCTTACAATGATTATAGATACTCAGAGTCTAAGAGATGGTTATCTTTACCTTACATGAATTGTCTTTAAAATGATTGCTTATTTTTCTAAGCTGTTTTTAACATCTGATGAAATCTCTGGGTGAATTTTCTTCTGAGACTGAACATGCTACAATGCAAATTGTATACAAGCTAAAAATTAATCTTCATATAGTTGTACTCTGGGGTCACTCAACATTTAAACGCACATTGCCAAGAATACTGTTTGTCTGCAGAATCATAAATGCACAAATGAATTACTCTTACGATGGTCATGTGATTATAAATTTTCTCAAAGGCTTTCAACTTAGTAAATAGCTTGCTACCTTACATGTAAGGACATTTCAGTTTATCATTTTCATTAGAATCTCTAGTGTCATGGTACCTTTTTACATTTTGTTATTTTTAATTAGATTTTTTGTTTTTTCATTTTACTGGCTTTCCTTAAATTTTGCTTAACATTTTATTTGGCATAACTTACATAGCAGGCAACAAGATAAAAATATGTTCTTTTCAATTTAGAGAAATTAAGTAACTATGTTGCAGATCTGTAATTAAGGTCTTGATTAGTTACACTTTCTTAATTTGGTGATTCACATCTCTCTTTGTCCTGATCAAATTATGTCATCATAAAGAAATAGTTGTAGTGGTTAGAAATGCCTGTCAAGGCCAGGCGTGGTGGCTCATGCCTATAGTCCCAGCACTTTGGGAGGCCAAGGCAGGAGGATTGCTTGAACCCAGGAGTTTAAGACCAGCCTGGGCAACGTGGCGCAACCCAGCCTCTAAAAATATAAAAAATTAGCCAGTGTGGCGGTGCGTGCCTGTAGTTCCGGCTATTTGGGAGTGCTGAGGCAGAAGCATTGCTTGAGCCTGGGAGGTTGAGGCTGCATTGAGCCATGATAGTGCCACTGCACTACAGCCTGGGTGACAAAGTGAGACCCTGTCTCAGAAAAGAAAAAAGAAGAAAAAGAAATACGAATGCCTAGCAAGATTATTTTCTTCTAAGATTTTATTTATTTATTTATTTATTTATTATTATTATTTTTTAAGACGAAATCTCAATCTGTTGCCCCCAGGCTGGAGTGCTGTGGTGCAGTCCAGCCTGGTCTCACTGCAGCTTCAACCTCCTAGGCTCAAATGACCCTCCCACTTCTGCCTCCCAAGTAGCTAAAACTTCAGGTGCACACCATCAAGCCCAGTTAATCTTTTTTTTCTCTTTTTGTTTTTTTT
Source organism: Homo sapiens (assembly GCF_000001405.40). NCBI lineage: Eukaryota > Metazoa > Chordata > Mammalia > Primates > Hominidae > Homo > Homo sapiens. Next base: position 113,355,288 of record NC_000001.11, read on the forward strand.
TTTGTTTTTGTTTTTGTAGAGACAGGGTCTCGCTATATTGCCCAGGCTGGTCTTGAACTCCTAGCCTCAAGCCATCCTCCCTCCTCAGCCTCCCAAAGTGCTGGGATTACAGGCACAAGCCACTGTACCTGGCCTACTTACTTCTTTTTGTTCAACATTCATTGATACCTTAGGAGAATGGCTAGGTTCTGTGGAAAAAAAGCAATGCAAGGAACTTACTTACTAGTAGAGATGCTCAAATATATACAAAATTGATTATACTATGAAGTAGAAAACATTGACAAAAAAGAGGTACAAATAAGATGTATCAAAAATATAAAGTAATAAGAAGCCACTAAAGGTTTTTTAGCAGGCAAATGACAAGACCAGAGGTGTACTTTAGAAAAATTAATCCTGTAGCACAGTGTTGGGTAGATTATGGTGGTAGAAGAGAAGGCAAGGAGGATGGAAAGAGGAGAGAGGGAAAAGGGGCGAATGAAAAACTATTAATATTAAAGAGGTAATGTGAAGTAGGGTATTGGTAGTAGAAACAGAAAAAAGATCTGGATCCAAGAAATAAGGCTATGGTGAAACTAATAGGTCATGGCTACCAATTGAATATGAGGAATGAGGGATGGGAAAGATTCAAATGAAACACTGATACTTCAAGAAAGGAAATGTGCCACTAATAAAAATGTAGAAGGAGCATTTTCTGTTCTTATTTATTTATATTTCTTTGCAATATTTTTTACAATGTGTTTTATATGCATTGAGAGCTAGCCCACTGCATTAGAAGATTTTTTATGTTTCTCTTATGATTCACTAGTCATAGCAGCCTCTATTCCTTTCTGGAATAAGTTGCAGTATAAATAAATGAATACGCATTCATTATGCTTGATTATATAATTGTGCTTCCCTCTCAGCAAATGTCTCAAGGTAATAATGTAATGGCGTCTGTTCGTAACTAAAATCCAGGTTGTTTTTTTAAGGGATGTTTTTAAGCTATATTGTGTTTGTTATACATTTTATAACATTTGTTATATTTCTTGGCAATAAGTAGTAGCTTTTACAGAAAGGAGCTTTCTCATTTTAATTTGGGATCAGGTAAACTAATAATTATTCTATTTTCCCTTAAATAGGCATTCATGCCATTTTATAGTAAACAAACCATTGTTAATACTTATCCCTTTAGAATAAAATTGCTCTTCATTCTTTGTTAACATGATATAAACTTTCAGTAACAATTATAACAACAACACAACCACAGCTGAACATTTATTATATTTAAGGCATTGTTCTAAGTGCCTTTTACATATAATCCTCATAACTCTTTGAAGTAGGTACTATTAGAATCTAATGTCACAGATGAGACAGAGAAGGCAAGTAACTTGCACAATGTCACACAGCTAGTAACTGTAGGAGCCAGAATTGAACTCATGCAGTGTGGTTCCAGAGCCCATGTGCCTGGCAACTGCGTCCTCAAACACTTCATCCATATGTAAGACAGTTGAGTTAGACCAGCCTTATACTTAAGAGAGTGCATCTCTCTGCTATCTGTCTAAAAATTTGCCTTAAGTAGGGTCTATTTTAATAGAGAAAAGGAAAAACTTTTCATGCCCATTGGCATTCTCAGAAGACTTAATCATCAAGAGTCTGCAAAAATATAATTCCCTTCACACCAAGACATTTGATTGGTAATTTAAAAATACTCACTTCCTGTAGATAGCTGTAGGAAAGAAGAGTTCTTTATTTGTATTTAAGCTGAAAGTAGTAATAGAAAAAAAGGATAATGAATAAAGTTGAGTTGATTTTCAGTCAGTAAAGCCAATCAATTTCAGTCAGTAAAGTCAGATGTCTGTTCATTATAACAGTGAAGTGGGATTCAAGGGAGGGTGTGAGTCCATTGCTGGGAGTGAGGTGCTCATGGGCAAGAAAAGGAAGCTTTATGGAGACTGTGATATTTACGAAGGTTTTTTCAAGATGAGATGTTGACAACTCTCCTCATGGATGCCTATAAGAAACATAAATCTTTTATGTAATTCCAAAATCTGAAAGGACTGAATTATTTCTGAAGATACTGAAGTCTAGAAGTACATTTCATCGGAAACTCATTTGCCAAATGCCTTTATGGAAAATATCTTCATAGATCACATACACTGAAAAGATTACCTAACATATCTCAAAAATGCATCACGTGGATGGGCCCTGAATCATGGAATCATCATCCTTTATGCTGTTTGGTTACCTTGTGCACTTTCATGAGTTTGAACCATGAAACCAAGCAAGCCTTACACACACACACACACACACACACTCACTCACTCTCTCTCTCTCCCCCTCTGTCTCTCTCACACACACACACACACACTTTATCTTTCTGCATCTTAAGCAGTATTAAGAAATCTAAGATAAAATGATTTTCCCAGAGGAACAGTATAAGATTAACATTTTTAATCCTATTTTTATTTTCAATTTAAAATATCCCCCCATATGAAATTAAATATGTCTGACATGGTGTCCTCCAGTTTGCCAAAAGCTAAATGACTTTAAATGCAAATTATATTTTATTGAAAAACTCACAAGTGTATATACTATAGTTGTCACAAATACACATATTTGTGACAAAAAATAAATTTCCCTGCTTTTTAAATCTTAAAGCAGTATAGGCAGGAGAAAAAAAGTACTGCTTTTGCTATTTCTTGTCTAGAATCAGTCTTATTTTGAGGCTTCTAATACTTTGAAGTTTTATACAAACACTGCACCATTTTGAAAGTAGATTTTCTGGCTGTGCACAGTGGCTAACACCTGTAATCCCAGCACTTTGAGGCTGAGATGGGAGGATCCCTTGAGCTCAGAATTTTAAGACCAGCCTGAGAAACATAATGAGACCTCATGTCAACCAAAATAATAATAAAAATAAAAAATAAATAAATAAATAATAAGCCAGGCTTGCTGGTATATGCCTATAGTCTCAGCTACCTGAGAGGCTGAGGTGGTAGAATTGCTTGAGCCCAGGAGGTCAAGGCTGCAGTGAGCCATGTTTGTGCCACTGCACTCCAGTCTGGGTAACAGAGCAAGACCTTGCCTCGAAACAAAATGCACTCCAGCCTGGATGACAGAGTAAGACCTTGTCTCAACAACAACAACAACAAAAGCCTGGCTGTGGTGGCTCACACCTGTAATCCCAGCACTTTGGGAGGCCAACACGGGTGGATCACCTGAGGTCAGGGGTTTGAGACCAGCCTGGCCAACATGGTGAAACCCCGTCTCTACTAAAAATACAAAAAATAGCCAGGCGTGGTGGCAGGAGCCTGTAATCCGAGCTACTCGGGAAGTTGAGGCAGGAGAATCACTTGAACCTGGGAAGTGGAGGTTGCAGTGAGCCAAGATCGCACCATTGCACTCCAGTTTGGGTGACAACAATGAAACTTCGTCTCAAAAAAAGAAAAAGAAAGAAAGAAAAGAAAAGAGTAGATTTTTCATCTCAAGCTGCTGAAGGATTTTACCCCAAGATAGTATTCTCTAGGTCCCTAAACCTGCCATTCTCCACATTTCTCAAAGAAAGGGGTATGAAGATATGGCATAGTGGAGGCATGTATATTGTATATTTTAGAAATTGCTTCAAAATTGGTGGAATCAAGAATTATATAACCAGTGAAGTGTCTCTTAGAGTCTTGTCCTAGGACACAGTGGATCTCAAAAGCTGGTCCCTGCCTTGCTCAGGAACTTAGAAATGGAAATTCTGACACTCTAGACCTTCTGAATTAGAAACTCTCTTGGAGTAGAGCCCAACAGTCTCTGGTTTATCCACCCTTCTGGCTGATTCTGATAGTGCTAAAGTTTTGGAATCATGCCACTAAAATTTTGAAACTACTAGAGTCACCTGGGAGGTGGTGGGCTTACTGCAGATTAAAGGGCCCTACTGCATACCAAAATCTCTAAGGGTGAAACCCAGAAATCTCTTGTTGGGAGCAAGCCCCACAAAGTCTGGCCATAAACTGGCCCCAAAACTGGCCATAAATAAAATCTCTGCAGCAATGTAACATGTCCATAATGGCCATAACGCCCAAGCTGGAAGGTCGTGGATTTACAGGAATGAGGGCAAGGAACACCTGGCCCGCCCAGGGCGGAAAACCGCTTAAAGGCATTCTTAAGCCACACACAAAAGCATGAGCGATCTGTGTCTTAAGAGTGTGTTCCTGCTGCTGGATTCGGTTTGCCAGTATTTTATTGAGGATTTTTGCATCAATGTTCATCAAGGATATTGGCCTAAAATTCTCTTTTTTTGTTGTGTCTCTGCCTGGCTTTGGTATCAGAATGATGTTGGCCTCATAAAATGAGTTAGGGAGGATTCCCTCTTTTTCTATTGATTGGAATAGTTTCAGAAGGAATGGTACCAGTTCCTCCTTGTACCTCTGGTAGAATTCGGCTGTGAATCCATCTGGTCCTGGACTCTTTTTGGTTGGTAAGCTATTGATTATTGCCACAATTTCAGATCCTGTTATTGGTCTATTCAGAGATTCAACTTCTTCCTGGTTTAGTCTTGGGAGAGTGTATGTGTCCAGGAATTTACCCATTTCTTCTAGATTTTCTAGTTTATTTGCGTAGAGGTGTTTGTAGTATTCCCTGATGGTAGTTTGTATTTCTGTGGGATCGGTGGTGATATCCCCTTTATCATTTTTTATTGCGTCTATTTGATTCTTCTCTCTTTTTTTCTTTATTAGTCTTGCTAGCGGTCTATCAACTTTGTTGATCCTTTCAAAAAACCAGCTCCTGGATTCATTAATTTTTTGAAGGGTTTTTTGTGTCTCTATTTCCTTCAGTTCTGCTCTGATTTTAGTTATTTCTTGCCTTCTGCTAGCTTTTGAATGTGTTTGCTCTTGCTTTTCCAGTTCTTTTAATTGTGATGTTAGGTTGTCAATTTTGGATCTTTCCTGCTTTCTCTTGTGGGCATTTAGTGCTATAAATTTCCCTCTACACACTGCTTTGAATGCGTCCCAGAGATTCTGGTATGTTGTGTCTTTGTTCTCGTTGGTTTCAAAGAACATCTTTATTTCTGTCTTCATTTCGTTATGTACCCAGTAGTCATTCAGGAGCAGGTTGTTCAGTTTCCATGTAGTTGAGCGGTTTTGAGTGAGATTCTTTATCCTGAGTTCTAGTTTGATTGCACTGTGGTCTGAGAGATAGTTTGTTATAATTTCTATTCTTTTACATTTGCTGAGGAGAGCTTTACTTCCCAGTATGTGGTCAATTTTGGAATAGGTGTGAGGTGGTGCTGAAAAAAATGTATATTCTGTTGATTTGGGGTGGAGAGTTCTGTAGATGATCAAGTGGGCTTCATCCCTGGGATGCAAGGCTGGTTCAATATACGCAAATCAATAAATGTAATCCAGCATATAAACAGAGCCAAAGACAAAAACCACATGATTATCTCAATAGATGCAGAAAAAGCCTTTGAAAAAATTCAACAACCCTTCATGCTAAAAACTCTCAATAAATTAGGTATTGATGGGACGTATTTCAAAATAATAAGAGCTATCTATGACAAACCCACAGCCAATATCATACTGAATGGGCAAAAACTGGAAGCATTCCCTTTGAAAACTGGCACAAGACAGGGATGCCCTCTCTCACCACTCCTATTCAACATAGTGTTGGAAGTTCTGGCCAGGGCAATTAGGCAGGAGAAGGAAATAAAGGGTATTCAATTAGGAAAAGAGGAAGTCAAATTGTCCCTGTTTGCAGATGACATGATAGTATATCTAGAAAACCCCATTGTCTCAGCCCAAAATCTCCTTAAGCTGATAAGCAACTTCAGCAAAGTCTCAGGATACAAAATCAATGTACAAAAATCACAAGCATTCTTATACACCAACAACAGACAAACAGAGAGCCAAATCATGAGTGAACTCCCATTCACAATTGCTTCAAAGAGAATAAAATACCTAGGAATCCAACTTACAAGGGATGTGAAGGACCTCTTCAAGGAGAACTACAAACCACTGCTCAAGGAAATAAAAGAGGATACAAACAAATGGAAGAACATTCCATGCTCATGGGTAGGAAGAATCAATATCGTGAAAATGGCCATACTGCCCAAGGTAATTTACAGATTCAATGCCATCCCCATCAAGCTATCAATGACTTTCTTCACAGAATTGGAAAAAACTACTTTAAAGTTCATATGGAACCAAAAAAGAGCCCGCATCACCAAGTCAATCCTAAGCCAAAAGAACAAAGCTGGAGGCATCACACTACCTGACTTCAAACTATACTACAAGGCTACAGTAACCAAAACAGCATGGTACTGGTACCAAAACAGAGATATAGATCAATGGAACAGAACAGAGCCCTCAGAAATAATGCCACATATCTACAACTATCTGATCTTTGACAAACCTGAGAAAAACAAGCAATGGGGAAAGGATTCCCTATTTAATAAATGGTGCTGGGAAAACTGGCTAGCCATATGTAGAAAGCTGAAACTGGATCCCTTCCTTACACCTTATACAAAAATCAATTCAAGATGGATTAAAGACTCAAACGTTAGACCTAAAACCATAAAAACCCTAGAAGAAAACCTAGGCATTACCATTCAGGACATAGGCACGGGCAAGGACTTCATGTCTAAAACACCAAAAGCAATGGCAACAAAAGACAAAATTGACAAATGGGATCTAATTAAACTAAAGAGCTTCTGCACAGCAAAAGAAACTACCATCAGAGTGAACAGGCAACCTACAAAATGGGAGAAAATTTTCGCAACCTACTCATCTGACAAAGGGCTAATATCCAGAATCTACAATGAACTCCAACAAATTTACAAGAAAAAAACAAACAACCCCATCAAAAAGTGGGCAAAGGACATGAACAGACACTTCTCAAAAGAAGACATTTATGCAGCCAAAAAACACATGAAAAAATGCTCATCATCACTGGCCATCAGAGAAATGCAAATCAAAACCACAATGAGATACCATCTCACACCAGTTAGAATGGCAATCATTCAAAAGTCAGGAAACAACAGGTGCTGGAGAGGATGTGGAGAAATAGGAACACTTTTACACTGTTGGTGGGACTGTAAACTAGTTCAACCATTGTGGAAGTCAGTGTGGCGATTCCTCAGGGATCTAGAACTGGAAATACCATTTGACCCAGCCATCCCATTACTGGGTATATACCCAAAGGACTATAAATCATGCTGCTATAAAGACACATGCACACGTATGTTTATTGCGGCATTATTCACAATAGCAAAGACTTGGAACCAACCCAAATGTCCATCAATGATAGACTGGATTAAGAAAATGTGGCACATATACACCATGGAATACTATGCAGCCATAAAAAATGATGAGTTCATGTCCTTTGTAGGGACATGGATGAAATTGGAAATCATCATTCTCAGTAAACTATCGCAAGAACAAAAAACCAAACACCGCATATTCTCACTCATAGGTGGGAATTGAACAAAGAGATCACATGGACACAGGAAGGGGAATATCACACTCCAGGGACTGTTGTGGGGTGGGGGGAGGGGGGAGGGATAGCATCGGGAGATATACCTAATGCTATATGACGAGTTAGTGGGTGCAGCGCACCAGCATGGCACATGTATACATATGTAACTAACCTGCACAATGTGCACATGTACCCTAAAACTTAAAGTATAATAAAAAAAAAATAAAAAAAAAAATAAAAAAAATAAAAAAATAAAAAAAAAAAGAGTGTGTTCCTCCTGCAATTAATTCGGCACATCCCTTCGTTTCCCTTAAGGGATACTTTTAGTTAATTTAATATCTATAGAAACAATGCTAATGACTGATTTGCTGTTAATAAATATGTGGGTCAATCTCTGTTCGAGGCTCTCAGCTCCGAAGGCCGTGAGACCCCTGATTTCCCACTTCACACTTCTATATTTCTGTGTGTGTCTTTAATTCCTCTAGGGCTGCTGGGTTAGGGTCTCCCCAACTGAGCTCCCCAACTCAGCATCTCTGATTTCAACAAGCTTTTCAGGTGATTCTTATGCACACTGAAGTAGTAGATAATCAATAAATCTTTGATGGAAAAGAAACAGTCTCAAACAGCTTTCTCTGGAGGCAGCTTCATGGGGTGGAAAGAGCACTGGCTTTAAAGTCATCCTGACCTGGGTTTGAATTCCAGTTATGTCTCATTACTGCTTATGTGAGCTTCAACCAGTTATGCCAACTCTGTTAGTCTCATCTTTCTTATGTATACAATGGGCATAATAATACTTAGCTTACTCCATTCTGAGAGGATCCAATAAAATGGGATATATACTCAGCATAGCATCTTTTACGCTCAAACACCATTAATCTCCTCTTTTACGCTTTCCTCTTTTGAAATGTTCTAGCCCATTCCTGTCACAGTGCCTGGCACTTTGCTCAGTAAGTATTTGTTGAATAAACATAGAGTCCAGTACAACACTTTGGGGTTAGAGCCCTCCTTCCATCTCCTACTAGCTGTGAGACCATGAGCATTCAAGTTACTTGACGTGTCTGTGCTTGAGTTTCAACATTTTTACAATAGAGATAATAATAGCCTTGACCTCTGGGCTTATAGTGAGGGTCAACTAAGTTAATAGTAAAGCACTTAAAAACAATGTCTGGAACACTATAATTCTCTATACATGTTATTGAAAAAGAAAAATTCCTTACAAATATACTTCTAAACTTCAGAAGGGTCTAATTCTCAAAGAAATACATGCAATATATTTATTACTTTTCCCACAAACATAGTATTTGTTTACAATATCGCAGGTTCTGTGTGAGGCCTTGGGGACATGCAGCCTCTGTTCTCATAGAGCACACAGTCCAGAGGGAGAGGCAGACATTAATCACATAATCATATAAATGAGTAGTATGTCAAGACAAAATGAGAAACAGGTGCTGAAGCAAAGAACCACTCGTGTGGCTGGAGCTCAGGGAGCAAAGGGGAGAAAGATGGAACAAGGTGAGATGTGGGGTGAGAGAAGTGAACGGAGGCCAGACAAGCAGGGCCAGCACATATTTTGGTCTATTTCCAGAGGGAACAGAAAGCCTTTGAAGAGTTGAAGCCAGAGGTGACATGTTCAGATCTGTGTTTCTGAGGGCATGGTAACGATTGAAGCAGGCCGAGAGCAGAAGATCAATTAAAGGATTTTCACAACAGTCTAGGGGAGAGATGATGGTAGGTAAGACTAGAGCAGAGGCAGTGGAAATGGAGCCATTTAGAATTTGAGAACTATGTAAGAGAAGAAATGGACAGGATTCAGGGATGAATTGGAAACAGGAGAGAAGGGAGCGGGAGGTGTACAGAATGACTACCATTCCCTAACTACACTGGGAAAGGACTGGATTGGAGGGAGAAGATAGTAAATGTGGCACTGAGCATATTTAGTTTGATGTTGATGAGAGATGTCCAAATGGAGGGATCAAGAAGCAGTTGGACGTATTGCTCTGGGGCTCAGTGTAGGGGTCTGGGCCGGAGAAATCAGGGAGTCATAGGCTTATGGATGGCAACTACAGCCAGGAAAGCAGATGAAATTGCCCGGGGAGGAAACAGAGTGGGAGCTTAGGGAACCCCAACACTGGATGATCAGTGGGAAGAAGATGAGCCTGCAGAAGAGGCTCATGTGACAGGACAGTCTATGGAATATTAATTATTGTTTTTTCTAACTCTTATTTTTCCCTTTTCTCCCATTTTAAACTGATAGCCTGGTTTTATTATTCCTGGCTTCAGGGGTCTTGGTAGGGCCTAAAGCAAAAGAATCCTGAAGGTAAACTTCTTGCAATTTTTGGCAAATATCAAGAAGTCACAGAGAAGCTCCAAGGCAGGGTAAACTGTAAAGATCCACAGGTGGCTCAAGCTCCCAACCTGAGCAACTTAGGGCCTGTCAGAGTCCTTAGATGCAGCAGAACCTCCTGGGCCTGAGGGCCCCAAGTAGATCTGGTTGAGTGTATTCTGCAGATAATGAGAGTCTATGGCCACTGGTCAGAGGGTTCTCCCAGTGCCCTGGTGATATGTATGGCTTCCAGATCTTTGCCCAGCTCTAGGATGGGAAGCTCAAAAATAACTGAAGTTAAATTTCTCACCATGCTGGTGGGACAGTAGCAAAAAGTCTGCACTTTGCTTTAAAAATTAGAATTAAATGCGATTATTTTCAACAGTTCCACGATGTGTCATATGGATGTCTAAGGTAAAAGGAAAAATGTGCCCCTGGCTTTCATGGGAGCAAACTCATCAATAAAATTTTCAAATCTACTTATTTGATTACCTTGTTTTCAATTGAGATAACAGGATTACCCTGTTTTAAAATTTATCTTGACCGGCCAGGAGCAGTGGCTCATGCCTATAATCCTAGCACTTTGGGAGGCCAAGGCAGGCAGATTGCCTGAGCTCAGGAGTTCGAGACCAGCCTGGGCAACACAGTGAAACCTTATCTCTACTAAAATCCAAAAAATTAGCCGGTCATGGCAGCATGCACCTGTAGTCCCAGCTACTCGGGAGGCTGAGGCAGGAGAATTGCTTGAACCCAGGAGGCAGAGGTTGCAGTGAGCCGAGATCGCGCCGCCGCACTCCAACCTGAGCGACAGAGCAAGACTCTGTCTCAAAAAAAATACATAAATAAAAATAAAAATAAATAAATAAATAAATTTTCTTGACCAAGTAATGATCTAAATAAATTTTAATTAAATTGAAGTAAAATCAGAATTCCTTTTGGTACAGATAAAATATGTTTAAACTTAATGTGGTAATATACCTACTCTTTAATTTTTCAATATTTTTCTACCTATGTTAATGTTCAGGGAACAAATTGACCATTAAAAACCACATAAAAACATGTATACAGAGGCATACATTTTTCCATTTGCCTTAGGCTCCAATCTGGATCAGATAGCACTGGTTTTCATTTAAAATTTTGATATTTTGTTCAATGTAGATTTTTTACATTAATTGGGTTTTTAAAAACTTATTGCATTAAAATATTATTCACTTTGTTTACTTTTTGCATCCCCTTAATTTTACACTCAAGGTGAATGCTTCACTCAACTCACTCCAGTTCTAGTCCTATTTCTTGAACATGTAACTATGGACTGAGAATCATCCCCACTATATGGAGAAGTAGCCAGAGGTGTAAGAGAAATCCAGGAGTATAGCGTCATCAGAGTATTTCCAAAAGAGAGAATCATAAAGGGTATCAAATGTTGCTGAGAAGTCAACTAAAGCTAAAACTAAAACATACACTTGTTGAGTGATCTGCAGGTCATTGGGAACATATTGTGAAAAGCTTGAGTGGGGTGATGGGGTGGAATTGGGCTGAAATGGATGAAAAAGTGAGTAGCAAGCAGGGAAATCAAAACTTTGACTATGGACAACTCTTCTGAGATATTTGGCTCTGAAGAAGAGGAGAGGGATAGACAGGGCAGTAGCTAGAGAGAGAATTCAAGGGGGTGGGGAGGTGGGTTAATTGTATTTTTATGTGATCCAAGTATAAGAAAGAAACTTTAATATACAAGAGGGAAACTAGGGTCAATAGTAGAGTCCTGAGAAGACTGAAAGGAGATGAGATCCTAGCCAGAGGGGAAAGGATTGGCATTCAACAGCAGGTGAAAGTGTTCTGTATTACAGCCTGTGAAAGGAGGAGGGTAGGCACAGATGTAGGTGGGTTTTTATATTCGATAGCAGCAAATTGAGGAAGCTCCTTCTGAAGCCCTCAATTTTTTTCTTCTTAGAGGGAGAGAAATCCCTGAAGATAGGTGGGTAGGAATTGGGCACTGACGTTTTCAGGGAGGGGAAAAGGTTTGAGACCTGTAGTTAGGGACTTGAGGTTGGTAGGCAGAGCACTCATCAAAGCTCTTCTACATTCTGAGTCAATAAACAATGGTATCTCCCCTCTATGGAATCTATACAGTTACATAAAACATAAGGAAGCACTCTAAAGAAAGAGGAAATGATCTCCAGTATATACTGTTAAGTGAAAAAAACAAGATGTAGTCATCTAGTATAATACCTTTTGGGTAAGAAAGGGAAAATAAGAATATATCATATTAGCTTGTATTTACATGAAGAAACAGGAAAGAATACAGGCATTCCTCATTTCATAGCACATCGCTTTATTGTACTTTGCAGATATTGCATTTTTTACAAATGAAGATTTGTGGCAACCCTGCCTCAAGCAAGTGTATTTGGTGTCATTTTTCAAGAGCATGTGCTCACTTTGTGTCTCTGTGTCACATTTTGGTAATTCTCACAATATTTCAAAGTTTTTCATTATTAGTATATCTGTTATAATGATCTGTAATCAGTGATCTTTATGTTACTATTGTTTGGAGGAGCTGCATGCCACACCCATATCAGACAGAAAATTTAATAAATTGCCTGTCTTTTGACTGCTCCGTTGACTGACCATTCTTCCCGCTTTCTCTATCTCATCTTGGGCCTCTCTATGTGTTCAACACACAACAAACTAGGCCAATTAATAACCCTGCAATGGCTTCTAAGTGTTCACATCAAAGGAAGAGTCTCATGTCCCTCACTTCAAAAAGCTAGAAATGATTACACTTAGTGAGGAAGGCATGTCAAAATCTAAGACAGGCCACAAGCAAGGCCTCCTGTACCAGTTAGCCATTTTGTGAATGCAAAGGAAAAGTTCTTAAAAATATTACTCCGGTGAACACATAAATTATAAGAAAGCAAAACAGCCTTATTGCTGATGTGGAGAAAGCTTTAGTGGTCTGGATAGAAGATCAAACCACCCCCAACATTCCCTTAATCCAGAGCCTAATCCAGAGCAAGGTCCTAACTCTCTTTTGTTCTATTAAGGGTAAGAGAGGTGACGAAGCTGCAGAAGAAAAGTTCGAAGCTAACAGAGGTTGGTTCATAAGGTTTACGGAAAGAAGCCATCTCCAAAACAGAAAAGTGCAACTGCTGAGGTAGAAGCTGCCTCAGGTGATCCAGAAGATCTAGCTAAGATAATTGATGAAGGTGGCTACACTGAACAACAGATTTTCAATGTAGACCAAACAGCCTTCTGTTGGAAGAAGGTGCCATCTAAGACTTTCATAGCTAGAGAGGAGAAGTCAATGCCTGGTTTCAAAACTTCAAAGGACAGGCTGGCTCTCCTCTTAGGGGATCCAGCTGGTGACAATGCTGGTGATAGTGCAGCAGTTGAAGCCAATGCTTATTTGACATTCTGAAAATCCTGGGGTCCACAGAATCATCTCTGATGGAGATGTACAAGGAGATGAATGTTTTTTTCATGCCTACTAACACAATATCCATTCTCAGCCCATGGGTTAGGGAGTGATTTTGGCTTTTAAGTCTTATTATTTAAGAAATACATTTGGTAAAGCTATAGCTACCGCAAATAGGGATTTTTCTATGGATCTGGGCAAAGCAAATTGAAAACCTTCTGGAAAAGATTCACCATTCTAAATGACATTATGAACATTCATAATTCATGGGGAAGAAGTCAAAATATCAGCATTAATAGGAATTTGGAAGAATTTGATTCCAACTCTCATGGGTGACTTTGAGAGGCTCAAGACTTCATTAGAGGCAGTAACTGCAGATGTAGTGGAAATAACAAGAGAACTAGAATTAGAAGTGGAGCCTGAAGATGGGACTGAATGGCTGCAATCTCATGATAAGACTTGAACAGATCAGGAGTTCCTTCTTACGGATGAGCAAAGAAAGTGGTTTCTTGAACAGAAACTACTCCTGGTGTAGATGCTATGAACATTGTTAAATGACAACAAAAGATTTAGAGTATTACATAAACTTAGTTGATAAAGCAGTGGCAGGGTTTGAAAGGATTAACTCCAATTTTGAAAGAAGTTCTAATGTGGGCAAAAGCATCAAACAGCATCACATGCTTCAGAGAGATCTTTAGTGAAAGGAAGAGTCAAAGTGGCAAACTTCACTGTTAGCTTATTTTAAGAAATTGCTACAGCCACCAACCTTCAACCACCACCACTGTGTTAAGTCAGCAACCAGCCACATCAAGGCAAGACCCTCCACCAGCAAAAAGATTATGACTCACTGAAGGCTCAGATGTTTGTTAGCATATTTTAGCAATAAAGTATTTAAAAAATAATGTATGTATATTGTTCTTAAATACATAATGCTATTGCACACTTAATAGACTAAAGAATAGTGTAAACATAACTTTTAGATGTACTGGGAAACAAAAACATTTGTGTGACTCACTTTATTTTGATTGCCTGAAATTGAACCCACAATATATTCAAGATATACCTGTATATTTTACAAGCAACTTATAGAAAATGGTACTATAGAAAGCAGGGGATGAGAAATAAGGTAAATGGGACAGGTGGAAAAGAGACTCTCAATGTGTATCTTTTTATTTTTATTTTTACTTTTTGAATTATGTCAATGTATTGCCTATTAAAAAATAAAACTAAAAAATTAGAAAAATTAAGTTCCTATACATATAGGTATGCATAATTTACTCAGAATCTGTTTCCAAGACAAGTCCAAGTTGTCAAGCACTCTGACAATGTTTCAAAATGACTGCCCCATCAGTAGGATTATAACATTTCTATATCTTCTGGAAGGGAAATGTTGAGTTTAAGGTGTCAACAGGGCCTGACAGTTGTTAGGAGGATCAGAGTCATAAGAAAAGTTACTACTTTCACTCTCGAAGTGTTCTTTTACTCACTGTTTGGAGTAGACAGAAGTCCCCCAAGGTCTGCCTTTAGTGCTCATTCCCCATCTACTTCCCCTCAGTTAGCAATCTCATTCACTCTCCCTATTTCACCTGGACTCTATAATCTATATTTCCAATCCTAATCTCTCTTCCAAATTCTAGACGTGAAATCCAAATGGCCAGACCAACATGGTATATCACTCAACGTCTCAACAGGAAACAGATGGCACATTTAAATTGGGATAATTCAGAGAGGGTTTGTTTGCAAAGAGACTACTTAAAAAGGTTTGGGGGAGAGGAGAACCATGAGGGGCTACTGTGAGCTGGGCTTTTACTAGCCCTAAATCTGAAAGGATAAG
This sequence comes from Homo sapiens, assembly GCF_000001405.40. NCBI lineage: Eukaryota > Metazoa > Chordata > Mammalia > Primates > Hominidae > Homo > Homo sapiens. The sequence goes on from NC_000001.11 coordinate 113,370,297, forward strand.
AAGAGGAAGAAATTACCAGAACCAAGAAGGAGAGAAAGTTGGGAAGAGTAGGCTGCTTTGAGAGAACTGTAATTTCCTCTCAGGGGATGCAGCCAGCCTGACGGTGGTCTCGCTGGGAAGAAACCAGAGAAATAAATACCCAGGCTCCATTCTTCCCCCTCCTTATTTCCTGCTAGGCTCCCCATTGGCTAAACTCAAACAGAAGCCAGAGGGCACAGGAGGCTACGGCTGTAGCCCTTCAGATCAGTACTCCTGGGGCCCAGGGCAGAGTGGGGAAGGATGGAAAGCAGATCTGGAGGCGAAAACTGAATATAGGTGACAAGCATGGCTCCACTGATGTCCTGTTAGCACCTTAAACTTAACATCTCCCTAATCAACCACAGCATCCTTTCTTCATTAACCCAACCTTCCTCCTGGGTTCCTTAGTTACCTTGGTTAAAGGCACCACTACCTTTCAGTGCCATCCTCAATGCCACCTCCCCAGCCCTGCACATGCACACATGCACATACACACATCAAGTCTTTCTCTTCCCTTGGCTCATGAACCCCTGTAGGTGGGGCCCATGAGCCTGGACTAGCAAATATCTCATGAATTATAACAAATAACATTTATCAGGCACTGCCATATCTGGCATAATATTCAGTATTTGATTTGGATTGTCTTATTTCATCTCTCAACATAATAGCACCTACTCCGTGAAGTAGGTCCTATTATTATCCCCATTTTACAGATTAATAAACTGAGGCTAAGAAAGATTAAATAATTAACCCAATGTCACATTCTTAAAAGAGGATATCTGACATGGGAGCCCACCCTCCAGAACTATGACCTTTGTTCGCCCTCCTTCAGGGTTGAATGAACCACACACTGTGATAGCACAGTGCTTTGTTTATTGAAAAAAAGAGTCAGGTGTTGGTCAAACGATATAATTCAGAGAAAGCAAGGGTTGGAGCTAGGGTTTGAACTTGTTGCTGAATTTTAAAGGATAGAGGGGGAAAAGAGGGCATGCCAGGCAAGAAGGCCGAGGAACAGCTAGCAGGGATTATAGTTTGTGGGCTTGTGTAGAAAAGGCCTTGTCCACATCAGAGAATAAATATTCAGAAACAATGAGATAAAATTGAGGCCAGGCACTGTGGCTCATGCCTGTAATCCCAGCACTTTGGGAGGCCGAGGCGGGTGGATCACCTGAGGTCAGGAGTTCAAGACCAGCCTGGCCAACATGGTGAAACCCGGTTTCTACTAAAAATACAAAAATTAGCTGGGCGTGGTGGTGCATGCCTGTAATCCCAGCTACTTGAGAGGCTGAGGCAGGAGAATTGCTTGAACTCAGGTGGCAGTGGTTGCAGTGAGTCGAGACTCCGCCATTGCCCCCCCGCCTGGGCAACAAGAGCAAAACTCTGTCTTGGAAAAAAAAATATGTATATTTAGGAGGAAGTAAGGGAAAACAGATCACGGAGGGTCTTGAAGTCCATGAGCTGTTGAGCCTCCCTATAGAGGAAAGTGAAAGTGGTGTTTGGGGTAGATTAATTTGCCACTTACAAAGTACATAAGATGGATTAAAAGTGGAAGATTATGTGCTGCTGGAAGGACAAGCTGGAAAGTTGTTCTAATGGTCCAGAAACAAATCAGAGAAGGTCTGGATTAGAGTGAGGCAATGAAAATGAAGAATAAACATCAGATTCCAGAAATACTTCAAAGCAAAATTACCTACAGCACATACAGACTGATTGCCATGGGAATGAAAGAGGCTTGGACTTCAGTTAAGATGACTTCAGTTTCTAGCCTTTGCTGGTAGTCTTGCCATTATCGACTGAGAATTTGGAGTTAGATGGGACAGAAAGGATTAGCATAAGTTCAATTTTAGGTATATTGAGTTTGAGGTGAGGGCCTAAGTGACCTGTTTGTCATTTCCAATTTTGTCAATTTAGAGATCTAGTCTTACTATACTAAAAGAAGCAATAGTTGGGGGTCATATTATGGTTTTCCACATTTTTACCTTTTAAAAACTTTTGTTTCTTGAGTTTTTGTCTTTTCAATTCTTCTCTCTATTAATTTTCAGTACACATCTAGCCTCTGAACACATCCCTTCCTGCTGTGATGTGTGTGCTGGGGCGGGGAACAGGGTAGAGCTTGGATATCATAACACACCAGGGTACTGAAGCCCTGTGATTCAGGACTAACATACTGTGCCTCTAATTGATAATATTTTCTGCTTCACAGTAGCTGAGCTGAATTGCACAGACTTGGAGAAGTAAATGAAACAAGTGTTTTATGAAACACCAGGCAAACCATTTAAATCTATACTATGCTATGTTTTTTGCTTCCTTGTCGACGATGGAATGTGAGTGGTGTCTGAGCCACACAGTGATTTCCTTTCATGTTTGCAAATAATACCACAAATGATATTATATCCTTGCTCTGGCTCATAAGAGACTTAAAAGGCTGAGTTGACAAAACAGGAAAGTTAGGATGTAAACAACCAGATTTTCACCATCAACACTATCTTCAAAATGCTAGAATAAAAAAGGAGTTCATAGAAACCATAAATGTTGGTCTTTTGATCAGAGACAAAAAATCAAAGATAAGACCCTGTTTTTGTTTTTTTTTTGTTTTTTTGTTTTTTTGTTTTTACTAAAAAGAATACCTCTCTGGCTTGGTCTACAAAGTTTTGCCACCTCTAAAATATGTAGATGATCCCAAAGTTTAGAAAACCTTAAAAATTGGAACTACACATAAAAGAGCTTCTAGAGTTTGACTATGAAAATACCGTAAGGTATTTATAGTTTACTTTAAAATTTTACCAAAAGAACAAAGACTAAATATTTAGGTAGATATCTGCAGATACTTATGTTGTTTAAAACAGCAGCATAAATAAAGGACTTAAAGGATGGCAGGAGAAGTTTTTACTAGTAAGTCATAAAAATAGGTAAAGAGGCCAGGTGCAGTGGCTCACACCTGTAATCGCAGCACTTTGGGAGGCTAAAGCAGGAAGATTGTTTGAGCCTAGGAGTTTGAGACCAGCCTGGGCAGCATAGCAAGGCCCTCTCTCTAAAAATATTAAAAATTAGCTGGGCATAGTGACACGTTCCTATAGTTTTAGGTGCTTGGGAGGATGAGGTGGGAGGATCACTTGAACCTGGGAAGTGGAGGTTGCAGTGATCTCTGATCTTGCCACTGCACTCTAGCCTAGGCAACAGAGCGAGACTGTCTCAAAAAAAAAAAAAAAAGGGTAATGAGAAAGGAGCTGCAGGTATATGTGACAAATTTATACTATAAAATAGCATAACATTTTTTAAAAATATGGTACAATAACACCTTCACACATTACCTTACCTTGGGACTCAGTTATTTTGTTCAGTTCTGGTTTATGCAGCAAAACTGTTCAAATAAGAAGGGTTGTTATCCTGGTTTAATTAGTACTAGTATCCTCTTTCATTTGTGTCCAGATTTTGGTAAAAAGGAATTTGAGGAACAATAACAAAAACAAAAAAAAATTTTAAGTGTCCAAATTTAGACAACATGTGGTCATCTGCACACAGGTATCATGATGCAATATGCATGACTTTCAAAATCCAGTGCTTTATCAACTTTAATTCATTCAAAAAGTATTCATTTTATTTGTTATTTACCTCCTATCTGCAAGGAATGATTGAGATACAAAGATGAAAATATTGTTCCTGCCCACATGGAGCTTACATAATGCAATGTGAAAACTGCACCTGTAAACAATAAACATGTTTTAGTTCTTTCCTGAGTAAAAACTATACAACTGTTAACTGAATGATTGGGTTAGCCTGACAATACAATGGTGATAGTGAGCACCTTGTTCTTTTGTTTTGTTTTGTTGTTTTGTTTTTGCTTTTAAAATGAAGGACTCTGGTATTTCACTCTTGAACAGTAATTTCTCTGTAGCAGTGGTTTTGAGATTCAGGGTTTTTCTATTTGTTAGGGAGAAAAAAGAGCCCTGAGCAAGTTTGATGCCAGATTGCCTGGATTCAAATTCTGACTGTGTCATGTCATAGATGACTGGTCTTGGGCTTCCTATTTATTCACTCTTTATTCCTCAGTGTCCTTATTTATAAAAATTAAGGTAATCGGTGCCTGCGTCATAGTTTTTTTTTTCAGGATTATAAATGTTAATATATGTACAGGATTTAAGAATAGCACCTGGCACATGGTAAATACTTCTCATGCTTTAGCTATTACTATTTAAACATATATGTTTATACATTGTCTTAGTGAGCTCTGGCTGCTATAACAAAATACCATACACTGGTCACCTTAAACAGACGTTAATTTTTATAGTTATGGAGACTGGAAGTCCGAGACCAGGGTGGTGACAGGATTGGGCTTTATCTGTTTAGGCTAAACTAGAGAATGAAAACTGTTCTAAACAGTAAGGAGAAGGTATTAGATGTTACTTAGCATTTTGCTAAGAGTTATGAAAATGAAATGAAGGTGCTTGTTTAAAAGATGCTAGATTTTATCCGGCAAGAGCAGGCTTAAAATTTTTATTCAAAAGATGACAAAGAAGCGAAATATTTCTTAAATTGAAGAAATCAACTCAGCAGCAGGGTTACCTACAGGGTAAGTTTTTAATGCTGACAAATGTTTTGTTTTAAAAACAGATTCATTTTAGTATGTTTATTAAAGTGAATTTACTCTTATTTATTTTACGCTATTTTAATTATTCTCTCTACAACTCTGAGGAGGATAACACCCATAATTGTTCAGGAATCACCTCTGTATAAAATTTCTGTCAGCTTATACCTCTGTTTCTTAAAACAATTTTCAACCCACTGAAAGGACACAGAGCACCTTGAAAGATGGACTGATTTCAGGGCTGTGGCAGGAAATTAAGAGGAGTATGGGACATCTTGCTGTGCTGAAAAGCAAGGTGCAGGAATGAACAGGGGCAAGACATTGGTAAAGAAACAAAAAGAAAGAAAGAAAAAGGAGAGAGAGAGAAAATACAGCAAAATCTTGGTAATTGCTTAATCTGGTTGACAGATGTATGGGTTCATTTTATTCTTTTCTCTTGTATTTGTTTGAATTTTTCAATTATAAAATAAATGTTTACCTAATTTAGGGCTTCTTTAAAGCAAAGCAACACAAAGTCATACATTCTCAATGAAAGTAGACAACACAGATAAACACAAAACAGTGATAATTCTATTGCTCAAGAGATAATTACTCAACTACTGGTAACAATTTGTAATGCTTTTCTGACATTATTCATTACATATACAATTTATTTTAAAATGATTTCTTCTCCTTCAATTTCTCATATCTTTCACGGTCTAAAAGCACTACTTTGATTATTATATTATTCTATTCTATAATGCACCAGTGCATTCCATAATTACCAAATATAGTCCAAGTCTCTTCCAACCTTCTTTTCATAATCCTTTCTATGACCTTCTCTCTCCATAGACCTCTCTGCTCCAGGCACACTGGATATCCCTGGATTCAATCCAGATTTGTTTCTGCATAAATGTCACAATTTATAATCCGAACGAACACTCAAGACCTTTAAAATAATATATTTTGGGGTTTCACAGTTTAGAATTATTTATACAACTAGCAACTTGTCCTAGCACAGAGCTTAATTTTTGTGAAAAGGCCAAGCTGTTACATAAGCATTTTGCCGAGATCCATGAAAAGAAATCAAGAGAATGCATTTCTGCCTCTAAGGGATGACATGAAAACTGAAAGAAGGTGGGATAATCTGCCTCTACAGGTCACAATGCTTCCGCAGTATTTGTTTCTGCTCTGGTGGTGATGGAAGCAGCAATAGCATGCTTTCGGTTTAGCTGAGTACAGGGAGTATAACGTCCCCAAAGGTCTGGGCATCACATTCTTCTAGAACTGGGAATTTTGGCCCCTTAAACAAGCTTGTCCCTTGTTCAACTATGCTGCATTCGCTGCACACTACTTCTGCAACTAGGAAAGGTTATAATTTTGGTTATAAAAAGTATAACTCCATTGTTGTTTCTAAACTTCAACAATTCTATATGTCAATTGTTTTGTACTCTTGTTTTTCTACTCTTACGACTAGAAGGAATCTTATTCACGATAGGCGAGTATTTTCCTCATGTTTATTTTTACCAAACCTTTAAAAATCCACTAACTTGACATATACATTCAAAACTGAATTCCTGCTAATTTCCCAAGTCTTACTTCCTATTTATATTAGTTGTTCCTCTATTAATATTCTGTAAAACTTTGTTAAGATTCACGTTAAAACAACTTCCTTTTGATACAGATTAACGTCCTAGATCAAGATAAACATGGGCTAGAACCTCCTCTGCAAGCCACCTGAAACCTAGAAATCAGTTGAACCCCAAATCTCTCCAAAAACCAACAATGATGGAATTTCTGCTAATAGGTCTTGTTCTAGTAAATTTAACAGGTCCATTTTTAGCTTCAGACAGGTAGCATGCTGCTTTGGTGTGATCATGTTTTTCCATCACTGTTGATTTATCCTTCATCTTCTCTAAAGCTAATAACATGAGGTAAACTCTAATATCTTACCAGCATAAACTACCTTTAAGAAACAGAAAATTCCCTAGCCTGAGTGTCTCATACCCGAAATAGTCTGGTTTTAAAAGGTTAATCTACGTTAAAAACATTGAACTAAGGCTTGGACGAGATTCGAGACTAGTAGAGAGTTTTATTTATTCAGCACACCATCTGTAAGACACAGGGCTAGGTGATGCGGGGACATGTAGAAGTGGAGGTCTTGATTATTTTTCTTTTTCCTCTACCACTTGCTCTTCCCTCTCCCCCAACTCCTCCCTTTCACTCCACGTCCCCACTCTTTCTCGAACATAATGTTTTCAGTTTCATGTAATGTATATACACTTAGTGAAAATACTACTACTAATACTACTACTAATAATTCACAGTGCAAAGGGCATTTTGTGAAAAAACATTTCTCCTTTTCAGTCTCCTAGTCACATTGCCCAGAGACAACTACAGCCATCAGTTCTTATATATCCTTCAGAGGAACATGGGCATGTACATGCAAATATGTATATCCACTATTTTCCCCTTTTTATTCCAAATAGGAGCAAAAAATTCTATACCTTTAAAATATATTTTATGTAATCTTTCCACATCAGCATGTGAAGCTCTACTTCATCCTGCATAATAGTCTGTTGAATGTATACATCACAATTCATTTAACCAGCCTCTATTCTAGACATTCTCTACTACATGCAGTGCTACAATGTGCATGCTAGTATATGTCTTTGAAAATTCCTAGTAGTGAAACTGCACTGAAAATTTAAAAATTTTAATGCTGGCATGTTGCCCACCAAAGAACTATACTAATTTATAGTCTCATCTCAGCAACATATTATCAAACTTTTTGATCCTTGCTAATCTGTTAGGTAAAAAATGGAATTTTATTATTATTTAAAAATGAGGCTGATGTTTTTTATATGTTTAAAATCCGTTTTTTTCTATAATCACATTTAGCCTGTTTTTCCACTGGATTATTTATTTTGTTTTGCTTGCTTATTGATTTATAAGTGTTCCTTGTATAAGAAGAAAATTGCCTCTGTCAACAATATTATAAATATTTGTTCCAAGATTGTCATTTTTACTTATTTATTTCATAGGTCCAAGAAATAAAAGGTATGTCATTTATTTTTAAACTTTGTTTATGGTAATTATTTGGTAATATATACATTTAAATTTTTTGTAATCAAATTTAATAAACTTTTCTTAAGATTATCCTGTGTTCTGTGTCTTGACCAGAAAGACTGCCTTCCTCCAATATTACGAACTAATTTTAGCATCTTTTTTCTAGTACTGTTTGGGTTTTTTATATTTAAATATTTGATCAAGTGAAATTTATTTTTAAGTAAGGAATATGGTACGAATCAAGGATCAACATTTTTTTTCATGGCTAACCCAAGGATCAACATTTTTTTTCATGGCTAACCAGGGTTCTGTAACCATTTAATCCATTATTTCCTCATCGATAAATACTATTCATTTTAAAAACTCTCTCCATTGATATATATATCTACATATATATCTTACATAGTACAATGTATAATCTTAAGTGTACAATCAGATTAATTTCCACATATGTTTATACCTCTGTAAAACACACCCAGATCAGATATAAAACACTGTCAGAACCCTAGGAAGGTCCCTTGTGCCCCCTTCAGTCAATACTCCCTCAAAGGAAACCATTACTCTGACCTCAATCACCATATATTAGTTTTGCCCATTCTTGAAATTCATATCCATGGAATCACATAGTGATCTTTGTGTCAGGTTTCTTTTGCTTAAAAATTATGCCTGTGATAGTTATCTTTTTGTTTTGCTTTGTTTTGAGACAGGGTCTCACTCTGTAGTCTAGGCTGGAGTGCAGTAGTGTGATCATGGCTCACTGGAGCCTCAACCTCCTGGGCTCAGGTGATCCGGCCATCTCATCCTCTCAAGTAGCTGAGACTACAGGCATGCCCCACCATGCCCGGCAAATTTTTTCTATTTTTGTAGAGATGGGGTTTTACCATGTTGCTCAGTCTGGTTTTGAATTCTTGGGCTCAAGTGATCTGCCTGCCTTGGCCTCCCAAAGTGCTGGGATATTTATCCATTTTATTACGTGCAGATTAGTTTTTTCTTACCTTGCTGTGCGGTATAGTATATACTATCGTAAGAATATCCCAAGATTTATTTAACCATTCTAGTCATAATGAACACTTGGATTGCTTCCAGGTTCAGGCTATTATGAATAATTCTTGTATAGATCTTTTGGAGGATATACGTATTCATTGTTGTTGGATATATACCCAGGAATAGAACTGATGGGTCATAGAGTACACATATGCTAACTTTAGTAGAATCTACCAGTTTACCAAAGTGGTTGAACCATGTTACATTCTTATTAGCAGTGTATGGGATTTCCCAAGTCTACATTTTTTGCTAACACTTAATAGGGTCAGTCCTTTTAATTGTAACCATTTTGATGCAGTTGTAATGGTGATCACTGTTTCTTAACCTGGGTATTTTAACGTTTTGTTCCACTATGAAATGTCTTAAAATGACTACCATGATATAGGAAAGAAAGCTAGATGTGGAGCATAAATATTTGAATGCAAGTTTTGATTCACACTTAATGTTGAGAAACCTGTGAGTGACTATATTAAGCTTTCTGACCCACTACAAGTAGGCATATAATGATTACCTCATAGGATGATTATAGATTGAATTATTTAAAATCATGAAGTTTCAATTACCTAGTATAGCTAAAATGTCTGAAAGTACTTGGGTAAACAAGTATTTATTGAGATCCTTCTATGATCTAGGCACTCTTCTAGACATCAGGAACAAACCGGTGAACAAAACACAGAGATTCCTTCCCTCTTGAAACTTACATTCTAGAGTAGAAGCAGACAAAATAATAGATGTAACACATAAATTGTATAGTATATTAGAAAGGGTTAAATGCTGTGGACAAAGAAAAGAAAAGCTAGAGAGGGCTGTATAAGGAGGGTTAGGGGTTGGGAAAATGTTGCATTTTGAAATAGGAAGGTCAGAGTACAGGCCATGGAGAAGTGACATCTGACCAAAGACTTGGAGGTGAGGGAATCGGCCATGCAGATATCTGGGGGAAGAGCACTCCAGGCAGAGGGAGAGCTTAGGCAGAAGCATACCTGCATATAGCATGAATTATAAGAAGGCCAGGATAGTTGGGCTGGAGTCAGGTGGGAGAATAGGGGGCAGTAATGAATGAAATTAGAGAGATACATGGATAATGGCTGGGGATGAAAATGGTCCACATCAGGTAGGGCCTGTTGGTCACTGTAGGAACAAAGGCTTTTACTCAGAGTGAAATGGTAACACAATGCAGTGTTAAGCAAAGACAGACAAGATCTCACTCATTTTTTGGAAAGGATCACTCTAACTACTTATGTCTTAGTCAGCTCAGGCTGCCATAACAAAATACCATGGACTAAATGGCTGACATGACAGAAATTTATTTTCTCACAGTTTTGGAGGCTGGAAGTCTGAGATCAGGGCGGCAGCGTCGCCAGTTTCTGGTGATGGCTGTCTTCCTGGCTTGTAGACAGCTGACTTTTTCTCTGTGCCCTCTCATGGTGGGAGGAAGAGAGTGGGGGAAGAGATGAGATTAGAGCTCCACCCTTATCAGCTAATTTAATCTTAATAACCTCCCAAAAAACCTATTTCCACATTGGAGATCAGGGCTTTTGACATATGAATCTGGGGAGGATGCAATTCAGTCCATAGCAGCTTGCAACTTGAAAATTTCAATCTCTTAACTCTTAAACATTCTCAAACACACCAAGGCTGAAAAGGCAAACTTGAAAATTAACCATGTATCATTTGTATGAATGGTTCTGAAGGCTTGCTGTTGATATACTCTGTCACTTTCTTTGTCCAAGTTGTGCCTATCAGACTGTGGCTGGACAGTTAATGTATATTTAAATCCGCTAAGATTAATTTTGGGTTCTAAGCATAGAAGCACCTCATCAGAACCCATGTTACCTAGAATGTTGCCCTGATTCTGGACTGAAATTCGTCTCCCTCCCTCATCCCAAACCCAGAAAGATCACTTTCTATTAAAAGAGATTATTGAATTTTGACAAGTTATAATTGTATATATTTATGGGGTATAAAGTGATGTTATGATATGTATATATATAATATGTATATAACACACACACACAGCCACACACACTGGAATGATTGAATCAACCTAATTAACATATCCATCACCTCAAATACTTATAATTTATGTCCCGCCTAACTGAAACAGTGTATCATTTGACCAACATCTCCCCATTCTCCCCACCCCCCAGACTTTGGTAAACATCATTCTGCTTTCTGACTCTATGAGTTTGATTGTTTTATATTCCACATATAAATGAGAACATGTGGTATTTGTTTTTCTGTGCCTGGCTTATTTCACTTAGTATAATGTTCTACAGGTTCGTCCATGTTGTCACAAAGGACAGAATTTCCATCTTTTTTTTAAGGCTGAATAGTATTAACTCATTATCTATCTATCTATCTATCTATCTATCTATCTATCTATCTATACACCATATTTTCTTTATCCATTCATCTACTGATGAACACTTAGGTTGATTCCACATCTTGACTATTGTGAACATTGCTGTAATAAACATGAGTGCAGATATTTCAAATCCTTTGGATATACACTCAGAAGTGGGATTGCTGGATCATATGGTATCAAATGGTAATTCTATTTTTTGTTTTTTTTTTGAGGAACCTCCATACTGTTCTCCATAGTGGCTATACTAATTTACATTCCTATCAACAGTATACAAGGGTTTTCTTTATATCCTCACCACCAACGCTTATTACCTTTCTTTTTTTTTTTTTTTTTTTTTTTTTAGATAGGATCTCGCTCTGTCTCCTACACTGGAGTGCAGTGGCACAATCATGGCTCACTGCAGCCTTGACCTCTTGGGCTCAAGTGATCCTCCCACCTCAGCCTCCTGAGTAGCTGGGACCGCAGGCTCATGCCACCATGCCTGGCTAATTTTTAAAATTGTTTTTTGTAGGGACAAGATCTAACTACGTTGCCAGGCTGGTCTTGAACTCCTGGGCTCAAGTGATCCTCTGACCTCGGCCTCTGAAAGTGCTGGGATTATGGGCATGAGCCACTGCACCCAGCCTCATCTTTTCGATAATAGCCATTCTGACAGGTGTGAGGTGATACCTCATTGTGATTTTAATTTGCACTTCTCTGATGATTAATGATGTTGTGCATTTTTTCACATAGCTGTTGGGCACATGTGTGTTTTCTTTTGGATTACTCTTTATTTTTGAATGAAGGCCAATTCAGTATAGACCTTACTTTGGTTCCTTTTTAAGTACAGATGCTCTTTGACTTGTGATGGGGTTACATCCTGGTTAAACCCATTGTAAGTTGAAAATATGGTAAGCTGAAAATGCATTTAATACACTGAACCTAACAAACATCATAAGCTTAGCATACCCTATCTTAAACATGCTCAGAACAGTTATATTAGCCCACAGTTGGGCAAAATCATCTTACACAGAGCCTATTTTACAATAAAGCATTGAATATTTCATGTAATTTATTGAATACTGTACTGAAAGTGAAAAATATAATGGTTGGATGGTACTTGAATTATGGTTTCTACTGAATGCATAGTCCTTTTGCATCACTGTAAAGTTGAAAAATCATACGTGGAACCATTGTTAAGTCAGTAGTTGTTAGTGTAAGAAAGACCACAGTATCCTGTCTTTGAATGGCGTGTGTTTACTTTAAGCTCATGTGGTGTTTTTCCAATCATATTTACTGTGAAATTTTGGGAGTGTGTGTTTGGAAGCACTACACCTAAGTTTAGCCAAGTAAATGAGAATTTTCCTTCTGTTGAAGTAAAGGAGCCTCAGTTTGTGCTTTCTATTGGAATCTGCCACAGGCACTATTGGCTTCCAGTCTGCAATGGGAAAATAAGACTCAAAAATTTGAAGTTTTCTAACTAGTCAAATAACCTAAATGATTTTATATGGTGTCAGAGCTGTTTTAAAAAACTAGGCTTGCGAGTTAGTTTATAATTTAAGAAACAAATTCTACTTCATATAACACATTCTATAGAATAAATGTTGTTTCAAAAACTTTAAGTCATCCATGTGCTTTGACTGGATGTTACTTTCTTAAGAGATTAAACAAAAACCTTGAAATTAACATTACATCTCTCTGGAAGCTCTTCTGAATAAACATAATAAAACAAAGAACCTGTATAAATTTAAACTTAATTAAGAACTTTCCCTAACTTTTTACTTTCTATTGTCCTCCTCGTTATCTCACTGGGACAGGACATTTCAACAAAACAATTACACTCCACAAAATTCCTTATTAAGTACAATTGTAATGTATGTTTCTTTAGCTATGATCAGTCTAGAAAATTAAAGCTATAATTTCTGGTTACCACAGTGCCTTCAACAAATTTTCATCTGCATTATTTCTACCCTGGTCCAAGCTACTGTCATCTCTCATTGGGTTCTCATTCTGGGTTTCTATCTGCCTTCTCTGTTTCCACTGTCACCCCCACCCATCCTTTTCAACATAGCAATCAGAATCATAGCAATCAGACCTAAAATGTAAACCAGATTATGTCATTCCTCTCTTTAAAACTTCTGTGCTCAGAATAAGTTCCAAATTCCTTACTTTGACCTAAAAGCTTTATGTATCTGGCCTACCTCTCTGATTTCATTTCCTACCTTCTCTCCTCCATAACCCCACTCCAGCACTCTTTCTGTTCCTTACATTCACTCAGACAAAGGCCTACCTAAGTTCTTCGTGTAGGTCTGGAACGTGCTGGACTTGTATCTTCATATGGCTCACTTTTCCTTGTCATTCAGGTCTCATCACAACTGTTACTTTCCCTGAAGCCCTCTCTCTAAGTCCTCCATCTAATGAAGCCTGTGTCTACTTTTAACCACCCAATCACTTACACTTATTCTGTTTCATATTCTATTTTATTTATATTTATTACTACCAGAAATTATCTTTTTTTTTTTTTTTTGAGATGGGGTTTCACTCTGTCACCCAGGCTGAAGTGGAGCGGCCCGATCACACCTCACTGCAGCCTCGACCTCCCATGGCTCAGGTGATCCTCCCACCTCAGCCTCCTGAGTAGCTGGGACCATAGGCATGGGCCACCACGCCTGGCTAATTTTTGTATTTTTTGTAGAGACGGGGTTTTGCCATCTTGCCTAGGTTGGTCTCAAACTCCTGGGTTCAAGTGATCCACCCGCCTTGGCATGAGCCATCATGCCCGGCCAACTACCTGAAATTATCCTGATAATTTTTTTTTTTTTTTTTTTTTTTTGAGACGGAGTCTCGCTCTGTCGCCCAGGCTGGAGTGCAGTGGCGCGATCTCGGCTCACTGCAAGCTCCGCCTCCCGGGTTCACGCCATTCTCCTGCCTCAGCCTCCCGAGTAGCTGGGACTACAGGCGCCCGCCACCACGCCCGGCTAATTTTTTGTATTTTTAGTAGAGACGGGGTTTCACCGTGTTAGCCAGGATGGTCTCGATCTCCTGACCTCGTGATCCGCCCGCCTCGGCCTCCCAAAGTGCTGGGATTACAGGCGTGAGCCACCGCGCCCAGCCTATCCTGATAATTTACTCGTTTCAGGTTTACTGTCTTCTTCCCTATGAAAGGAAGGACCTTGTAAATCTGTTCATTGCTGTAAATGAATGTGTGCTAACTATACCAAAGACAAAGCACCCAGCTCAATGAGAGATACATAAATGAACCAAAAAGAGATCTTGCCCTCAGGGATCTTGAGGTCTACTGGAAAAGATAAAACACATAGATAGAAATAACACTGGAGAAGGAAGAGATGACATCCACCTATAGGAAATCCAGGCCAGCCTTGGGGAAAAGGTGGCCTTTAGAAAGATGGGCATTTTGGCATTTTCCATTTCTTTCAATGTTCTCTTTGTCCTGTTTTGTTAGACGAACTTGACACCTAACTGCTTAACTAACTCCCCTTTCCAAAACATGTTGGCACTGAAACTGATTTTCTTTTTTTTTTTAGATGGAGTCTTGCTCTGTTGCCCAGGCTGGAGTGCAATGGCAGGATTTCAGTTCACTGTAACCTCCACCTCCTGGGTTCAAGCGATTCTCCTGCCTCAGCCTCCCGAGTAGCTGGGATTACAGGTGCCCGCCACTACGTCTGGCTAATTTTTGTATTTTTAGTACAGACAGGGTTTCACCATGTTAGTCAGGCTGGTCTTGAACTCCTGACCTAAGGTGATCAGCCCACCTCAGCCTCCCAAAGTACTGGGATTACAGGTGTGAGCCACTGTGCCTGGCCAAAACTGATTTTTAATGTTCCTGTTGTTCTCTGAATTTGGGCTGGATTCATTTGGTCATTTGTAGGTAAGTGCACCTATGGGTAAAAATGCATGTTTATGTGTGAAACACAGTAATACTGATTTTAAACAATGAATTAGTTTATTTAACTGAAATAAAAATTTCCATGTTATTGCTTTTGTAATTGAGCATACTTTAGCATTGGCATACAAATTGGCCCATAACCTAGGCAAATAAAAACACTAACAAAATATAAAGTACAGTAGAACATTAATACTGAATTTGGCTAAGCTCTTAATATTGGACTACATTACATATATTATTTCCATTATATGTGTAAATATAAATATTTTCTAACCCAGTGAAAGATTTTGTGAATCAGAATTTTAACAACTTAAGATGATTTTATTATAATTATCTGCGGGAAAAAAACAGGACACATTTTCTTATATTCTGTATAAAAGGCGCATATTTGTTCCATCTGTCCACTCCACCTCTTCTCCACCCTCTGCCACCTCAATAGTTGAGAATGACTTCATCTACATAATGATGGTTTGATTTATTCTTACTAGAAATTCAGGTTTCCATGAAACTAGTGAGAATATAAATATAAACGAAATCTAACATTTGCCCCTCCATTGCTTTGGCACAGAGCCATGAACAACTCCAGGGCACTACTCACATAGACTCTGAATTGCACCACCATATGAGGCATCCCTGATTGTACAAAGAAGTAACTAAGTATGGGTCACTTCCAAAAATGGGAAATTTATACTTCCACTCTGAAGTTTTCTACTTAAAGGAGTGGGTTTTTTGAGATGGAGCCTCACTGCAATGCCCAGGCTGGAGTGCAATGGTGCAATCTTGGCTCACTGCAACCTCTGCTTCCCTGGTTCAAGCGATTCTCCCACCTCAGCCTCCTGAGTAGCTGGGATTACAGGTGCCTGCCACCATGCCGGGCTAATTTTTGTATTTTTAATAGAGACAGGGTTTCACCATGTTGGCCAGGCTGGTCTTGAACTCCTGACCTCAAGTGATCCGCCTGCCTTGGCCTCCAAAAGTGCTGGGATTACAGGCCTAAGCCTCCGTGCACGGTCAGGAGTGGGTTTACTTAACTGTCATTAGAAACATTAGGCACAATATTATGAAACAAAACAAACTTTCCACCTTGCTTAAAAAAAAATTATTAGAAGCAAATCAATGCAGTGTACACGTGGCAGACACTGTGAGTTGCTTACCCAAAAGCTAATCTCCCCTCCCTGTATTTACTAAGAGACCCCTCCCCGCCAAGTTTTGTCCCTATGTTGTGCAGCCAAGAGGCAGGGCCCCCTTCAGAGTACCAGAGGTGATACTGGATAAGTAATAAGATATTTCATTACCCTTGGCAAAGATTCATTTAGTAAAGGAAATTTGGGAAACTGTGGCCAAGAAGCTAGAGGAGAAGTCTTGCTGGAGGCCTTTCGGGGAAAGGCTTCCTTGATCTACAAAAAGGAAATGAGGAAAGGAAATATCCTTTTCCCTCCTTTCAGTCTTTAGCCATTATTGTGTGTGGATGTGATACTTGGAGCCTCTGCAGCCATCTTGGGACTGAACTTGTAAAGTTTCCATAGTGAAACATATTGATATGTTTTGGATATTTGTCCCCTCCAAATCTCATGTTGAAATGTGATCCCCAGTGTCAGAGGTGGGGCCTGGTGGGAGGTGTTTTGATCATGGGGACAGGACGGATCCCTCATGAATGGCTTAGTGCCGTCTTCTTGGCGATGAGTGAGTTCACACCTGACCTGGTTGTTTAAAAGTGTGTGGCACCTCCACCCTCTCTTGTTCCCACTTTCACCATGTGATGTGCCTGCCACTGCTGCACCTTTCACCATGACTGAATCCTACCTGAGGCCTCACCAGGAAGCCAAGCAGATACCAGCGCCATGCTTGTACAGCCTGCAGAACTGTGAGTCAACTAAACCTCTTTTCTTTATAAATTACCCAGCCTCAGGTATTTCTTTATAATGACACAAAAATGGCCTAACACACATAGCTATCTCTAGCTCTATAGATTAGATAGATTAGATAGGGATAGCCCAAAGAAACCTTGGAGATCACCAAATTCAATTGCCTCATTTATTTTTATTATTTTTGTTCCATGTTGTTTGGTTTATTAATATTCCCCAATGGAAATCACAACTATTAAACCAACCATTATTTTTGGAAAGTCGTGATAAACATGAATACAATACGATTATTTAATTAGGTGTCATTTTAGAGATAGAAGCTTAAAATATGACCCCTTTATGTAATAATTGCCAAAATAATATCCTACCAGAATTAATTCAATAGCATGGGTAGCTTATTTCTAGAATATTTTAAAAACTGAACCAAAGCTTACTAAGATGGGTGAATTTAATACAATGTTTTTAGCTTTGTCAAAGATAGTACAATTTAGCACAAACTAAAATAAAAATTTACTGTTTGCTCTATGCTGCATCCTATGTTATCAAATAGCTTGACTCAAATTACTTGACTCAAATAGCTTCATACAGTTCTCACAACAACTCAGGTAAACACTGTCATCAAACCCATTTTGTGGATGAGGAAATTGAGGATAGGCAAGGTTAAATAGCTTGCTCAAGATCACAGAGCTAGCAGTAGAAAAGCTGGGATTTGCAGTAAGTAGAAAAGCTGGGATTTGCAGTCTGATTTGCTCAAGCTCTGAACCACTGCAGTTTTCTGCCCAAGAATGAATACAACTTATTCATGGTTGAGGCATGTGGCAAACACTGTTGGATGCCTACTTAGCAACTATTTCCCCTTTTCTGCTCTCAGTCAGAACACTCATTTTGTTTAGGGGTGACTTGTGATCAATTTAATGAACTGTGGCCAATCCTATCTCTTTTTGCCAGTGACTGGTCTGATGTGGCATATGACCATTTTCTGGACAATAAGGAAGATTCTAAAGTCTGGGAAATATTTTTCTCCTTCATAAAAATGGGGGACAGCACTTCCTTTTCTTCCGTTCCTGCTCTGTGCAGTGACCTCTGTGGATGTGATGTCTGGAGCTATGGCAGCCACATTGCAATTAAGAGGTGACAAACCTGGAGACAAAAGCTCACATGCATGTGATGGCAGAGAGCAAACACAAAAAAGAGCTTGGGTCCTTGATGACATGATTGTACTGCTCAACTAACCCTGAAACTATCTGCACTTGAAATTTATATTGAAGATATAGTAAATGACCTCATGCTTTAAGCTACTGCCAAATATTCTGTTCCTTGAGGCCAAAGGCATTCTAACAGATGCAATCTAGACACAGAAAGATGTTTTCCCAGAGTTCCTGCAAAAACAGATGATGTGTAGGTTATGGAGATTTTATCCAGGAATCCATTAGTATAGGTAGTAGTTTAGAAAAAAAATACTCCAAGCTTTGTCTCAGATATGGTTAAATCTGAGCCATCCACATGGTGTCTGTGCTGAATATTTTCCCCTCAGATGCACTGTTTCCTTTTCTGAAACTGACTGATATGAACTATATCAAAAGCCTCCCTTGCCCTCTGGCGTCTGGTTGGACTTGGCCATTGACAAGCACCAGCAGGAGACTGGAGGAGGGTGGTGAGTTAGATATAAATCCCCCAGGTCCTTTGCTGGGTGTTTACTTAGGCTGACTGCATCCGTTGACTGAAGGTCACAGACTCCTGTCAGGTGGCCCTGTGTGTCTGGATTTTTCGGTAACTGTTCTTTCCCGATTGGACAGATCTAGGAGCTGTAGCCTCAGGGTTCCAGCTTCTCTTGTGGTTTCCCACACCCTGCCCACATCTTTGCAAAATGCCATTTGTTTCCTGCCAGGACCCTGACTGATACAATGGTGTCAACGAAATCACTGCAGCTATTGAAGCTTGGTCCAGTCTATCTGAGGTGTGGAGTTTTATAAGGGCTTTCACCTACTATTAAAGGGAGACAGGAGACTACACAAATAAATGTCATGCTGCAAAAGTGAAACAAAGATCATAGCTCAGAGAAAACACTTTCCACTTGAGGGCAAGAAATCAGAGAAAGCTACCTGGAAGAGCCGGCATTTGGGATGAGGACGGATAGGAGTTTTAAAAGAGATGAGATGAAGGGCATTCCAAAGACAGGGAAGAGTGTAAGTCAAGCCGGGGAAGAGAGAAAGCTCAAGTGAAATTTCTGAAAAATTAGAGCTGGAAGGGATCTACGATATCTTTTATTTAATGTTCGTTCTCCCTTCACCTCCTTTAACTGAGATTTGGCCAAGGTCAAACAGCAAGTAAGTAGCATGTCAGGACTCCAACCAGATCTGCTGGCTACCAGGTTAGTTCTTAATAATCCACCTTCTACCTCCACCCCACTCCCTCACCTCAGGCAGTCTGCTTACTTCTCAGTCTCTCCCACTAGACTGTAACCTCCTCAATAGCGGGGCTTCTGTTTTCTTCACCCTTGAATCCCAGTACCTAGCACAATATCTAACACAAAATCGTCATCGTCATCAGCAGCAGCAGCAGCAGCTACCAAACTTTAAGAGGCAACCACCCACTGTCAGGCACTATGCAGTTATTTTGTACATCTTCTGTAATCTTCACTTTTCACTGAGGACGCTGCGGCTCAGAGAGGTTGTCTAATTTGTCTTAGGTCATACAGCAGTGCCGGACTCTATTTTATAATATCTTTCATCAACCGGACTCCGAAGCCCTGCCTCAATGGGCGTTCAGTAACATCTGTTGAATGAACGAATGAACAAGCAATATCCACTCAATGCAAACTATCGGCTGTAACAGGCCACCCTAAAGGCCCCGGAACCTCGGCCGGCTCAGGACTCCGCACGTTGTCTTCCAAT
Organism: Homo sapiens; assembly: GCF_000001405.40. Classification (NCBI taxonomy): domain Eukaryota; kingdom Metazoa; phylum Chordata; class Mammalia; order Primates; family Hominidae; genus Homo; species Homo sapiens. The sequence goes on from NC_000001.11 coordinate 113,390,002, forward strand.
CTAAGCACACCGGCCCCTCTCTGCGCCCCGCACAGGCTCAGAGGCTCCGCCCGCGTCTCCGCCTAACTCGCCGGCCACGCCCCCACTTCGGGGAGCTCGGTCCCTCTCGGATTCGAGTTTTCCTCGGCTCCAGCCGCCGCGCAGAGGGCCTCTCCCGGCCCTGCGACCTACAGCCCCTTCCACTCCCCTGCCCCTCCTCTGCGCCCTCCCTCACTCTCCAAACTTCTTTTTTCCACCCTCTCTAAACTTCAGTCATTCTAGTGCCCGCCTCCTCCACTCGCACCGACCAACCAGTGGTCCCCATTCTCGTTGGCGGTCCGCCTCCTGCCCGCCGGGGGCCAATCCCTGGCGCGAGAGTCCAGGGCCGGGGCTCGTTCCCAAGCGCCCAGCCTGTGACGGCAGCGCGCCGGGCGCCGCGCGGCGGGAGGGGGCGGGGCTCTGGATGAGGGATGGGCGAGGGCCGGGGGAAGGGAAAAGGGAGGAGGAGGAGGTTGCGGCTGGTTTGAAAGCGGCAGTTTCCTGGCAGCTTGGGCAGGCGTTGGTCTCCGCGCTACAGCTCCGCAGCGGCCACGATCGATCCCGCGACGGGTCTACGCGCGCTTCTGCGCGCCCCCCACGGATTTTTCCCGTTCCCGGCTCTTCCCCCTTCACCTCCCCGCCCCCCCGCCTCAGCCTTTCCCGCCGCTCGGGCGCTGAGCCCAGGGACCAGCCGGCGGCAGTGACCCCGCCCGAAGCCCCTTCTGGAACCTCCTGGGGACAATTCCCTTTTCCTTTCTTCAGCCTAACCCGCGGTGGCCCTCGCGGAGTCCGGTCAGCCCCGGGGAGCGCAGCCGGGAGGGGCGTCCAAGGGGCGTCTCGCGTCTGGGAACGGCCGGGCCCCCAGCGGGCTGTGGTCGCGGGGTGGGGGCCGGAGCGGCGAGGCCCCCCTTACCGGGCTGCGCGGGCCGCCCAGGGCCCCCGGGCTGAGACGGGGCCGGAGCGGCGCCCCGGCCGCCCGCGCGGGGTCTCCCCCATGGTGCAGCGGGGTTCGGGATGTCGAAGACGCTGAAGAAGAAGAAGCACTGGCTCAGCAAGGTGCAGGAGTGCGCCGTGTCCTGGGCCGGGCCCCCGGGCGACTTCGGCGCGGAGATCCGCGGTGGCGCGGAGCGTGGCGAGTTCCCCTACCTGGGGCGGCTCCGCGAGGAGCCCGGCGGGGGCACCTGCTGCGTCGTCTCGGGCAAGGCGCCCAGCCCAGGCGATGTGCTGCTGGAGGTAAACGGGACGCCTGTCAGCGGGCTCACCAACCGGGACACCCTGGCTGTCATCCGCCACTTCCGCGAGCCCATCCGTCTCAAGACTGTGAAACCAGGTACGCCGGCCCTGCGTATCTGTCTCGGGGTGTTGGGGAGAGGGGCTTCAGGGTGGGCGTCCTGGGAGCGGCGGCACCTCCCCACCGCGTATTGTCCCGGGTAATCTTAGACCTCTAGGGTGTGCCAGACTCCTTGACGAGGGGGAGGGGTGGCGTTGGTGAGTCCCATTTTGCCGAAGGGAAAACTGAGCTCTGGCTTGGCGCGGTTGCTCTGCTAGCTGTGCTAGCTGTCACAGAATTGCGACTAGAAGCTGGGTTTCCTACATTTGTAGCTCCATCTCCCCCCGCAGACAAGAGTTTTTGACTAGAGAAGGCCAGCCTTTTCCTGTGTTGTGCAAAAAGGCCCTTAGGATTGTAACATTTTCTTTGGAACGATCTTACGCATCTTCTAACAGGGAAAAAGGGACTTTACTATAGAGGCACTTGGTGCCAAGGTTACCACCTGGTGTACCTGGAAGGGCTTAGCTGCTTCAGTGTTTCTTGCACTCTAGCAGACATCTCAGAGCTGACAGCCTAACTCTGTCAGTCCAGGTGGTTCAGGTGTCTGAGTACCGATGACGGTACAATATGTGATATGTGGCAGACTGGTGTGTTCTTGCAGGGAGCTGTTGAATAGAGTCTGGGTTTTGCAGGAAGACCTAGGTGCCTAGCGGAGTGAAAGCTTCTGTAACGCTTTTGATTTTACAGAATTTTGTTGAAGTGGTAGGTTAAAGGAGCCTCTGTTGCCCTGGTATCTTTTATGCTAGTAAAAATTGCTGCAAAGCACGTTATGTTTATGGCATACTCGTCAGTTTCAAAGCATTGATCAGAGACAGCATACAGTGAGATCTGATAGTATGTAGTAGTTCTTATGAATTTGTTATAGACAGCATTGTTGGTTTTGTTTCAGCATAGATAGAATGTGGTTCTGTCGTCTTAGATGTTTGTGGGAGAGAGAATTGTGATTGTAACATTATTAGAAACCAAACTGTTTTTCCTTAATGTGCTCTGCTGAGTATACGGTGCATCAAAATATAATGGGCTGGTTAATTGTTACCTGGGCTAGGTAGCAGTCCATCCCTTGATGGCAAAATGCTAGAAAATTCTGGATAAAAATTTAATATGTTATCTCCTTCTCATTTCTTTCTCAGCAGCTCGCTTTGGAAATATTAATATATCTTTAATAGTCCTTGAGCTTAATGGGGCTTGATGGTTTGTGGTGCAGTTTACATATGTCTGTGTATTGTGGATATGTATACACACAGACTCACATGCTCCTAAGGTCATAATTAAGATTTTCTTTCTATAGCGTATTCCATCGTATTCATTTTAAGTGTATGGGTTTATGTGGTGAGGTTTTCTTTTTATTGTTGTTAATTTTTTAAAACTTTGGCAGACTTTAAACAGCTTTTTCTGTATAGTTTTGAGAATTTGTAAATTTTTTTCTTAACTCTAACTTTTACAGCCATGTGTGAAAGGCAGAGGAAAGACTTTTGGGGCTGTAATTCAGCTAGTCAGGCACTGTCTGTAATATGCAAAAGGCTATATAGACAGCATTTACTAGTCTAGCTGCCAAATCTTAGTTCAAATCCCATGAGTTAGTGAATAGTGAGAACATCTGCATCATTTCTTTGTGTTTTGTTTTGATTCGTTAGGGCATAGATGAGAATATAACTTATTTTTAGAAATTTTAAAGTTGATATATTGACATGGAAGCTGGTGTATTCTAAATTATTGTGATCTTTTTTAGAAGACTGAAGAGATGGCTATTTCATAACATTAGTCTAATCTACCTGTTATACATTTTTCTCAACCTCTATATTATATTTAACAATAATTCAAGATTTAGAGCATTAGTAATATTAACTGTGTTGAATAAACATCCTATGCCCCCGTATGTAGTTGACATTATTAGAGTAATACAGTTTTGCCCTCTTGACAGCCACAGACACTGTTCTATTTTAAAGATTTAGCCAAAATAAAGGGAATAACGTATTAATGGCCACAGAACATTTTGTAGTCATTAGTAATAAAGTTCTGAATACTACACTTGTTTTTTGAAGAGACACTTTGTGTCAGTAATTTCTCAAGATACCATTATGTCTGTGTTATTTGAGATTAATATTGTTTCTAAGCAGGTTGTAATTTAAAATTTTTAATCTCTTTTAAAAATAGTATTCTTAGCTTCTTAATAGCCTCATGTTAGGTATTATATTAAATGGCTTTCTTAAATGGCTTTGCTTAAAAGCAACATTTGTTATAAAATAGCAAGATTTTTGCAGGTTAAACAGACTTTAAATACTAGAAATTAAGAATTTGAAGAGGTTATCTGTAGAACTTTTGAGTTTGATTAAAAACAAATATTATTTTCAGAAGAGACAAAGATTCTTTATTGTGATTCATTTTGGAAAGGATGAAAATAGAGTAAGGGAATTTAAAAAGAAACTTGCCATAAACATTGTTTTATTTTTTGCTTTTATCTAAACTTTGTGACAGAAATTGATTTTTCAATTTAATAAGGTATTGTAAAGTGTACTTAGCACTCTCTTGTCTTGACTAGTTGCTTTTTATTAAACCATATTCATAACATGACATTTAGAGACTAGCACAGTGAAAGAGTAAAATTTAACCATTTTTGTAAGATGTAATACTAATCGGAAATGTTCTCATATTGTCTTCTGACAAAGTCCATGGCAGAAGGATGAGCTGGGTTGTAGAACATGGCTTTTGTAGCACTGATTCTTCCTAGCCTTCTTTTCACTTAGGTGCTAAGGGTCGCCCTCCCAAAGCCAGTACTATCAGCCAGGTGACTTAACATCTTTCTGGCAGCTACTGTCTTTAGCTTTGATTTTTTTTCCCTTTTTTTGTTGTTATAATCTTTAATAGAGAATTGAAAGTTACTCTTTAAAATATGGTTTCTAATCTGAAGCTTTTCCTGAATCAATTAGGTAGTTTCTTATTGTTTTAGTGTAGTACTTAGTAGTCAGTACTTTGCCCGCTTATAGAAGAATCTTTGGTTTCACCTATTGCTTGGCTCGATTAGTTACTTGTTTCTTAATTATGACCCTGTTGTTTATTTTTCTGCAAAGAGAAAAGTTGTCATTTGAGTTTGAACTTTGTCTTTTCCCAGTAGTAAAGTTGAACTTTGGACCTCTGGTGAAATTGTTTTGTGATATACTACTATGACTAGGTTTAGTTTCTTTGATTTTACTACAGAGTATATATTCTTAAACCATTTCTATTCTGATTAATATACAAGTAGTGAATTTTGTTCTGAAATTCCCCAGACTCTAATTGTGCAGAGTTTTATGCTTCTTCATACACCTTTAAGCTCATATTTCAGCAGTTTGCTTTCAGTAAGTTTCAGTAAATTATGTGTATTTTATTCCAGAGATTAAGTATCGGTACAATAAATACATGAAATCATTGTCTACTGCCATATGCACACATTACATTCAACTACCCTAAGCAAGTAGTGTATCCAGGGATGGAAATCATAGGAAACAATGTTATAGTTTGTTTAAATAAAAACCAAGTTGAAACAGTTCCTGGGTAATGTTAAAGGTAGGTAAAAGTCTTCACTGCTGACTCTTTGGGACATCCAATTTGTAAGGGAGTTTTGTTAAAATGGGCTAATTCCTAGAAATACACTTCCTGTTGGTGAAGAAACACTACTGGATGCTTTAAAATAGGAAATATTTATGTTATTCAAATAAAAATAATGCTGTGCCTTTCTTATCTCTTGAATCTTTTTGTTAGTTTTTTTTTTTTTTTTTTTTTTTTTTTTTAGTGGGATATTTAGGATTTTTGATGAGTTTTGTTTAGGTGGTTGTATTATATGAGGATGGGAAAGGTAAGAGAATTTAGAGTTAATTGTTAGCCTCCCAGGCTTACAATACATTTCTTCGTACCTTTTTTAAAACAAGAAAATCTAGAGACCTAGAGATTATTTTAGAAACAATAGAAAAAGAAGCAAGCCAAGCCCCTTTGCTAGGGAAAGTAGCATTACATTTTGATAAACCTTGAAGTTGAAAATTTCCTATTTCAAATTTTGGTAGTTTTTTTTTCTTTTTTCCCTAAAGCTCTTAATAACTCAGGGGTTCAGGTTTTGGATTCTGTTCATTGACACCTTCAATTCATATGAGTAATGGGCTTACACCTTAGCAATTGCAAGCTGATTTGCTTGCATGATATTTGATGACTTTTATTATATCATTAACATCTTTGTACTTAAAAAATATTTTCTCTCCATCATTCTCTAAGAGTACTATATCCAAATATCTCAGTATGTATATATGTATATACGTGTGTGTATATATATATTATATGCATATATGTATATGTATATACACACACACATACTTTTGTTAACTTTTCTTGTATATCATTTTCTAGTATATCATTTTGGGTACTTTATTGATCCTGCCCTCACCCCCAGACTTTTATAATTTAGTTTGTAAAACTTTATTTTCCTAGGTTGAGGCATTTTAATAATTCTTTAATTTCTTGCTATCTTACTGGTACAAACAAATACTTAACATTTGGCCATTTGATTTTTAGATGATTTTAAATTTTATTCAGTTTATTGCTAAAACTGATTTTCATGTAACATAACTCTGTGTTCCTGGGACGTATACATTATTTTTCCTCTGAGATCCTGGCACATACTTTATAAAACCTTTTGTTTTGAGAGACAAATTTTTGTGATTTTTTTTCTGCTAATTTATGTAAACTGGCGACAAAACAAATCTTCTAAATTCATTCAAGTGTCTGACTTATGAAGTCAGTGCCTAATCTTCTCAAGTGATAGTTTCATACAGAGTCTTTACTATGTAACCCCTAAGTGCTTTGTAATTTTTGGGGGGACTTAGTGTTTTGGGAGTATGTTGAAAGAGAATCTTGTTTTTATGGATTACTTCAGTATTATTTACCAATTTCAAAATCTGTGAATGTCAGGGTTGTGTGTGTGTGTGTGTGTGTGTGTGTGTGTGATTTGACAAAAGATAAGTGTTTTGGTATTGAAGACTAGAACCGTTTCGCCTTTAATAAATTATTTTTTGTCTTCTGAAATTTTGAGCAATAATTTTCTTGAAATACTACATTTTGGTAGATAGAGTGAATGCCCTGAATTTAAAACTATTGTCTAAAGTAAGAGTTTCAGAAACTTAGAAGCTGGTGTTATGAGACATGTTTGTAGGGAAAGAGGCAAATCCATTCATTGCTCTTCTAGCTAATTTTGCTAACAAAATATCTTGCTAATATTTTGTTTTTGAAGAACAACTATTATTCAGAATGTTTTCCAAGAAAAGATGCATATTTTATTTAATACAGAAAAAATAAGAAGTCCTATTACTGGCACGCATTCATTCCCTCAGCAAATACTTAGTGGTGCACCCACCAAGTGCCAGCATGGAGCTAGCACTGGCGATATAAACATGAGTCAGAAATTGTGTGTCTTCAAGAAGCTGGCAGTTTAGTGGGAGCTTAATGACTCATTGGTAAGGAATACCTGTAGTAAGGGTTTTGCCTTTTTCACTTTTCTGCCAGTGTTTAAAACTCTTTAGGTAGGTCTTAGTATGAATTTTGGTGAAAATGAGACTAACTGGCTGCATAGTGTGCTATTCGAAAAAGTAGTGGAGCTGCATTTTAGAAAGGATTTGGGTTCTCAAGTCATCACAAAAAGAGGGAAATCAAATATAAGCAAAACTGTCTTTTCAAAAAGCCCTTAAATTGTGCATAAAATACTATATTGTACTGTTTGTAGGATGAGTCCAAATGCCACTTTTCCACCCATGTTGGAACCAATTGCAGTTTTTTGGTCGAATACCAGAAGAAGTAATTTGCTTGCATTAAAAAGATATGTTTTACAAAAAAACTTTTAATTCTAAGAAATTATCCTCATCTAGGTATGTACAGTGAATTTATGGAAATTAAATGTGTACATGAAGTGAAAGAATGATTTCTTTTCTTTTTTTCTTTTTAATATCTTGGTAGGATCCACGCCATCTGCCCTTGTTTTCTGACTTGAGTGGTTGAGGAATGAATTGTGAATAATTTTGAACTTGTTTGGGTTTTGAAAGATGACAGATTTTGGTTGAGTGGAATTAGGATCTTTCCAGTAGTAGGTAAGAAGCAGAGGAGGAGAAAAACACAGGGCAAAAACGTTCCATACAGAAAGGTTTACAGTGTGGTCCATCTCAATAATTTTGTGTGTGTTTGTGTACAAGGGCACAAAATCCACATTATAGAATAATTGGAAATTATTTTGTACAAGGGCACAAAATCCACATTATAGAATAATTGGAAAATAGAGGGAAGATCATATTAATTGTTTAAATGTATAGGTAGTTCCATTATGAATAGTCTCCTGTAAGTTTTTTTTAAATGTGTTATCTCCTCGAAATAATGCTCTAAGGTGCTTAATGCTATTTCTGCCTTCAGCCTCATTCCACTCATAATGTTATACTATGAATATTTTTATTTAACCCTTAATGTACCATTAGTTCTGTTCTTTATGGTTAATAGCCCTATTTTTGTTGTTTTGGAAGTCTAGCCAGTTTTATGGGAAAACACAATTTGCTAGCCTAGGAAAAAGGGAATTGAAAAATATATTTTCATCTTAATCCCGCCTTCCCTTTTGTTACAGCCACAGCCGACTGGCTTCCAGTGAGAAGGGTGGCATCATTATATCTCCATTCTTCCCTGAACCCTAGCAATTTATCCTGATGCAGCCACTCAGCTGCATTGCAGTGGTTTCCAGGAGCAACCCACTTACCTGCAGCCCCCACCCATTTCAGTCATCCCAACATGGCCAGGGGAACATAGATTACATTTTGAGGACCATAATTTGACTTATGACATATCTAAATACCTGAGAAAGGACACGCTGTCCTTATAGGTGATTAGGTACTTGTTTTATTAACACATACTGAGAGATATTGTTTTAGAGACTCTGTATGGGTTATGAAGGGTTAAACTTTTTTGCCATAATTTGTTTGGAGTTTAGGGTTTGGTTTTAAAAAATATCATGCAGTGGTAATTGGAAAAAATTTTGTTTCAAATTTATTAATAATTAAGATCTTTTCTATTTGGAGGCTTCCCTTTTTATTGTCTTGGGTATACAATGTGAACGGTAACCGATCTACTTAATTAAAACTTTCTGGCATTTTAGCCTCTTTGCTTTTGCTGGTTTTTTTGCACATAATTTGAAACACGTAATTATTATTTTCTGGCTTCAGGGGAGTTTGTGAGAGGCAAGCCTGTATCTCGTTGTTCTGATTGGGAATTACACATGACTATGAAAAATGGGATTTTACTATACATAATGGCATTTAACAGAAGTAGTTTTATGAAAGGAAAATATCCTACAAGGTAGGAAAAAAACAAGTATTTATTAATGCTTCATTTTCTGAACTTAAATAGAATTAAGCTAAATTGGCTTTGCTTTTTCCTCCAATAAAATAACTTTTAAAAATTCACTTTAATGGAGTAGTTCCAGAGATATATTACTCTTTGGATATGGTTATCTAGTTTGCAGCAAGTATCTTGTGATATATAGCTTAGATCTCAGCAGGAAAGAAAAAAATCTTAATTTACATATCAGTTTCTGTATTTGTAAGAATTCTGTAGCAAGTGACAGAAACGCTGTTGAGATTAATGTAGGCTAAGAAGAAATTTATTGACTTACATACATTAAAATCCAGGCATAGATCAGTAACAGCTAACTTCTGTTCTCAAGTGTTGGTCATTAGAATTATTATTTGGTTCTCTTTTCTTCTGGGTTGGATTTTTTCTCAGCTAGACTGTCAGTGTAGCGGTGAAGGTAGCTCTGAACCCCGAAGTCATACAGGGTCCTTAAAGCTTCTCATCTTTTTGGAGTCTAATAACAAATCTCATGCAGGGACTTTGGCCCTGTGCCCATCTCTTGGACCAATTATTGTAGAGAGAGGAGAGGACAATGAAGTGCCATGATTGGTCAGGCGTGGGGACATGTCTACCCTTGCAGCTGGGTATAAATAGCATAATATGATTAATAACTGTAGCAGAACCCCAAGACGTAAGGGAGGGGGAGTTCCTGAAAGGGTGGGATGCCGAGGAATCAATACTACAGGAAATGATCTCTTTTAAAACATTTAATCTCTCTTACTTGGAGGCCAGAAGTAGTACACAGTTGTCATAAAACTATCATTTTTAGAAAAACAGATATTGGCTGTAAACCAAAACTGATTTGATTTCTAGGCACTGCTTTTACTCAAATATTTAAATAAAAAATTGCTTTTATTTAAAAGTTATTTCTTTAAAAAATTGAAATACTGATACCTTAATGTGCACAATTTAAAAGTATTTCTTGTAATTTTTATTTAATTTTCTTTAAAAAAATTAAATAAGATTCTCTAAAATCAATGCTGTTGATTTTTAGGGAGATGGAATACTTTGGAAGATTAACAGTCTTTGGCATTGAGAAAAATATTATTAGCCTAGTTAAACAATTACGTTTTTAAAACAATTTTATTCTACCATTTTGAAAATGAAATTCTAAACGAATTACTTTCCAAGGTGTTTTGCTTTTAAAACAATGGTCTTTTTAAACACAAATTGAGACAATGTCATTATTGTAGTATTTCTGAGGGCTCCCTAATAATACTTTTTAACCATGATTTCGTGGAAATTATGTGAAAGGAACTACTTCACTGACTCTTATATAAAATGGGTATATAAGAGTTTTGAAACATTACTTAAGTATGGTGTCATGTGGTAACTGTTTAATTACCAAAAATGTTATTTGGCAGATATTGCAGGATAAAATCTGATCCCCTTTTTAAAGTTTTTTATAGCCTCCACTGGGAGAACAGAGGTACTCAGAGCAGGGGTAGACAGTTGAAAGAGAGGGGTGGGTGCTCCAAATAACATTTCATACTATTTTTATATTCTATTACTGTATCAATGTCTTCAGCTTTGGTGCCATAAAAATAATAATTTTAGTAATAACTTTGAGTTTATATATGCCATGCACAGTAGGAGTTTTGTAGTTTTGCCAAGTGTCATCTGGTAGTTGGATCTTTAGTGAATATTAAATGTTGGTAGATTATTGGTGAATGCACTTACTGTACATAAAAATGAACATTCATGGAATTGGGTGTGATTTGCCAGTAAGAATCATCATAGCAAGTACTTTGTATTGTTAGATTAGTTTGGGCACCCTTCGGATGACTTTAGACCATATTTGGAAAATTACTGCTTCTACTTCAAAAGCCTGTAATAATTAGAGTTCTCCAATATTAATTCCATATATTGATTAATTAAGCCATGAAATCTAGTAAAATGATATAGTCTTTATTACCTCTGTTCACAGAATTGTATCTCAATCCAACTTGGTAGCTTTCAGCAGAACACTTTGTCAAAATATTATTAATTTTAGCTAAGAATTCTATTCACTAATTTCAGTGTTTAAGTTAGAATGCACATGCTAGTGAAAATTTTAATTTCCTTTGAATAGAATTAGATTTGCTAACTAGAGCAATCTCACAATGTAATGCTGATGACTGAAATGACACTTCAGCCTCCCTTGGGTGACAACCCTAAGTTTAGACAACCTTACTCTAATAGGAATATTGAGGACTTATCACAACATATTAGCTGTCATTTAGAGTAATAACTTCCATGTCAGGGCATTTTATACCTGTCTTATTTGGTTTATAAGGATGTATATATTAGCATTCATGTTTTCTTATAAAGAACTTTATATATTTTTATTCTCTATGAGTCAGATATTATCATCTTCCTTTACACATGAGAAAATTGAGTTAGAGAGATTAACACGTGAAAGTTCACACAGACTCACAGGAAGAATTATGAACTGACACAGCGTTGAGTCTTTCTTTACTTTCTGGATAGAATATTAGTTCATTATATCCAAAAAACCTGTCTTCCTTTTTCTAGTAAAAGGAAAAAGCACAATTCTGAATTGTTTGCGTGGGTGTTAAATGCAGTAAAACACTGGGCAAGTACTTACAATAAAGGCTTCACTGCTTGGTTCTGTTTCAAAACAGAGTTTGTGGCCGTGCAGTTTAATCTGTACAGCTAAGCTGCATGATAAAGTAGTTATTTCCAAGAATTGCTAATCAAGCAGAAAGTTAGTATTCTTGCTACATTTGTAAGAGAATATTTTCAGCAGAATATTTTTATTGCGGAAAATATTCTCTATAATATGTAAAAGCCCAGATAAATATATTAGATACATATTTTAGGATAAATATACTTGGGAAAATTGCATATTAGAAATAATATTTTGTTCTTGTGTTTCCTTTCTACTTCCTCTGTAATTCACTCACCAGGAAGGTGTTAGCACATTTACTGAGAGCCTAGAAAATGTTCTGGTGAATGTAGAAAGGAACGTACTTTAGAATTAGGGATCTTTTATAAGTATGCAGACCCTTCTCACAAAAGTACACTTTGCTTGAATAAAATTTAGCTAAGCTAGGTAAAAGAATAACTCATTGCATTTAAGTAGACCTTTCTCCTTCTAGACTTCGAGTATTGCACACCTAAGATGGATCCTTTGAAGAGGCAGGTAAAGCAGGTTGTGGATTGTTGGAACCTCTTATTCTTTAAGTGTTTACGCTGTTATGTTTTCTCTCTGGGCTAAAGTCAGTCACTTGAGTGGAAGGAAACACAGCAATCCAATCTTAGTATATGGATAAACAATTCGAGGCTTAGCAATGGCAGAAGTCATAGCATAAGCATGGTAGAGCAGAGACTAGAACTCAGATTGTTTAGTTCCTTTCATTGTTCTAGTTTCTGGCATAAGAATTTGTGTAGAAAATTGGCGAAAAAAGGACCTGTTAAACATATTCTGTTTCTTTATGAAATCTGCATTCTCTTGGAACTAAGTGTAATGTGCTAGACTCAGTTTGTTAGGCCATCAGTGTGCATGAATGTGGTTAGAGGCAGTGGTATCCCCGAACCTGCAGCACAGGAAAGAATTTTAATCATTATATGCCATGGATTTTCAGGGCATTTTAAGCCTTTATAATGGTGTAACTTATGATTAAGATTTACACAGTCAAAATTGTTAGCTGGTATAATAGCTGAATAGTTAAGTATTTATTTTGGTTAGTTACTTTAGCTTTAGCTTTGAAAAATCATTTTTCCTATCGGAGATTCTTCACAATGCTTTCAGTAAAATGTTTCTGAATAGTTCCTGCTATATGGTAGACTGCTAACACTGTTTCTTGCTCTCTCTGTGGGGCTGATGCTACAAGTCTGATTTAGAGTCAGCTGTGCTTTTATTTTTTTCCTTGAGTGACTAGGGGATGCATTGGGGGAAGATAAATTTTAGGGCAAGAGGACACTCAGGGTTGTGGGAGATGAACTGTCAAGGATACCTTTGGCTCACTGTCCTCAAGCTTGTTCGGCTGCAGTGATGGCATAACTGAGAAGAGGGATTGTGCTCTTGCTGGGTGCGGGACAAGAAGATGTCTCAGGCCACGTAAAGCTGGCCACAGCAGAGGACAAGGTATTCCCTGTGAGGCAAAACTGAAGAAAGGGGATTGAGGTGGCAGTTCTGGGGAAACTATGTTTGTTAGGTAGACTAATGGGAATGATGGAGTCTTGCTTGGGCTCTTTGTAGGTCAGTGGAAGAACAGCATGAATGTGGACATGAAAAAATCTTTCTGCAATCCATTTACCACATACTCCTTTGCAATATCAGTCAGGGTTCAGTGCAGGAAACAGAAGGGGATATAATGCAGGGAATTAATTGCTTAGGGAATCTTTTGAAAGGGCTGGAGGGCTGGGCTCTAGACTGAGCCTCTGAGAATGATTTCCAGGACACCTTGAAACAGTCCACAGTGGGAGCTGCCACCTCTGCTTGAGTCAGGAAAGTGGCAATCAGGAGGTTGCTACTGAAACAGTGGCAAGAAAATGCTACTGTAGCTGTGATCCAGGTGATCAGGGCAGCCACTGCTGTTAACATTGTAACTGCTGGAAGTCTGGAATGTAGGATCTGGCCATTGCTGTGACAGCTTCTCCTTGATGCTCGTGAACTGGTGACTAGATGCTGTTATGATGAATCTGGTCCCTGCTGCCTTTGCCATTGTCTCTAAAATAATTAGAAAATGATTAATTATGTTTTTAATATAATTTAATTGTAATTTTATGCAACTAAATTCTTAATAGTGGCTGTGTTTGACAACTGATTTGTGAAATTCATAAAAATTTAATAATTGGCCTTGCAAGAGAGTACAGCCAACTCCATTGCATCACTGTAAAACCTCCTAGCTGACGGTTCTACTCCTTAATTGAAAATTCTCTCTTTTTTGTTTTAGTTCAAAGCTGGAGACTGGATACTGACATGTTCATGACCTTGTGTACAAGCTGAAAGCTGCTGAAAGCTACAGGCCAATGGGGCTCTGCTTTACTTCTGCCTTCCATATCTTGTGTCCTGCATCTTAATGGTGGAATCAGATTTGCATCCAGAATACTAGCTATAAAGGAGTCTGGAAAAGACAGTTTTTAGTTTTCCAACTTCTGCGTTTCAGGAAGGCATACTACAAGGAGGAAGTCGCTGAGTGATAGCTGATCCTTTCCCAGGCACTCATCTTCTTAAACATAGTATATTAATTACAATTTAGCCCATTCTTGATGGCTCATTGTCATTTCTGTGAGCTTCTCTTTTCATAATGGCCTGTAGTTGGAATAATCATAGGGCCAAGGGATTTTAACATCTGTAGTAACTTTTTGTCCTAGGTTAGCTTGTATCTCTCCCACCTCCCATAACTGCTGCTGAGACATCTATGTTTGATATCATTTGACGTCAACCTCCCCTGCAAGCCACAGGCAGGGAGAGCACCTCACCCAAAGCAACCAGTTTATTGGCTGGTCAGCAACCTGTGATTTCTGTAGCTTAAAAAGATGAGTGGGGCTTATTGTCTTTTGAACTAAGACAAAAAGGAAAGAATTTCCAATTAAGGGTGGGAGCTTCAGCTGAGAGGTTTTGAAGTGAGTTGGCTGTATTCTTTTGCAAGACCAATTGTTAAATTTTCAAGAATTTTGTGAGTTGTCAAACAGCCATTTTTAAGAATTAAGTTGCATAATAATTTAATAAAAACAAAGATAAATACTCAAAACAAATTATTTCCTAATTATTTGCCCACATTTTACAATTATCTATGCTTTTGAATTTCTTTATATCTACTATATCTGTATGGTAGAAACACTATATAGTGGTTTGCTACTGTGCATATCTTCCCAGCTCCCTTTTCACTGTTATCACAGTTGACTATGGTGGTAGTTGTTGGCATTTCCTGAACATATCACACTGATTGTGGGGGCGGGGAGGGAGAATCAAAGTTGGAGAGGTCATGAGAAACCATGTACAAACTAAAATTATGGGAGAAGAAACTATGAGTGAAACGATGAGAAAAACCTAATGCATGATGTAGAACTGAGTGGTGTTAATAGCAGAGCACTGGAGGGAAGGGCCACAAAACTCTTCACCCCAAGGTCTAGAATCATTCTAGAATCATCCTACAAGCCTAGTTTTCATGAGATTCAGCCCTATTTTATTTCTTGCTCTTGGAATTATATGAAATTACGAATTTCTGTGTGTTGCCAGCTGTAATAGAATACCCTGGAATTTTATTTACTTTTAATTTTGTTTATTTATTTATGCTTATGTGCCATCTTCTCATGAAAAAGAGGCAGTATGTTAAAAGTTTGAGTTCAGATTTTCTGATGTAGATAAATAAGCTAAAGAAGGCAGGGTGAAGTGTGATATATGAGAATTTCCAGAGCAGGGTATTCGTAACTTGTAAGTATTTAGTCCAAGTTCCCTCTCCCAACACATTTTACACTAGAATAAGATTGAAAGGCCAGATGTGGTGGCTCACGCCTGAAATCACTTTGGGAGGCCAAGGCAAGTGGATTGCTTGAGCCCAGGAGTTCAAGACCAGCCTGGGCTACATGGCGGAACCCCATCT
This sequence comes from Homo sapiens, assembly GCF_000001405.40. Taxonomy (NCBI): domain Eukaryota; kingdom Metazoa; phylum Chordata; class Mammalia; order Primates; family Hominidae; genus Homo; species Homo sapiens. The sequence continues at coordinate 113,405,308 of NC_000001.11, forward strand.
CTACAAAAAAATACAATAAAAGGTAACTGGGCATGGTGGTGTGTGCCTGTATTCCCAGCTACTTGGGAGGCTAAAGTGGGAGGATCACTTGAACCCAGGCAGGTCGAGGCTGCAGTGAGCCATGCTTGTACCTGCATACTGCCTGGGCAACAGAGTGAAACTGTCTCAAAAAAAAAAAAAAAAAAAAAAAAAAAAGACTGAAGGCTGTCTTGAGGAATGCCACTTATAAATACATTTTTAAAAATTCAGTAATATTTTTCATGTATAAACATTGTGGAGACTATTGTAGTTGCTTGTACAATACTGGGGCATTGGTGATATCTGTCTCTTTACTATTGTAGCTCCTGCCTACGCCTTTAGTAACTGCTAAGGTGCAGACTGTAGATCTGGACTGTCTGTGTCTGTGGCTCACAACCTCAACTTCTCTGCTGCCTTTGATTTGCTCCCTCTGCAGTTTTGTTTTCTCTGTACTCCGATTGCTTCTCCCATGCTTCTCTGCTTTCCAAAGAAAAAACTGACCTTGTATAGATCCTGTCAGCTGATTGCAGTGCTCTTAACTTCTCCATTGTGAGTTGTTCAGTCTGAGGAGTTAGGTATAAACCCAGAGTGGTATTCTCTTTTCTGTTGTGTTTGGTTTTGCTTACATATTCAGGAGCTGCTCTTTACCCCCAGAACATCCGTATATATGTTTTTTTCTGTTTCTAGATTTAAAAATATTCCAGAAGCCTGGCCTCAAGATAGATAATATTTTACTTTTAATTTGGTGCCCTTGTTTTAGAGATTTGAACTGGATTGCATTTAGTAAACCAAACCCCATCTTTAAAAAAATCATCTTAAAAAAAAATAGTGGGCCGGACATGATGGCTCACATCTGTAAATCCCAGCACTTTGGGAGACTGAGGTGGGAGGACTGCTTGAGCCCAGGAGTTTGAGACCAGCCTGGGCAACACAGTGAGACCTTTTGTCTACAGAAAAAAAAAAAAAAAAAAAATTAGCCGGGTGTGGTGGCACGTGCCTGTAGTTCCAGCTACTCAGGAGGCTAAGATAAGAGGATCACATGAGCCCAGGAGTTGGAGGCTGCAGTAAATTATGATCGTGCTACTGTACTCCAGCCTGGATGACAGAGCAAGACCCTATCTCTAAGAAAAAAAAAAAAGGAAAAAAAAACTGGTTCAAATTGGATTTTTCTATTCTTTCATAAGATGATAAATGAAAAAAAAAAGAAAATAGATTTTTGAAAAGCAAATAATCTCTTGGAATTTCTTATTAAAGTATAAAAAATTATCTAATTGAGGCATGTTAATCCAATATTAAAGTATTAAAGGCTGAGTGTGGTGGCACAGGCTTATAGTCCCAGCTACTCATGAGATTTGAGACCAGGTGAACTGCCTGAGTTCAAGACCAGCCTGAGCAACATAGTGAGACCCTGTCTCTAAAAACAGGTAAATAAAAAAAAAAATTTCCTCTGATTACAGGAGATAGGTAGAAAAAATGTGTTACAGTGCAGATGAGAATTTCCTTAGCACTTTTAATGTGAAGTTTATTTAGATTGGGTGGCCAGGGAAAGCATCCCTGAGGAGGGGACATGTCCATTGTGAGTTGAATGACTGGGAGGCAGGCATCTGCCCTCTGAAAATTTTTTACTCAGAGAGAATTGTAAAACACAAATATGAGAACCTGGTTCGATATAGGAATAGAAAGGCTGATATGGCTGGCACCAACTAAATGAGGGGTGAAAGTGAGAGGGATCAGATTGAAGAAGTAGACGGGGACCAGTGGGGGTCTGTTAGCCACAGTAAGGGGTTTGGATTTTATTTATTCTTAATGCCACTGGAAAGTATAAAGTTGGAGAATGATTGGTATGTATGTCAAAAAGTCATTGTTTGTGATGTGGAAGGAGGGCAAGAGTGGAAGAAGGGAAACCCTTTAGTTTGGATGAAAATAAATGATGGCTTGGACTTATAAGAATAGTGGCAGTGAAATGAAGTGGATAGATTTGAGATATGTTTTTAAAGAGGAACTAAATAAGACTTAACTGATTGATTGCAGGTAAGGAAGGGAGAGGACTTCAAGAGAACCTCTAGGTTTTTGCTTTGAGTAACTGGTGGTGGTACTATTTCCAGGAATAGGAAAGACAGGAGGTTGGGTGGAGTGATCAGATTTTTTGTGTGAAGGAGATATATCTACCACCAAGATTATTTTCTTAACTTTTTACTGTACTTGCTTTATTATACATTAACCTATTCCTCCATCCATCAATCTGTCTTTTTTTTTTTTATGCCTTTCAATGTAAATTGCAATGCATTTCCACAAGAAAGGCTTTTAAGTGCCCAGTTTTTCTAATTTTACAGATGAGAAAACTAAACCTTGGAGAAAAATATGCTCAAGGTCGTATAGCTAGTTACTGGTGAATCTAGGATCAGCATGCAGGTTACCATTAGTTCAGGACTCTAATTTGATTATATTTTAGCTTGTAAGAATAAAAGTGAAATTTGGAAATGGGACAAGTTTTCCCACGAACTCGTTTATGTGCTAAAATATCTTAGACCCAAATTTCTATGTCAAAAATGCAAAAGATGTAGTACTACAGTTGCATTTGACTGGATTACAATGTTAGCACGGCACTTAGGACTTGTTGGAAAGTACCTTCTAATGTTGTAGAATTGGAACATTTTCAGATGTTTGGTTCAGGAAGGTAGCTTGGGATTCTTCCAAGCATTAATCCTCTTATTGGCAAGGCATTTGGATTTTAATTAGCAAATGTGCCTTGCATACCTACTATGCACTAAGCCCCATGCAAGGCCCAGATACCATAAAAGAGAATGATTCAAGTTCCGTACTTCAAAGTAATTCAGCCTTTGACTTCTGTGTCAATTTTCTGAAATTTCTCTTTTTTTGCTGTATGTTTGTTTAAAAATATAATAAAAACTGAAGTTCAGAAAGGAAGAGAAGCTTATTCAATCTAGGCAAAACTTCAGCCTCCTTGTTAAAATTTTATGCATATGACTGACATAGGCTACTGAATTGAATCAATAGCTAGTAGTGTGAAGGGCAAACAGATTTTTCATTTGCTTTGTGTAAGCACTTTATTTTCCAAGGAGTGAAAATAAGCTGTTTTAGTTTCTGTCCTATGGAATTAACTAGCTAGGTTATCAGTTAAGTTGGTATCCAACCTGGAAGTTAATGACTTAAGTTGGTACAGAAATATGAGACATGTTTGTCTTTAAAAGTCAAACTAATTGTCTGTCTTTAAAAGTCAAACTAATTGTCTCATATTGATATTATTTTTATGCTTTCTTGTAAAATAAACATTTTCACTATTGAGCTCTGAGAATTTGGATTTTGAGGAAATTAACCCAATAGAGCATTATGTTCTTTCCTTGAAGTGGTCATTCTCTGTTCTAAAATTTAATATCCTCCAACAACTCTCTCAGCTCATATCTTCCCAAACTCATTTCCCATTAGTACCTAATATGAATACTCAGTTACAGCCAAAGTATTTGTTACACATCTTCAAAATCCAGTCCTAAATTTATTTCCTTTAGAGATTTTTCTAGGATTAATCTATTACTTTTTATTTCTGTATTTTTCACCCCCAGGATACCTAAATAGTTCTGTACTTTGCCATATATTATTATTAATTTTATAGCTATTTAGTGCAGTAATTTAGACCTACCCAGCAGACTGTAGTGATAAAATTGATCTATTTATTACTGATGCTGAAAAAAACTTAGCAAATTTAAGTTAATCTGTAAACACTTTCTATACTGGAAGGCATCTTTATACCTTTGACAAGAAGAGTTTCTCTTTGGTGGAAAGTTTCAAGAGGAACACACATGGGTTAAAAAAGGATCTGTTCTTTTTTTTTTTCTTTTTTTTTCCAGTTCACTCTCCCAAATTTGACAAGGAAAAAGAGAAATGGAATGGAATTTAGTTCCTTGTTAGTAAGAATTAGAAAAGTATAAAGGTAGAGGAGACCAAAATTGACATCAATTTGAATTTATTTGGGATATATCTTTCAACTAGAAGTTTACTTTTAAAAATCTTCTCTTTTTGGCTGGGTGTGGTGGTTCACACCTTTAATCCCAGCACTTTGGGAGGCAAGCAAGAGGATTGCTTGAGTCCAGGAGTTCAAGACTAGCCTGGGCAACATGGTGAGACCCTGTCTCTACAAAAAATTAAAAAATTAGCCAGGTGTGGTGGTGCATACTTGTGGTTTCAGCTATATGAGAGGCTGAGGCAAGAGAATCACCTGGGCCCAGGAGGTCAGTGCTCCAGTGAGTCATGTTCAACATAGGTAAGATTGTAAAGTGAAATTAACATTTGGTACCTTGTTACTTTTTTTCTCCTATCCCATTCTCATTTTTACTTCTTGGTATTACTTTTCTGTGTCTGCACACTGTCTCCTGACTGTCTAGTCTCAGCATCCTTTCTTATTGGCACACACTATCACTTGGCATTTTTCCATTGTGTAATAGGTGGGTGTCAGGAAAGTTATTTGATTAATCTGTTCTATACTAGGTTATACTATACTGATGTGAGGAATTATCACTGCTAAACCTACTCAGGGATATTTTCCTCTTAACTTCCTGTGTGACCCCAAATAACAGAATTTCAAGCAAGGCTGTAGGAACTTTTCTGCAAGTCACGCCGTTAAACGTATTCTGCCTAATGTAAATGATTCTGGAAAGTATGAGGAAGATGTTAGTGGTTCCTAGCCTCGTCTTTTATCACCACATTTCTTCAGGCAGCTCCACTTCTCTTGCCTGAAGATGGTCTTTCTCCATGTGTTGTTTTTCTCTGTGTTCTTACCAGAGTCCTCTGTAACAGTATTTTGTTGTTCAAAATAAATTCATTACGGAATACCCTGCATTTTGAGATTCTTTGTATATACTGAAATATAAGTCAGCTTCATCTTTTCTGAGTGACAATTCTTTTGAGGCATTGGGAAGCCTCTTATATTAGAAGAAGGTCTAGAGCCTGGATTTTGGTTCTTAGTCCTAAATTTGAATCCTAGGTCTGCCACAGTTCTGTATTCAAAAGTTCCATAAAGAATCAGGACAAAAAATTGCTACTAACCATTTACCACCCAGAAGCCATAATAATAATTAATTTTATTTTTCTTTTACTATTTTAAATTATTTTGGCTGTGACCGTCCTAGACGTGTGAATACATGGTCAAAAAATGTGAACTTTTTGGGAGATCTTGATAATGTTACATTGTATCTTTCTGGCTCTAGAGCTCTTACATTTTTCATACTAAATTGTCTCAGTCTTTGGGGCTTTATTATTATTATTATTTTATTGGCAGTGTTAGATCTTGTAGCCAAAAAAAGATTTTTTTTTCCTCTTTTGGTTCCAAATAGTCATCTGTTATTTTGGATTATTTGCTGGATTGTTAACTATACAGGAAACTTCCAGGCCTCATCTCACAGCAATGACTGTCATGTTGATAAACAATTATGATATCCCAGGTTATGTTAACCCTGCCTAAGTAGTTACATGGCCCAGTGAGGATGCCTAGTAGCTATAGGTGATTGGTTCTGTTTTGTCTCCTACACCTAAAATTTTGCCATAGGTAACTGTTTTGATAAACATAGGATAGCGTCCTTTTATTCTGTATGTAAAAAAGTACTATATGTAAAAAAGGAACTTAACTCCTCACTACCCTGTTTCTGTCCTCTAGACAGCCAGATGGATCTTGTGTAAAAGTAGAAGTAATCTTGGCTATAGAACAAGAACTGTTGATATTTCCATTTTAAAAAGTTGAATCAGTCTTAAGTTTGAGTTGGTGAGTAAAACAAAACCAAAACCAAACCTGGGATAAGCTACCAATAAGTTACCAAAGTATTTAAAAACTTGACAGATGTAAAACATTAATATATAATTTATTCTTAGCAACTTAATCTGTTTATTGAGTGGCAGTGTTTCAGTAATAAAGCTGAGCTATTTGGATACACTGACCTTAATCTAGTGGAAAACAGGAGGCTTTTAAATTGGCACATACACAAATCATCTTAGGATCCATAAAATGCCTTATTGTTAAATTACTGTTTTTAAGTCTTATATTTTCTCTGACTACTTCTGATAGTATTAGTAGGCATCTCTTACTGTATTTTTTTTTTCAGAAGGCAAATTTAGGCCGTTTTTATAAGGTGAATATAGGTAGATTTTCATATGTATTCTGGTATATTGGGAATTACTGCCAATGATTACTTCCCAGATAATCCATTCTAACTATCGAGTATCTAGAAATGATATGTTTTAAGTCACGATGATTATTAAAAAACTGCTGAATTAAATAAGCTACACATTTTGCTGGAAATTAAACAAAACTTACTCGCTTCTTTGAAGGAAATTGATTTATTCCTTGATTTCTTCTCTGAATCTTGAATACAAATTAATTTTTTGGTTTTTTTTTTTTCTATAAAAGTGAACTTGGAGACCAGTATAGCACAATATAAAGCAAGGAAAGTTAAAATCAATTAAGAATGCTTTGTTTAAAAAGAGAGAAGACAGAAAATGTACAATTTGTTTGTGAAAGAATTCCATAGAAATAACTTATTTATTTATTTATTTTATTATACGTTAAGTTCTGGGGTGCATGTGCACAATGTGCAGGTTTGATATATAGGTATAAATGTGCCATGTTGGTTTGTTGCACCCATCAACTCGTATTTACATTAGGTATTTCTCCTAATGCTATCCCTCTCCCCTCCCCCCACCCCCGACAGGCCCCAGTGTGTGATGTTCCCCGCCCTGTATCCAAGTGATCTCATGGTTCAGTTCCCACCTATGAGTGAGAACATGCAGTGTTTGGTTTTCTGTCCTTGTGATAGTTTGCTGAGAATGATGGTTTCCAGCTTCATCCATGTCCCTGCAAAGTTCATGAACTCATCCTTTTTTATGACTGCATAGTATTCCATGGTGTATATGTGCCACATTTTCTTAATCCAGTCTATCATTGATGGACATTTGGGTTGGTTCCCAGTCTTTGCTGTTGTGAATAGTGCCGCAATAAACATACGTGTGCATGTCTCTTTATAGTAGCATGATTTATAATCCTTTGGGTATATACCAAGTAATGGGATTGCTGAGTCAAATGGTAATTCTAGTTCTAGATCCTTGAGGAATTGCCACAATGTCTTCCACAATGATTGAACCAATTTACACTCCCACCAATAGTGTAAAAGTGTTCCTATTTATCCACATCCTCTCCAGCACCTGTTGTTTCCTGCCTTTTTAATGATTGCCATTCTAACTGGCATGAGATGGTATCTCATTCTGGTTTTGATTTGCATTTCTCTGATGACCAGTGATGATGAGCATTTTTTCATGTGTCTCTTGGCTGCATAGATGTCTTCTTTTGAGATGTGTCTGTTCATATCCTCTGCCCGCTTTTTGGTGGGGTTTTTGTTTGTTTTTTTTCTTGTAAATTTGTGTAAGTTCTTTGTAGATTCTGGATATTAGCCCTTTGTCAGATGGGTAGATTGCAAAAATTTTCTCCCATTCTGTAGGTTGCCTGTTCACTCTGATGGTAGTTTCTTTTGCCTTGCAGAAGCTCTTTAATTTAATTAGATCCCATTTGTCAATTTTGGCTTTTGTTGCCGTTGCTTTTGGTGTTTTAGTCATGAAGTCCTTGCCCATGCCTATGTCCTGAATGGTACTGCCTAGGTTTTCTTCTAGGGTTTTTATGGTTTTAGGCCTAACATTTAAGTCTTTAATCCATCTTGAATTAATTTTTGTATAAGGTGTAAGGAAGGGATCCAGTTTCAGCTTTCTGTATATGGCTAGCCAGTTTTCCCAGCACCATTTATTACATAGGGAATCCTTTCCCCATTTTTTGTTTTTATCAGGTTTGTCAAAAATCAGATGGTTGTGGATGTGTGGTATTATTTCTGAGGCCTCTGTTCTGTTCCATTGGCCTATATATCTGTTTTGGTACAAGTACCATGCTGTTTTGGTCACCGTAGCCTTGTAGTATAGTTTGAAGTCAGGTAGTGTGATGCCTCCAGCTTTGTTCTTTTTGCTTAGGATTGTCTTGGCAATGCGGGCTCTTTTTTGGTTCCATATAAACTTTAAAGTAGTTTTTTCCAATTCTGTGAAGAAAGTCATTGGTAGCTTCATGGGGATGGCATTTAATCTATAAATTACTTTGGGCAGTATGGCCATTTTCACAATATTGATTGTTCCTATCCATGTGCATGGAATATTCTTCCATTTGTTTGTGTCCTCTTTAATTTCATCGAGCAGTGGTTTGTAGTTCTCCTTGAAGAGGTCCTTCACATCCCTGGTAAGTTGGATTCCTAGGTATTTTATTCCCTTTGTAGCAATTGTGAATAGGAGTTCACTCATGATTTGGCTCTCTGTTTGTCTGTTAATGGTGTATAGGAATGCCTGTGATTTTTGCAGATTGATTTTGTATCCTGCGACTTTGCCGAGGTTGCTTATCAGCTTAAGGAGATTTTGGGCTGAGACGATGGGGTTTTCTAAATATCCAATCATGTCATCTGCAAACAGGGACAATTTGACTTCCTCATTTCCTAATTGGATACCCTTTATTTCTTTCTCTTGCCTGATTATCCTGGCCAGAACTTCCAACACTATGTTGAATAGGAGTGGTGAGAGAGGGCATCCCTGTCTTGTGCTGGTTTTCAAAGGGATGCTTCCGGTTTTAGCCCATTCAGTATGATATTGGCTGTGGGTTTGTCATAAATAGCTCTTATTATTTTGAGATACGTTCCATGAATACCTAGTTTATTGAGAGTATTTAGCATGAAGGGCTGTTGAATTTTGTCAAAGGCCTTTTCTGCATCTATTGAGATAATCATGTGGTTTTTGTCATTGGTTCTGTTTGTTTGATGGATTACGTTTATTGATTTGTGTATGTTGAACCAGCCTTGCATCACAGGGATGAAGCCAAGTTGATTGTGGTGCATAAGCTTTTTGATGTGCTGCTGGATTCGTTTTGCCAGTATTTTATTGAGGATTTTCGCATCGATGTTCATCAGGGATATTGGTCTAAAATTCTCTTTTTTTGTTGTGTCTCTGCCAGGCTTTGGTATCAGGATGATGTTGGCCTTATAAAATGAGTTAGGGAGGATTCCCTCTTTTTCTACTATTGAAATAGTTTCAGAAGGAACGGTATTAGCTCCTCTTTGTACCTCTGTTAGAATTTGGCTGTGAATCCGTCTGGTCCTGGATTTTTTTTGTTGGTAGGCTATTAATTATTGCCTCAATTTCAGAGTCTGTTATTGGTCTATTCAGAGATTCACCTTCCTGGTTTAGTCTTCGGAGAGTGTATGTGTCCAGGAATTTATCTATTTTTTCTAGATTTTCTAGTTTATTTGCGTACAGGTGTTCATAGTATTCTCTGATGGTAGTTTGGAATACAAATTAATTTTTAAAGAATGTTGAGTCTTCTATTTTATTTTATAAAAATTACAAAACATGATATAAAAATAAAAAATAAAATAGTTACATTTACTACTTAGTATTAATAATAAAACTGTTTGGTGGGTTAATTTATTTCAATCCAAGCTAACATATATTACTAAAGCAGATTTAAATAAATGATGCTTATGTGTAAGACACTGCTGGATATTATAAAAGACTTTAGAGTTCCTTTTATACCTGTAACACTAATTCCAATTATTATGTGAAATTTGGTATATAATTTTCCTAATGAGATGACATTATTATCATTACAAGTTTCACAGTATTTGTATAAATGTGTTACTAGACCAAATAATGTAAATCTGAGGCAAATCTTTGCATTTATAGAAACTAGAGCAACTTTAAATTCCAGATCCTCTTCCCTATAATGTTTTTAGTAGCTTTCTTCTAAGTGCTTTGCCAGTAGGACCTTTAGTAGCAGAAGTAATACTAATAAAGTAAGCAATTATAGTTCAAGCAGTCTTTCTGCCAAAAGTTCATTCACATTTAAAGGAAAGTAGGAATGTTGGGTGTTTTTGAATTGTCTATGCCATTGCTTTCCAGACTGATTAAAACTGGCAGAAATTACTCAGATACTGTGAGGATGAATTTTGTAACCATCCCCATTCCCCACGCCTGATAGAACATCTAACACTAATTGGCTATTTTCAGAGGTTTGTGTATACCAGCAATAGTTGAGAATGAATAGTTTCTCCTTTTTTTCCTATCACTTTCTGCCTAGATTGCTTTGTGATGGCTGTGATCTTCCTTTGCCTCTCTTTTCTATCTCTCCGCTCCTATTATACTCCAGCCCCAATATGATTCTTGAGCATCACTTTTGTTTAGTCGTTCCTGTTTTTTTCCAAATCCATGATGATATCTCCTATTGCCAACTAAAATCTTCAGTTTAGCATGCAAATCTTACAAGTGTGGACCCAGCCTACTCTTCCAGCCTCACATCCAGTTATTCTCTCCTACACCAATGACAATGGTCTGTTTCTCACCAGAATATGCTTTGTACTTCTTTTTAAGCTTCAAAAGTTTTAGTATGTTATCTCCTTACTCCCTCTCCCAATAGCTGCACCTTCTGTAGTCTTTAAATGAGTGCGTTTTATATTTATAAAGTCGTACTGTATATATAGTATTCGGTCTGATTATGGAGGATTTGAAAGCTAGTCAGATCCTAAAGCTAGTGAAAGTAGCCAAATGTTTTTGAGCAGGGGGTCAAAAACATTTATATATATTAATTATATAATTAATTACATATATTAATTATGTAATTAATGACACATATTAATTATGTAATTAATGACACATATTAATTATGTAATTAATGACACATATTAATTATGTAATTAATGACACATATTAATTATGTAATTAATGACACATATTAATTATGTAATTAATGACACATATTATTATGTAATTAATGACACATATTAATTATGTAATTAATGACACATATTATTATGTGTAATTAATGACACATATTAATTATGTAATTAATTACACATATTAATTATGTAATTAATTACACATATTAATTATGTAATTAATTATGTAATTAATTATGTAATTAATTATATATCAATCATATATTAATTATATATTAATTTATATTATATTAATATATTAATAATATATATTAATTATTAATTAATTAATAATTAATAATTAATAATATATATTAATTATATATGATTTATATATTAATTATATATAATTTATAAATATATTAATTATATATAATTAATAAGGGAATATGTGATTAATCTGGCACTGATGTGTAAGAGACACTAGAAGAGTTAAAGATTAGCGTGGAAACCATTAAAGGAAGAGTCAAATTTCCCAGGATAGGTAGAACTGATGCCTGGGATGAGGAAGAGATATCAGGTATCAAAGTTAACAAATCTTGAGATACAGATAATGACAGAATAAGGGAGATTATGAAGGAGAGCTGGTTTTAAGGAGGAATATGATTTAGATTTTAAATAGGTTTGGTTGCAATGATGATATAAATATGGACTTCAGATTAGAACCTGAGCATTAAGACTTATTTCTCAAATTCAGAATGGAATGCTTAGAGTTCTATTCAAATAAAAACGACAAAGTTGCATATTTATTAAGAAAGTATTTGTTGCTGGGAGAGTGGTTATAAATAAAGTACTATAAATAGTAAGGGTGATATTAGCATATACTTTGTTTCTAATATAATATTAAGTAACTATTGAATCACCTTTGACTAATTGTCATTGAATTAGCAATTAGTAATTGATTTTTTAAAAAACTTTTATTTTAAAATTTCATTTATTTTCTTTTTTTCACTTCTCCATTGTTCTTTTAGACCTTTTTTAAAGTGTCAGATTTATTGAGTATAATTTACATACAATAAAATTCATCTATTTTAGGCATATGGTTATATTAGTTTTGATGAATGTATAGAGTCATATAATCACTATCCCAATCAAAATACAGATTTCAAAAATCCCCCATAAAATTCCCTGGTTCCTCCCTGTAGGTTGGTGATCTTTTGAGAATGCAATTTCACCTTATAATGTATTTCAACGAAATAAAAGTTTTCAGTTTTAAACAATCAAATTATTATAGAAGTGGATTTTGGAGTATAGCCACGTCTTAAATTGGGGACCACATTTATTGATTTCTGATAGATTAATTTTTATTTTCAGAGACAGGGTCTTGCTTTGTCACCCAGGCTGGAGTGCAGTGGTGACATCACAGCTCACTGCAGTCTTGAACTCCTGGGCTCATGGTAGCTTAATTTGAATTTCTTGTATTTAACTGAGCAATTTAAGAACAGGACTTAATGTAAATCTACACTTTTACTTTCCTACTCCCTCCTCCCCTATCCTTTTTCCCATTTAATTTTCTGCCTAAAATCAGTTTCTTCTCATGATCTCTGTGTTGGGCTATGTATTCCTCCTGTATATGTTTCTTCCCTCATTCATAGCATTTATCACACTATTATAACTGATAGTTACTTGTCTGTCCCGTTAGTCTGTAAGTCTCACTGAGGTGCTTCATTGTCTTGATCATTATTTGATCCCTATCATCTAACTCAGTGATTGGCATAGTAGGTAATAGATATTTTCTGAATGTGTTTTTCTTGTCACCTAGACTCAAATACTTTAGAATAATATTAGACTCTTTAAAGCCTCTTCCTAAAAGAAAGAAAACCTAATTACCAAGTTTTATCAGTTTTTCTTTCTTTATAATATTTTTTATATCCTCATCCATTCATTTTTATTTTCATATTCACTTCCTTGTCTGGGCTTTTTCGACCTAAGACCTGGGGTCCTTGGTTTCAGTCTTTTGTTTTTGTTTTTTATCTTGTATACTACTGCTATTTCAGTTTTGTGTAAATTTTTCTCTTATTCAGAAAGCTCAGTGGGATCTGTGTTGTTTACCACAGAAAATGTAAACTTATGTGTCTAGCATTCAAGACCTTTATCATTTATTTAAAAGGTTTTAGTGTCTGATAACTTCAAATGCACTGTGATGGGTGATTTGTTAGGCTGTGTAGTTTGTCCCCAACCCACTTTTCCTGTTATCTTTTTCTACTTCCCTACTTGAAATTTTCCACAGTGTCTAATTTGGTTGCTTACTTTTCTCTGAACATGCTTTTTGCTTTCCAGCCATTACTTGTGCTATTTCACTAATCTGGTATCTTCTTCTTTTCCATTTCTTTCTGAGTCTTACCCAAATCAAGTCCCACCTTCAACATCTTTGACCATTCTATTCCATAGAGCACTCCCTTTTGACCTCGTTTAGGGGATTTAACTATTTATGCTATTCATTTGTAATACTGCCTTGTAGTCTTCTTCTTTCTCTTTTTTTAATTTATAAATATGCCATCTTCTTACACAAGATGGAAAGCACATGGAGTTTGAGGACCATTTCTTACATGTGCTTGAATCTCCTGCTGTCTTTAACATAGGGCTTGTGCCTAGTGGTCCTCAATAAATATATATTTGATTAGAGTATTTAGACACCTGTTTGCACTTATGTATAGAAAATTAATGAGAGAATATGATAGTGAATCATTTTATATCTGATAAAATTCCAAAATATAATGACTAGTACACTAAACTTTAGCATCTATGAACAGAAGTGTTGTAGAACAACTTTAAAGATTTTAAAGTGAATTTTACAGGAACAATATATATTACAGTACATTTATCAAACACTTATTTTTTTGCTACATCATTGTTTTCCTGGAAGAAATTAATGTTGGCAGATAAAGCTATTATATAACTAAATATTTTGTAAAAACATTTGGCTTAACTAATGCAGTACTTGTTTAATTGATTTTTGATTTTTATAATTCTTATAATGTAAATAGTTTACATGATAAGTAAAAGTAAATATAGAGTTTAGGGGGCCCATTTTTAGGAAATTTTAATCATACACATTATATAGGGATTTTCTACTTTTATCTTCAATATCCACATTAGCTTTATTAATTAAGGAGTCATATGACTGAAAGTCTCAATTGAGAAGTCATTTATCGAATCTACATTCTGTACTCTTAAATCCTTATAGATGGGAAAAACCTGGGGACTCTACAGGTTAACTTATATTTTTATTACTCAGTTTGGGAGGAATAGAGGAATGAGGCCTTTTTATCTTTTAGAAGATCAGAACTGTTCAGAGTTCTGAACAGTTGTTTCATTTCAACTTGATATTGAGCAGTGAACTTTGTGATTATGCTTGGTGAGGGCAAGTAAACCAAATGGATAGGGCTTTAGGCATCTTTGTTGGAGAGAAAGTGTAAGAGGCTCTTTTGGGCTGGGGGTGTAGAGTGCAGGGCTAGGAGGAAGAGAAAGCATGGAGTTTTAGAAAAAAGAAAGATTGGGAATATCCCAAGAGCAAGACCTTGTATTTTTGGAGAGTGGTTGGAGACATCTTTTTCTTCTTGGTTTGCAAAGAGAGTGATTGGTTTCCATTACTGCTGTAACAGATTCCCACAAATTCAATGGCATAAAACAACATAGATTTATTATCTTACAGTTCTGGAGGTCAGAGGTCTAAGTGGGTATGGAGGGCTGCATTCCTTCTGGAGGCGCTAGGGAAGAATCCATTTTCTTGCCTTTTTAAGTTTCTAGAGCCTGCCTGCATTCCTTGGCTCATGGCCCCTTCTTCCATCTTCAGAGCGTTATCAGTCTAGCCTCTCCTTCCGTTGTCACATCTCCTTCTCTCACTTTGACCCTCCTACTACCCTCTTAGAAGGATCTTTGTGATGATACTGTGCAGTCCAAAGGGATAGAATTAGAATTTGTGGGTGGAAATTACAGAGACAGATTTGTACTCACATTAAGGGAGAACTTTCTAACCATCAGCTGTAAGGATGGAGTGGGCAGTCTCAGAAAGCAGCAGCATGTCCTAGACATTGGCAGTGTTGAATAGAGGATGAACAACCTCTTCCCAGAATTGTTGTAGATAGGATCTATAAACATTGGTGGGTCTACACGAGCCTTAGACCCTTGCCAACCCTGAGATCAAATGATTCTCTATGCATAGCTCAGTGCTATTATAATTTGGATATGGAACAATCCCTGCCTTAAGGAATTCAACTTTTACTCCATTAGTTGCTGTATTGCTTTATTGCCCCCTTTCAATACAACAGTAAACATAAGGCCTAAAAGAAAGACTGAAAACAAGGGCTGTAGATTTAGGAACCTACTGCTTAGACAATCAAACCTACTTTTGTTTGATGAAGTTCTTTTGGGTTAAATATATTTTCACTTGTTTTGAATGACTCATTCTTCCATTCAGGTGAAAAATACTCAGACTTTTTAACAATTTGAATGGATGGCATTCCTAAAAAGTTATGTGGAAAGGAGTTTGAATATTTAATCTTACACTTTTCCAAATAGGAGAAAAAAAATTTTTTGGAATTTAACAGGCCTATGTGAAGGCTTTAGGTGAGGAACATAGCGTCCGTTCATCTGTGTTGAATATTTCATGGTTTTGATTATAACCAACCAATATGAACCAATTTCAGTAGTTTTAGTTGAGAGATCTAGTTAGTAGTTCACTTTCAGGTAGACTCAAAAAGCTTTTCTGTATCTCAGGGAATACAAGTCAAATGTCTGTACATGGGGGGAGTGGCTTTTATAAGCTGGTAGTCAGTGAATATTGCATTGGGAGAGCTGAAAAAGTTTATGTACTTTCAGACATCTCATAATGTATTATGTAGCAAATTTGTTTTCTCCATACGTTTTTAATGACCTTATAGATTAAAACTTTTTTTTTTTGAGAGGGCTAACTGTATTTTTTTCTTGAAAGGTATTTTTGCTGAAACAGAGTGAAATTGAACATATTTTCTAACCAGTCTGGCATAGTGCAGCATCATGGTATTTACCTTTTTTCCCTGAGGCTGTTGTGCCTCATGTTTTCTATTTAAGTATGACTTACTAATGATACACAAAAAATTTCCATGGTTTCTGTAGCTTCTTCCTTATACTTCAAGCCTGTCCCACATGGTAAATATGCTTAAGGGTCCTCTTAGATAAATCCAATGTCAAGTTAAAAATTTTGTGCTATTCATTTGACAGTGAAAAAGAGATAGTCCCATTTGAGGATATGACCAGAGTATAAATCATTAAGTAATAGTATTAGAAAGGGCTTTGACAAGTTGTCTCATCTAACTCTCTGCTTTAAAGAGGCAAGTGACCTAATTCGTTAGTTTCCTCAAAATGCAGACTCTAAACCGAGGTTTCATAAAATCCAGGCTTTAGAGCCTTCAAGAACCCTCTGAAGCTGCATGCAAAATTTCTGTGATTGTGTCTTTTTATGGGATGAGGGTCCATCAACTTTTATGTATTCATTCATGAATTATTCCCTACCTTTCTTCAGTATTTTAATAAATGTTATGTGAAGCTTGTACCAGGTACTTGGACCATACTCTTAATATATGATTCTTCATAAACTTGATCTTTTGTTTTATCTACAGCCAGTAGGAAGTAGCCAATCTTAAAACAAGGAACCAGATATAAGGGACTATGGCTCTGTAATTACTTCTGTATTTGCTTTGAGGTGTATTTCTGGACTGCTCTTGGATTCTTGCTATACGCTAATGTCTGAAACCACCTTGATTTTTTTTTTTTTCAATCTATATGTGTTTGGATTTGGCTTTGCTTACTGATTGTCTGATGTGGAATTTGGTGACCTGGATGCTGGACTGAGTGCTTTCTTAGAATTCATGTTGTTTTTGGAATTTCACCTCTTATCATTAGTGTGAACTGACTTTAAAACTTTATGTAAAACATGCCCTGCCCATCTCTCTCTCTTTACCCTTTTACTGACTGTAAGGGAGTAAGCTTAGATAGCAATTCTTGTTTTTTATTTAATTGGAACTTTTATTGAGCTAACTAAATTCACATGTAGTTATAAGAAATAATAGAGATCTTGTATACCTTTCCCTTAGTTTGCACCAATGGTAACATTCTTACAAAACTACAGTATAATATCACAGTCAGGATATTGACATTGATACCACCAATCTTAACAGATTTCCCTAGTTTTACTTCTATTCATTTGTGCATGTGTATGTGTGACAGCATCCTTAGGGTGTTGCTTCACTAGCCGGAAACTTCTGTGCCGGTGGCACCTCTACTTGAGTTTTGCTCGCACCTGCTGGGCTCGTTCTGCCCACTTGGCCTGTCAGGCTGCGTTTGGCTCATGATGCCTGCCCGGATCCCATACCTGCCAAGGGTGAGCCAGGACAGAGCGGTGAGGGGCATGTGAGTGAGCGAGTGTGGGGTCTGGCCACTGCGCACAGACAGGCATGCCAGCTGCTGCGGGGCAGGGTGGCGGGGCAGGCAGCTCCCGGCGCTGGCACAGGCGCCTGCTCCGTGCAAGGGTGCATCTATACCAGACATACCGCAAGCAGCTTCTGCTGCGGGCACTAGTGTCTGGATAAGGGAACGTGGTGGCGCCTGAAAGCTGAGAGATACCAGGAACAGCAGAACCCTATTGCCCTCAGTGTGGCGAGTGGGGGAGGCATGTTTCGGGGGGCATGTTTTGGCCCAATTGTGTTATAGCTCTTTCAGTCTCACTACCCAGCTCTGGCTTGCAGCTCCTGGGCTGATCCGGCCCCACCGCTACTTCCCATTGCATGTGTGGCTGCCTGGTGCGGTGGAGGGCGGGAGGGCTATAGTGTTACAGAAACTCTGGCTTGGGGAATCCTGAGGTCTGGGCCCCCAGAAGGGTTGCCACCCTTCACTTCTGCAGTCTGAGAGTATGTCACTGCCCACAGCTTGGTGAGCCGACCAAGAATGTGTTACATACCCCTTTGGCTCCTGCCATTCAGTAGGTCCTGAGTTCTTGTCCCACATCCAGGAAGAATGAGATTATGTGGACAACTAGAGGATGAGCAAGGCAGAGAAGAACTTTATTGAGCAACAGAACAACTCTCAGTGGAGAAGAGACCCAAAGCGCGTAGTTCCTATCTGCAGGCAGGTTGTCCTGGTAAGTATTCGTTTTTTTTTTTTTGGGGGGGGGGTTGTTTTTGTTTTTGTTTTTGAGACGTAGTCTCGCACTTTTGCCCAGGCTGGAGTGCAGTGGCCTGATCTCAGCTCACTGCAAGCCCCACCTCCTGGGTTCACGCCATTCTCCTGCCTCAGCCTCTCGAGTAGCTGGGACTACAGGCGCCCGCCACTACGCCCAGCTAATTTTTTGTATTTTTAGTAGAGACGGGGTTTCACCATGTTAGCCAGGGTAGTCTTGATCTCCTGACCTCATGATCTGCCCACCTCAGCGTCCCAAAGTGCTGGGATTACAGGCGTGAGCCACTGGGCCCTGCTGAGTCTGGGGGTTTTTATAGGCACAGAAGGGAGAAAGTGTGTGCTGATTGGTCCATGCGCAGCCATGGGTAGGCCTGGAAAAAGCACCATCCCATTGGCCAAAAGGCATCAAGGAAGTTCTCACTCCTAGTCTCAGACTCCACCCGGTACTGGCAGCCCGGCCTCCAGGCTTCAGGCCTTCCCTTGCTTGAAGGTGAGGTTTCACCAGGGACCGTCCCTTTCCCGCCTGGGAATCTGTCTGCCAGGAGCCTCCCTTCCATGCTTGTTGGCATCCAAAGTTTCAGCCTCAGAAGCAGTTTCTGGAGGGGACTGAGGTGGCGGGTGGGGTGGGGGCGGGGACTGGTGTGTCAGCGCCACCCCAAGTGCTTGCACACCCGGCCTAGTTGTGAGCCTGGGCAGGGAGAAGCCAGGGAGCAGGTGCAGGCACTTCTGAGCCCACGGGGGCAGGGGGTTTCCCGCCCTGCAAGAGCGCAAGGATACCCAGTCTGGAGCTGCTGCTGGGCGGCACCTGCACTAGGGAGTGCGGGCTCCCACTTTGCCAACTCAGTAGGGCGCAGGACTCCTGCTGGGATCACCTGTTCCTAGCCCCTGCCAGCTCCAAGGAGTGTGCAGCTCCAGCCACCCCCGCCGCCTGCCCCCCCGCCCCCCGCTGCAGCTGGCATCCTCGCAGTGACCACTCCACATGGGCCGCCACTGACATCATATGTATATTTAGTTCTATACAATGTTGCCATTTTTGTAGGTTTGTGTATCTAGCACCACAGACAAGATACAGAACAGTTCCATCACCAAAAGCGTCCCTCTTATTACTGCTCTTTTAGAACCATACCCACCTCTTTGCCACCCCTCCTTCCTACCCCACATCCAGGAAGAATGACATTATGTGGGCAAAAACAAGAGCAGTCCAGAAATACACCTCAAAGTAACCACTAATCTGTTTTCTATTTCTATAATTTTGTCATTTCAAAACTGTTATCTCAATGGAATTATGTGATATATAACCTTTTGGGAATGGCATAATCTCCTTGACATTCATCCAAGTTGTTGCATGTAGCAATTATACCAATTTTTCATTACTGAGTAGTATTTTTGTTTAACATTCACTTGTTGAAAGACATAGACTGATTCCAGTTTTTGGCTATTATGAATAAAGCTGGTATGAGCATTCATATAAAGGTTTTAATGTGACCATAAATTAAAAGGTAATATTGGCTCATGAGTTGGGAAACGTTCCCTCTTTTTCTATTTTCTAGAAGAGATTAGCACGTTATGTAAATCTGGGACCAGGTGTGGTGGCTCACGCCTGTAATCCCAGCACTTTGGGGGGCCAAGGTGGGTGGATCACCTGAGGTCAGGAGTTTAAGACCAGCCTGACCAACATGGTGAAACCCCGTCTCTACTAAAAATACAAAAAATTAAATAAGTAAATAAATGAAAAATTAGCCGGGTGTGGTGGCAGGCGCCTGTAATCCCAGCTACTTAGGAGGCTGAGGCAGGAGAATCACTTGAACCTGGGAGATGGAGGTTGCAGTGGGCCGAGATCACGCCATTGCACTCCAGCCTGGGCAACAAGAGCAAAACTCCATCTCAAAACAAACAAAAAACTGGTATTAATTTTTGTTTACATGTTTGGTAAAATTATCCAGTGAAATAGGCTAGGCCTGGAGATTTCTTTTTTCAAAGCCTTTAAATTACAAATTCAATTTTTTTTTTTTTTTTTTTTTTTTTTTGAGACGGAGCCTTGCTCTGTCGCCCAGGCTAGAGTGCAGTGGCGCGATCTCAGCTCACTGCAAGCTCCGCCTCCCGGGTTCAAGCCATTCTCCTGCCTCAGCCTCCCGAATAGCTGGGACTACAGGCGCCCGCCACCACGCCCGGCTAATTTTTTTGTATTTTTCAGTAGAGACGGGATTTCACCGTGTTAGCCAGGATGATCTCCATCTCCTGACCTCGTGATCTGCCCACCTCAGCCTCTCAAAGTGCTGGGATTACAGGTGTGAGCTACTGCACCCAGCCTACAAATTCAATTTTTAAAATGTTTATAGGACTATTCAGATTTTCTTCATCTTGGTTGGGTGGTTTTTGAGGAATGGTCCATTTCTTCAAAATTATTGAATTTATGAGTATAAAATTGTTCATAATATTCCTTTATTATCCTTTAAATGACTGCAGGATCCGTCGTAATAGACCCTGTTTCATTCCTGACATTGGTGATTTGTATTTTCTCTATTTTTGTCTCTATTTAGTCTTCCTACATAGAGGTTACTAAATTTTGATGTTTTTAAAAACCTTCCAAAGAACCAGCTTTTTGTTTAATTGATTTTTTATTTCCAATATCATTCATTTTGCTTTTATCTTTATTTCCTTTCTTACGCTTTTTTGGGTTTATTTAGCTCTTCTTTTTCTAGTTTCTTGAGGTAATAACTTATTGATTTGAAACCTCTTCTTGTTTCTACTATAAATTTTTAATGCTATAAATTTTCCTGTCAGCACTGCTTTAGCTACATTCCACATATTTTGATTTTATATTTTCATTTTCATTCAATTCTGTGTATTTTTAAATGTTCCTTTGAGACTTCCTGTTTGTCATATGGATTATTTGCAAGTATGTTGATTAATTTTCATATGTTTAGAGATTATCCTATTGTCTTTCTGTCATTGACTTTTAGTTGGATTCCATTATGGTCAGAGAACACAATCTATGATTTCAATTTTAAAACATTTGCTGAGGTTTGTTTTCAGGCCCAAGATATGGCCTTTCTTGATGGATTTTCCATTGGTGCTTAAAAAAAGGTATATTCTGCTGTTGTTGGGTGGGGTGTTCTATTTATGTCAATTAAATTGTTAGTTAATTTTGCTGTTCAAAATAACCTTGCTGATTTTCCTTCTAGTAGTTTTATCAGTTGATGAGTGCAGCATGTTGAAGTCCCCATCTATAATTGTGGACTTGTCTGTGTCTCCTTTCAAATCTGTCAGGTTTTGCTTCGTGTATTTTGAGGCTCTGTTATTTGGTACATGCACATTTAGAATTATTATGTTTTCCTAGTAGATTGACCCTTTTATCACTGTGTAATATTCTTGTTTGTCTCTAATAATTTTCTTTGCTCTGAAATCTACTTTAGCAGATGTTGATTTAGCTAATTCAGCTTTTTAAAATGTTTACATGATATAATTTTTTTTATCCTTTTACTTTTAGCTTACTTAATGTTGAATTTGGACCAAGTTCTTGTAGACAGCCTATAGTTTGTTCATCTTTTTTGTATGCATGCTGCCAATTTTAGTCTTTTAATGAGTATGTTTAGACCATTTACATTTAAGGTAATTATTAATATGTTAGAGCTTAACTCTGCCCTTTTATTACTCTCTCTATATATATCTGTATCTATCTATATATATATATATGATCATATATATGTCTCTCTCCCCCCTCTCTTTATATATTTGTGTATGTATACATATATTACTTGTTACAGACAGTCACCCTGTTTAGGTTTAGCATGAAATCCTGCCACATTTTGTGGGCTGTGATTTCAATGATGTTTAAGTCCCAGAGTCTTTGTGATGTTATTTTGATCTGTGAAGTTTATCTGATACCACTGGGGCTCCCATGGTTCCCTCTTGGTACTGCCAGAGGAGGCAGAAGGGTTTTGCCCAGGCTGGACCACCTCTGGGTGAAAAGGGAGTCTCAGGCCTTTGAGGCCAAAGATGCATCTCAGGAGAGACGCTTTTGAAGGAATCCCTCTTGCCAGTGCCATCTGGCCCCCTAACCCAGTCTCCCTTTGTGGGACAAGAGAATCTCAGACCTTGTGGGAGAAGGAGATTGCTTCCCCTGGCTGCTTATTAGCAAGCTTCCCAGTCATAAACTCTCTTGCCTTTGGCTTGTCAGCTTTACCTGGTGTTGTTGAAAGTATTCCTGTTCAATCCTGGGGAGGAATGAGCCTACCTGGACTGCCTTCTGTACCAAATTGGGGGTTGGGTCATGCTGAGACTGGCTGTCTTTCTTCTGTAGAGTAGAGGGCACATATAGTCCTGAAATCCCAAATTAGTTTGCTGTCCTCTTACTACCGTACCTTCCAAAGTTTTCTTTTGGCTGTCTCTTGCAGTATTTCTTGGGTTTATAGTTGTATATACAGGCGAAGAACAAGAGAAATCAGTCTAAGCTAGCTTGTCAGGACTGAAAGTCTCAATCATGTTTTAAAATATTTTATTAATTTTAATTTGAGGGTAACTTTTTCCAACGCTGCCTTTTTTTTTGAGGATAACTCAACAACAAGAAATACATGTATATAACTATTTTTAAAATGAATCAAAATTGGCTCACTAAAATTTTGTTTCTTGAATGGGTAAACTTTAGTTACTTGAACTTTTTCTTAAGTGGAACATATTAACAGGAAAGCAATAGTCAAATGTTGAGGCATTAAAGTATATACAATGAATGTGTTCTGTGTGTGTGTGTGTCCCCATTCCTCATATTCTCCATTTTTTGTGCTTTCTCTGCTCTAATGGCTTTTTTCCTCACTCTGGCTTGCCTTTTCACTCTCTTAATGGTATCTTTTGATGAAGAGAAGTTCTTAATTTTAGTGTAGTTCAACTTGTTGTTAAAAATGATTAATACTTTCTGAATTCTGCTTAGAAATATCTGGCAAGCCCAAGGTAATGAAGATACTCTTTGTTTTCTTCTAACAGCTTTATTGCTTTGACTTTCACATTTAGATACACAGTCTATCTGGAATTGGGCATTTTTATTTATTATGTGAGGGCTCAAGATTCATTTTTTCCCCATATGGATTTTTAGTTCATTCAGCTCTATTTATTGAAAAGACATCCTTTGCTCACCACATTTGCAGTATTGCCTTTCTTATAAATCAGGTCTCTATATGTGGAACTCTTTCTGGACTCACTATACCAGTGGCAACTGGTCCAACTCTTTCTGAACCACTATAGTGTTCAGTAGAAATATAATGCAAGCCGCAAATGTGAGCCATATGTGTAACTTTAAATTTTCTAATGACCATATCTTAAAAAGTAAAAAGAAATTTATGAATTTTATTTAATAACATGTTTTATTGAGCCCTACCTGTGAAAATATTAACATGTAATCAATAGGAAATTATTAATGAGATATTTTACATGTTTTGGTACTATGTCTTTGAAATTGGGCATAAATTTAACATGTGTGGCACGTCTCAAGTTAGACTCTAAATTTTCACCAGAAATACTTGATCTGTATTTAGGTTTCATACAATCACAGTTGAATAAGTAGGTTCATATGCCTAAATTTGTCCAAATCATACTTCAGAGTTTTCCAGTAACTGAATCACTTATCAGTTCTTGAATTTAAATTAATTAAAAATTTAAACATTACAAATTCAGTTCCTTAATTACACTAGCTACATTTTAGGTGCTCAGCACTCACATGTGTCTTGTGGCTCTTATATTGGACAGTGCAGCTCTATTCTATTCTATTGTCAGTCTTTACTGTAGAACATACTTTTGTAATTACTGTCACTTTATCATAAATCAGAGTGGTAGTATAAGTCCTCCAACTTTGTTTTTGGCTATTGCCTCAGCTATTGCTAATCATTTAAATTTTCATATAAATTTTGGAATCACCTTGTCAATGTCCACTAGCATTTTTTCATCACAGTTTACTACTGTTTACATTGTTAGCTGCATACGTGACAACAAGAAATCCAAAGTGATATTGAGCTATTGTTACCAGTGGAGGGTGCCCAGGCTCTTGGCATTTTGAACAAAGAATTGGACAAAATGCACAAAGCAATGGAAGAATGAAGCAACGAAAGCATGTAGTTATTGAAATGAAAGTACACTCCACAGGGTGGGAGTGGGCTCCAGGAGGTGGCTCAGGAGCCCCTGTTACAGAATTTTCTGGAGTTTAAATACCCTCTAGAGGTTTCCCATTGGTAACTTGGTTTACACTCTATGTAAATGAAGTAGTGGCCCACAATCAGTCTGATTGCTTGTGAAGGTGACCAATCAGAGGCTGAAGTGAAGTTACATAGTTACACCCTATGCAAACGTGTGATTGGTTGCGGAAAGTGACCAGTCAGAGGCTGAAGTGAAGTTACAAAGCTGTACTCCTATGCAAATGAAGACTGGGCCCGTGACCAGTTTGGTTGCAGGAAAAGACCAGTCAGAGGTACTTTCATTTTTCATCTGCAACTGCAGAAAAAGTAGGGGTATTACAAAGGGAGTAGCCTCTGATCCCTTTGTTACTTGGATGTGGAGAGGTAGGGTGTTCCTTTTAATTCAGTTCTGGGAAGTCAGCATGAATTGGCCTTAGGTTCCCTGCCTCCAGACCCTATTCTCCTGCCTCACCATAAAGGCTGGATAGTTGACTTGGTTCTTTTCCTAACTAAACAACTGGTTCTGAAACAGTGGCCTTAGTGTTTCAGAAACACTAAGTGAAACACTTAGTGAAACACTGCCATTCCTTTATCTGCACCTCTGCAAATAAGCTTTTCCAGATAATTCTGAATATCAGTTATTCAGGCCACAAATGCAAACCACAGGGTAGGATTTTAACATATAATATAGAAGTAAGGGGAAAAAAAGTGAATAAATACATTTCTTTTTTTCTTCTTATTTTATCAGAGTGGAGTCTATGAAGGTGTTAGGACCAGGGAAGAGGTTGGAGTAGCTGCTGATTTTGGAAATTACATACAGCTCTATCATTTCTAGTACTTAGCACAAGGCCTGGCACATACTAGGTATTCAAATTTTTGGCAAATAAATGGAAGCATTATACTTAACAGAACTCATTGATCAGATATGGAGCCATTGTTCTTGTAGTTCATGAGTGAGGCCCTCTATTACTGTAAACTGAGACTTTTTGGCTGAAATGTCTGAGTAATATTATACAAAGTCATATATGGCATTTGGCTTTGTGACTTTTTTTAGAATATGAAAAGAGGTGTTTGGGGACATAATTACAATAGAATTGCTGTTTAATTTGGTATAACTCATGATGCATGATATATGACTGGAAAGTGAGTTGTTCTGATTTAAATAGAACACTATTGAAGTAAATCATCTCATGTTTTTAAAATAGTTCTCAAATTGTGTTCGTACTAGATCAGTTATCTGGCTGATTGTTCTAATAGAAGTATCTCTACATTTAAATGTCTTTGATTTCTTCATCAACCAAATGAACTGACTTACTAAATTCTTGTTCTAAAGGAATTTTCCTGTTGGAATAGACTATCCTAAAGTAACTTCTACAACAGTTGTTTTAAGCTAGGACATGTTCAAAAGCTTCATATGACTTATGGCATTAGGTTGAACAGTCAAGAAAACATTAATTGGTTTATTTTTCTGATAATATGGCTCACTGAATCAGTTATAAAACATTTAAAACATATTTGATTTAAAAAGGCATGACAACAAAGGGTCATTTTAAATGAATAGATAACTACAAAAATGAATGAGCAGGAGACTAGGGAAGCTAGCGAGCTTTGAAACCACTGGATAACCTGGGGACATACACAGACCTAGTAGGTAACCTGGAAACTTGGAGTAAAAAGGGGCTGGGGCCTGGGCGATGGAGTGAGACTTCATCTCTACAAAAAAATAAAAAAGCATTAACCTGGCATGGTGGTGTATGCCTATAGTGCTAGCTACTCAGGAGACTGAAGCTGGATCATTGCTTGAGCCCAAGAGTTCGAAGTTACGGTGAGCTATGTTCATGCCACTGTGCTACAGCCTGGGTAACAGATACTTGCCTTCACTATTTCTATTTTATATTAGACATTAATATATAACTTATTTGTAAGTTATTTAAAATATATCTTCAGTTGGAAATTGTAGCCAGTGTAATGACACAGGGCAGAGAGATGAAAGGTATAAGAGTTGGAAAGGAAGAAACAAAGTGGTATTATTTGTAGATGATACTATTGTCTATGTAGAAAAGTCCAAGGAGTCTACAGAAAAATCAATAGTTTAGCATAGATGTTGGATATAAGGTAATGATTAAAAATAAATAGTATTTAAGTAAACCTAAAACCAAAATCTATTTTAAAAAAGACAATATTTATAATTTCACAAAAGTATATCAAGATGTAAGTGTGAACAGACATGTAAGATCTTTTCAGAGAAGGTAATAAGATTTTATTGAGTGAAAATTAAAAATCTTAAATGGAGAGAAAAAATATTTTCAGATAGGGCGACTGAATATCATAATTATGTCATTTATTCACAAAATGATTTGTAAATTCATGCAATTTCATGCAAAAATTCCTGTGGTTTTTAAAAATGAAATTTGGAAACTTATTTTAAAATTTGCAGAGGTTAAATTATCCTGGAAACTTGGAGAAGAACAAGTTAGGGAGCAGGCACTTGATCTACACTATGTAGTATTATATTACTGATGTCAATAATTTATAATTTTATGGAATGGTAGCTTCACAGAGATAGATAAATAGACTAGTGAAGCAGAATATAGGCACAGAAGCAGACCTTTATGGAAACTTAATGTATGTCAGAGTGACACTGCAAGTTTGTGGAAAAAGAATAAACTGTTCACTATATATTGCTGGGACAATTGGTTATCTACATGGGAAATAATGAAGTGGAATCTCTACTTCCCACCCTATATAAAAATCCATTTCAGGCAAATTAAAGGCTTAATAAAAATAGCCAACACTTATGTTGTACATATCATATTATTGACCTTGTTCTAGCACTTTATATACATTTACTCTTTTTATCATGTTAGTTACCTTCATTTTTTAAAATAAGGAAACTGAGGCAAGCACAGAGAAGTCAAGTAATTTGCCTAGGGTCACAGTAGCAGAGCCACATTTTAACCAGGTAGTTTGGCTCCAGTGTCTATGCTTTTAACCACTATGCTATACTTTTTCACTTAAATGTGCGGAACGAAACTAAAATTTTCAATATAAGGGCATTTGTTTATGACCGTAGGATAGGGAAGGGTTGTTTTTAAATTTTTGTTATTTTTTTTTTAAATAATTGGGTCTTTATATGTTTCCGAGACAGGACTGAAACTCCCTGCCTTCAAGTCATTTTCCTAAGTAGCTGGGACTATAGGCTGTTTCTTTTTTTAAAGGAAGGATTTTATGTTTATCATGAAGGAAAAAAATAAATTTGGCTAACTTAAAGAGTTATTTATCAGGAGACACTATTAAAAAAAGGCAAATCAGAAATTTGGAGAAGATATTTTTAATACTGATAATAAGACAGAATTGTACCCTGTAACCATAAATATGTAGAATTTCTACCATATCAATAAGGTATAAGTTTCTGTTGCTCCACATCCTCTTGCACGGTTGGTATTTTAGACTTTTAAAATTCTTCTGCCAAGCACGGTGCCTCATGCCTGTAATCCTAGCATTTTGGGAGGCCAAGGCAGATCACTTGAGGCCAGGAGTTCAAGACCAGCCTAGGGAATATAGTGAGACTCCATTTCTACAAATAATAATAATAAATAAACATTATTATTGTTATTATTCTGATCCTGGTGGTCATAGAATGGTATATGTATGGTTTTAATTTGCATCCCTTGATTTTTAATGAGGGTAAGCATAATTTCCTCTATTAATGGCCATTTGTGATATTTTCTTCAGTGAAGAACCTGTGGGAGATGGAACATGAGGCTGACAGTTGGCATTATGTTGAGCTTGTGAGAGGTGATGTGATTCTACCTTCAGGTACTACTGGGTCTGTGCATTCTATAAAACCAGAGAGGCAACTATGATCAGATCTCCTGCTCTGGCTGATTTTTTATTTCTAGGAGATTTTTCATTTGTTTGTTTTCATTTAGAGCTGTACTCCTGAGTCATTAAATAGAACACTATAAATTTGCTGGTGCAGGTCATAACATTTGAAGGGATTAACATTTGGTTTATTCTCTCTAAATCCATAGCTATTAGGAAATAACCTAAAACTTCAGGATTTACTTTGCAGAAATGATTTCCTTCTAATGTATGCTCTCTCAAAGGAATTTAGAATCCTGTTACATAAGAGGCTATACAGCTTTAATCCCATTCATTGATATTTAGTGACCAGTTAAACTTCAAAACAATTTTTAAAAATTTCCCTAATTTAAAAAGTAATAATAATTATGTGAAAAAATTTTGGAAAATACAAACTCATAGATAATAATAAACCATTTAGAGAACTGTGACTTAACACGGTATATTCTTTTGTCTTTTTTTTGTAACCTTTGCGTACGTAGTTGAGAATAACAGCCCCATTTTAAAAGAGGAGCTTTAAATTCTTATTATGCCCCGTTAAAAACCCCACAGGTAATCATAATTATTTAGAAATTTAATCACACAGATGTTGAGTCACAATTTGTGATTTAATTTGATTACTTATGTATTTTCTTATTTTTATTCTTATCTCTTTCCTGGATGTGATTTTTTAAAAAGTTGTGGCCACTTTAAAGTCTTTTGAGAGATGAAATGGGAGCATGTGCCTGTTACCAATTAATTGCCTCTCAGCTCCAAATTCATCCTTCATTGCCCTGATTTGTGATATTAGAGCTGTACCCTGGTAGCTGTACTATGCTACCCAGAAGATACCAGATTATCTTCTGACCACAAATGCATAAATGAACCTAGCCAAAACCAAAAGAACCACTTGCTGAATCTAGTACAAATTGTCAACATGAGCTAAATGGTGTTTGCTGTTTGCCACTACATTTGAGGGTTGTGAGTTAATCATTAAAAGCACACTGATAGGCCAGGCAAGGTGGCTCATGCCTGTAATCTCAACACTTTGGGAGGCTGAGGTGGGAGGATGGCTTGAGCCCAGGAGTTTCAGATCAGCCTGGACAACATAGCGAGACCTTATTTCCACCACCACCACCACACACACACACAAAAAGCGTACTAGTTATACTGCTCTATTTTCAGTGCTTAGAACAACACCTTTTACTTAGTAAGCATTCCCTAAATAATTTGTGAATAAAACAAATCAGGTCAGCCCAAATTCAAGGGATGGAACAAGACCATTCAGTTTTTACAGCTGCTCTCTTTATTGAGAGAATCTCCTCTGTCCTCTGTGCCTCTCTATGTTTTATAACACACTGTATTATAACACTGGTTAATGTTGAATTGTGATTAAAAATTTATCTCCTAAGTAAGGTGTTTGAAGACAAGGATCAGTTTCTTATTTATCTTTTGCTGTTCAACAAATATTTATTGTATGCCTACTGTTTCAGTCACTGTGCTGAAGTAAACAGAACAGATAAGGAAGGTTCTTGCATTCATGAAACTTACTGCAAGTGCAGTATTTTTAATCATACTGCTTTTTAGCAAGTTTAGTATCATTCTGCTTTTTAGCAAGGCCTTGTTTTTTCATTTTGGCCCCAAACCATTTTTTATCCATGAGCCTTTTAATGTTATATTCTTGCAAAATTTTTATCTTTAGTCATCACTTTTGATTTTTATAGTTACATATTTAGTTGTTATGCAATATGTATGTTTTACATACCAAGTATGTTTAAGTTAATATACTATTTTCCTTAGTAGTTAACTCTTTTCTTGGTTATTCACTTTTGTCCCCCGTTAGCAGTATGTCTTACGTATTTTAAGATTCAGAGTTGAAATTCTAAATTCCTTTTACTCACGGGAAATTAGATTTTAGTGTTTTGCACAATGCCAAATACATAGTGGACACTTAATAAGCGTTCGTTTGTAGTAATAGCCTCTTTGGTTTTCTATTTCATAGAATTTCACCAAAGATGATTATTTTTGACTGACTTTTAAATGGCTACATGAATTCTTGACCCTCAGCCTAAGTAAATTTTTTCATTGTGGATCACAATACCTACTTTCTCTTTTCCTTCTTCATTTTACTCTTAAAAATATTAATGTGCAAATTTGGAAGTGTCAGTTTCACAATTGCTAACCTACTTGAAGTGTTTTGAAAAATGAAATTAAGGAAAATTTAGAGAAGTGGTTTATTACCTTAAAATAATTAATAGCAAGATTCTTCTTAATATGTTATGTCATAGTCACATCATTTATTTATTTACTGATTCATTCTTGGTTCAGCCAGTCATCCATTTAATAAATGTGTTTCAGTCCTTATCATATGTGCAAGGTGCTAGTATTATGAAGAGGAATTCAACACAGCTGATATGTGGAGGGATGTCTTTAATTTATATTTAAATCTCTGTGTGAGATTTGAAATATTACAAAAGACTAGAGTATAAATCAGGTGGAAAAAGGGACAGCAAAGAACTGCAAGGAACTTAACCTTTTCTAGCATCCAGCTTGACCATTCTATAAAATATATTTAGCAAATAATATTCTGATATTTTGATTTGAAAGCATGAGGCTGTAGCTCTTTCATAAATGAAAGATTTTTAAAGGTACTT
Source organism: Homo sapiens (assembly GCF_000001405.40). NCBI lineage: Eukaryota > Metazoa > Chordata > Mammalia > Primates > Hominidae > Homo > Homo sapiens. The sequence goes on from NC_000001.11 coordinate 113,435,932, forward strand.
ATAGCATCTGCTTATTACTCTAAATCTTTGTGTCATATATTGTTGCAGTGAGTTTGTGAGGATTGAATTCAGTATTTAGAAATAATGATTATTGAAAAACATGAATACAAACATGTGCATCTTAGGAAAGTTATGTCAGATGAATTAGTTAATACCTGAATAGTTCAAAATGATGAATAATTGTTAGAATTATAACATATTATAAATTATCTTAACTACAGATATAGGGATGTTATAATTTGATAATTCAGAACAGGGCTGAATAACAATCATTCTCCCATTAATTTACAATTAATCTCTCTTTACAATTCCAGTGTGTTTTGTAAGAAATAATTTTCCATGAGTGAAATAATGTAATTGCCTTCTCTCTCTCTCTATATATATATTTTGTATATAGATGACCAGATTAAGACATGAAAACATTAGTGAGATAAAAACCAAAGATTTCTCTAATGGGCAGTTTGTTTGTAAGAATGATGGAGATGATACAGAGTAGCTCATATATTTACATGCCTAAGTGAATTTTATTCTGTGTTTTTATTTAAATGTGAATAATAAATGAATCCGTAGATCAGCAAGGAGGTTTAAAGTATTCAAAAAGCAAAAGTTAGGACATTTGGGGTTTAATTTTTTTCATTTAATTAAAATGGAAAGGATATTATTTAACCATTGAGCTGGGTAATGTTAATAGTTCATGGAGGATGCAAAATGATTCTTTTTTCTCTTTTGGTGCTCCTTTAATGAATAAACATCATTTTTTTTTAATACTGTCAAAGCACTTTGGAGAATGGAATTGTAGCTGCACAACTTATATTAAAGTGAAGTTACTCTTACAATTCTGTTATTCTGTTTTCTTTTTTTCCAAATTTTAAAGACAGTCTTTTTTTTTTTTTTTTTTTTGAGACGGAGTCTCACTCTGTTGCCCAGGCTGGAGTGCAGTGGCACTGATCTCGGCTCACTGCAACCTCTGCCTCCCAGGTTCAGGCAATTCTCCTGCCTCCACCTCCAGAGTAGCTGGGACTACAGGCGTGTGCCACCACGTCCAGCTAATTTTTTGTATTTTTAGTAGAGACAGGGTTTCACCGTGTTAGCCAGGATGGTCTCTATCTCCTGAGCTTGTGATCCGCCTGCCTTGGCCTCCCAAAGTGCTGGGATTACAGGCATGAGCCACCGCACCCGGCCTGGAAAATATTTTTTATCTCCCTTTATTTCTTTGATTATCTGCCCCACTCCCATGCTTAGCCTAGTTTTTACATACTTTTATTTAATATTAATATTTTATAAGTTTTAATATTTATTTTCAGTCTTTTCTTTCCCCTTCCCCCTCCAAAACAGGCTTGGAACTAAACTCATCTTTATCTATTAATGTTAAATGAGAATAGTAAAGTTGGAATTAGAGCAAGTACATGTTATTTTTAAACTGATTACTAATTCAGTAATTCATAACTAATTAAATGTCTTTATTTTTCTAGACCCTTACTCTCCTCCTTTTTTCTTTCTTGCCCATCTCATTATCTTATAAGTAATTTGTGTTTTTAAGTTTTTTTCTCCCTAGATAATAGAAAGGGAAAGAAGGTAGAACATAAATAAGGATTACTTAATAATTTTTCATTCAGTTATTTAGCTGTGTTTCCCACTGGCAAAAATATTTCTCTACTATCTTTGTATATATTGAATAATACATTATTTTTAAACTATATATATCAGTTACTCTTATCAGTCCAAAAGCTTATAGAATTAATGCTCCTCCTCCTTTTCCTTTTCCCCTTCCTCCTCGTCTTCCTCCTTCTCCTTCTTTCTTCTTCCTTTCCTCTTCTTCTTCTTCATTTTTCTTTCTTCTTCCTTCTTTCTTCTTCTTCCTTCTTCTTTCTTCTTTTCTTCTTCTTCTTCTTCTTCTTCTTCTTCTTCTTCTTCTTCTTCTTCTTCTTCTTCCTCTTCTTCTTCTTCTCCTTCTCCTTCTCCTTCTCCTTCTCCTTCTCCTTCTCCTTCTCCTCCTTCTCCTTCTCCTTCTCCTTCTCCTTCTTCTTTTCTTTTTTGAATATATAGAGACAGGGATCTCTCTATGTTGCGCAGGCTGGTCTGGAACTCCTGTGCTCAAGTGACCCTCTCACCTGAGCCTCCTGAGTAGCTGGAACTACAGGCATGAGCCACTGTGCCTGGCTCTGCAAGACTGATGTAGCAATCTTTTTGTTTGAGGCTGGGGTGACAAGGTTGTTGCTATGTTGCCCAGGCTGGCCTCCAATTTATGGGCTTAAGCAACAAGCCCCCTTCTCTTATCACTCCCCATTACTAGCTCCAACTGTTCCTATTTACTTATAGTCCTGAAATACAGTAGTCCCCCTGTATCCTGAGGGGATATGTTCCAAGACCCCCATTGGATGCCTGAAACTGGGCATAATACTGAATTCGATTGCTGGCAATCAGAACACGTTTCTGTTCACATCTTCTACCCATAAATTTAATGCCTTTTCCATCTTAACTAAGCACTTATCACATACTATGGCTGTAACTTTTGCAGTTTGAGGTGCTATATTAGTCCATTTTGTGTTGCTATAAACGAATACCTGAGGCTGGGTAATTTATAAAGGAAAGAGGCTTTATTTGGTTCACAGTTAGGCAGGCTGTACAGCAAGCATGGTACCAGCACCTGCTTCTGGTGAGGACCTCAGGAAACTTTCAGTTATGGTGGAAGGCAAAGGGGGAGCAGGTGTGTTGCCTGGTGAGAGAGAGATCAAGAGTTGCCAGCCTCTTTAAGGCAACTAGCTCTTACGTAAACTAATACAGTGAGAATTCACTTGTTACTCATCACCTCCCACTAGGTTCCACCTCCCACATTGAGGGTCACATTTCAACATGAAATTTGGAGGGGACAAACATCTAAACTCTATCAGGTGCAGTAGCAGAATTAGTACAAATATCTTTTTCCTTCTTCACAATCTCACAGATAGAATATTCATTGTTACTGTAGGTCTTGGCAGCCTCAGCATTCAATTTCTTTTTCCCTTGTTAAGTTGAGAACTTTTACCTTTTCACTTAAGAGGAAGTGCTTTATGGCTTCCCTTTGGCATATCCAAATTGCCAGCATCACTATTCTTGAGCTTTGGGGCCATTATTAAATAAAATGAGGATTACTTGAACACAGGCACTGTGATACCGTGACAGTTTATCTGATAAGAGAGCAAGCTAATAAGTAACTAATGAGTGAGGAGCATATACAGCATGGACATGCCAGACAAAGGGATAATTCACATCCTGGGTGGGATAGAGTGGAACAGCACGAGATTGCTACTCTGAGCAGTGTGCAAGTTAAAATTTATGCATTATTTCTAGAATTTTCCATTTAATATTTTTGGACCAATATTGACTTCAGGATAACAAACTGGTAAGCGAAATCATGGATAAGCAGGGACTACTGTATTTCCAGATTTCTTTTCCCTCTGTGCCTTTGCACATACTGTTTCCTCTACTGAGAGCATATTTCTGCTATTGCCCTTCCCTTTCTTATCACCTGGCAAGCTCTTTTTAGCCTGCTCAGAGGTTATTTCCTGAAGCCAGTTTATTACACTTCCTCCTTTTCTGTATTCCTCCTATAGCATCTGATGTATGCCTTTAAGATGACTATACTGTAGTGTTTTATCACCTCCCTTGACTTTGAGCTCCGTGAGAACATAAATGGATTATTTCACCTCTCTTCATGATTTGGACAGAACACTCAATTGTTAGACTGGAAAGGAGAAAGGAAACTAAAGTTTGAGTGTCTCTTATGTGCCAGGGAATGTGCTTAATTGTGTTGTTTTAGACACAATGGAATAAATTCAATTGCCACAATAAATTTTGTAAGAACATACTATCATAATTAGTATATATTTTTATTACATATTATCTCCATCTTATAGTTCAGAAAACTGAAATTAATTAATTTCCCCAGTTATTAAATACTAGAGCCAGGACTCGAACCAAGGCCTGTTTTGACTCTACGGTCTCCGGTTATTTCATTTTACTGTGCTGTTTCTTTACTACTAGTGTAATTGATGATATGATCTTGTGTAATGTAAAGAACATGGACTTGGACATCATACAGACCTGGATTTGAGTTCTAGTTTACCATTTAACTAATGTTGACAAGTGTCTTAATCGCTATAAATCTCTGTTTCCCCCCTTTAAAAAATGTGGTTGTTATCATTATTTACTTTAGAGGATTATTGTGAGAATTAAATGAAATAATGTATTAGAGGGTTTTGTGCAGTGCTGGGCACATGATAGATGCTTTATAAGATGCTAGTTGTATCTTATCTGATCAACAGATAAGTTGATCAACAGGTAGTTGATCTTATCATAGCTACAAGCAACAGAAAAACTTACAGTGGCTTACAGTGGCTTAGCAAAAAAACTTTTAAATGGCTTCACATAATAAAAAGTTTGGAGATAGTCTTCAATGACTTAAGTTTCTTTCTTTCTTTCTCATAGTCTTAGGATATCTGTGAAGTTGCAGGTGTTACATTTAAAGCAGAAAAAGGAATGGTATCATCTGTGTCTATATCTTTTATTAGAAGAGAAAAAACCCTTTCCAGATGTTTCCTTTGTATCTCACTGGCTGGAATTGGTTACATGGACTACTGTAATAGCTTAGCTGCTCTCCTAACTCCAGTCTTGCCATTATCTAAGCTGTGAAAAACACTGGAAAAGTGGAGAACAAGTTGATTGTGATTAGATCAACAATTATTCTTCTACTAGGGATGAGCACATTGCTCCCTCATATAAAGTTACAGAAGTGTCTTGTACAGTTCTGGTGGTGGTGGTGATGATGATGCTATGTGATGACATAGCACTGAAAACCATTGCAAGGTATGCTTATCATTTCATTAGTCTGAAGCAGTTAATAAGTAAGCATTGTGCATTGTTTTAATCCATATCACATAAAGACTAAGAGTAGCTCAGCTATGTCCTTATATTTAAGTGCTAACATTTTACAAAATTGGCTTTACAGGCATTTTCTTATCTCATTAGCTTAAGAATGCTTAAAAAAATGCTGCTTCTGTTACTTCTGATTGTTCCTACCCTCCTGACACACACATCAAACAACAAAACCAAGTGGACAACCGCCACTACCAGATATATAACAAAGAAACCCCTTAACATTGCTGGAGTCCCTCTGATAGTTTTTTGTCTCCTGCTCTTTTTGGAGATCTATAGCTTCAATGTCAACTTCCGGAAGATGATAGTATTCTTAAGGCCACTTTTTCTACCCCTAATATCTCATGTTGGGATTTCCCCTTTCACTCTTACCAGACTCAGTGAAAACAAAGGGATCTGCTATAGTTCTGCCTTCTACCCCTCAGCTTCCTATTATTGGAGCCTTCCACAATTATTAGATCTCCTTCTGCCTTCTCACCCTGTTGATTTTGGGCTGACTGGGAGAGAAGAGGAAAACTGAACTGTGAAGCTCTTGCTGCGTTGCCAGTGATTGGGAGGATATGTTACCCAATGCTCGCTTGGGTTCTGGGATGAATTTTGCCATAGAAACTGGTATAATGGATGTTTGGGTTGTGTACTATTATTGCTTCTCTAGTTCAACTACATTTTGGCTTTTGAGGACTGGCCTGAGATCTATAAAATACCACTATATATGATTCCTTTAGGGAAATACTTTGACTGCCAACCAATTTGAAAACAAACATTCAGAGTAGAATATATTAAATCATGAGTTGAATGACCTATGTTTGGGTTTTTACCATTCTGTACCTTGATAGGATGCTAGAGTAATACACACTCATCCCCAGTAAAAAGGCAGAAGCTAAGGACATGGATAATTAGTTGCCTGATTAGTCCCTCTATAATAAAAAAGTTAAGAACATGGAAGATTCGTCTTGGTTGCAGAATGAAGTATGTTCTTTCCTATGAGTACTTCATATGTATTAATTTTCTTTTTAATATTTACATGTTGAAGCAGTTATTTTTCCATTAGGTCTTTACTCAGAGAGCTTAGAGATCTATATGTGTAGAGAATTAACATCTGATTATTGCATGATTTCATTCTTTGGCTTAACTAAATTGTTTTACAAATCGAATAATTGTTTACTTTTGTATTTTAAAAATTTTCTTCCAGTGTTTTCTCAAGCAAATCAATGTTAATGCCAGATTTTCTAGATCCTTAGATTTACTAGATGGTTTTTAGTCATTCAGAAGCCACTTATAATTTAGTAGAGTAATAAACATAATAATGATTATCAGGTTCAGCTTCCAAATATTTGAGAGAGAGCATATATATACTTTACTGTGACAACTTTTAGAAACTGTTTTGAGATAGATGAAGAAAAGGCAGAAGATATGTTGAGAAGCAGATGTTGTATGACGGAAGTACCCAGCTGTGCACTAACAAAATGAATCTCATGCCGATTAGTTAACAATTCTTTGGCAGTCAGAGACATATGTAAAGCAGTGAACACAGCATGGGGAAATAAAAAAAAATTAAAAGCATTTTCTAAGCCTAAAACATTGGCAGTATCTAGTCTACCATATGTGTTACTGAAGAATTGGTTTTATTGTGGATAAGTCATACCAAGGTCACTTGCAAAAAAAATTGGTTAACCCATTAGAGTCTTCATTCTCAAAAATATATATGTGTATATATATATGATCATTATGTATTTCATATATATATAACGTACAGGCATATTATATGTCATGTATACAATGATCGTATATATAATGATCATAGCAGTGAGTTTATATATGTATTATATATCATACATATATATATATAAAACTCCTGGGCTCAAGGGATCCTCCCACCTCAGCCTCTCGAGTTGCTGGGATTACAAGCTACTGTAACTGGCTCCATAGCCTTAGTTTAGATTCTTCATCATCCTTATCTTGACTATTATGTTAGCCTCACAGCTGCTAGTTTTGTCTGATACAGTAGATAGTTTAGATTGTTTAATGATTTCTTCATAACATATATGTTAAAGTATAAGATCCTCAAAATTTATAATTTGCCCTCAGTTTATATTAGCTGGGCATTTCCATCTTGTATTATATTGTAAATTCTTTGAGTGGAGCCTAACATCTTTTTATTCATCACTATGTTGTGGACATAGTAACTACTCAGCTAATAGTTGTTGACTTAATGAGATAGACCTAGGCAGATTCTTGGCTTAGCAATTCAGTATGCCTTGCTCAAATTAAAACGAATTATTCTGTTAGTAGGAATAATAACATTATTTTAATATATTAATAATTCACACATAATTTTACAGTAGTAATTTATACAGCCCGCTGGTTCTGTTAATTTGAATTAGTAAGATGTTAAGCTATTATGTGCAATGGTTCTGAGTTCCAGTAGTTCTGATTAGAGTTGAAAATTTTTAATGCACAGAATATAGTAATGTCTACCTTCTTGAAGACTAGCAGGAAGCTTTGTTTTGGTTAGAATTACTTTCTTTTTCCTAGAAGGGAATTAATGGAATTGAGTAATAACAAGAGCATACACTAGGTTTTGGATATTTATTGTGGTACAGAGTAAAAATTAGCAGACGACTCCTCATTAGAAGTTTTACTCTTGATCAGAAGTTTATAAAGCTTATTTTAAAAGTTTATAATCTTTACCTTGTATAAATAAGTCTTTAACCAAGATCATTTATGATGCTTAGAATGTACCAATGATTCGTTACTTACCCTAATGGAATATTGTGAGTAACTGGTACAATCCCATCCGTAGTTTTTGTTTTAGTTTGCAACTTTTCTTTTTAAAGTCCCTTTTAACCTAAAGTTTGATTAATACATTGAAATGTGATAAAAATTGTTGGTTACCTGTTGTGACATTGTTTTTAAGAAAAGTGTTTATATCATGAAAACAAGTTTCTTACAGACAGACTATATGTTTTATATATTTATTCATTTTGTAAAAATTGAGGTATAATTTACATATGGTAAAATTTACCCTTTTATAGTATGCATTTCAGTGGTTTTTAGTGTATTCACAAAGTTATGCAACTATCAGAAGAGGATTTTGGTAAGACGGAGTGGGAAGCATCAGAAGGTCTTACCTCACCTAGACAACAACTGCACTGGCAGAATCTGTCTGATATAACTATTTTGGATCTCTGGAGTCTACTGAAGGCTTTCACTTTCCAGGGAGAAGATTTGGATCTAATTGTGGTTATTTTTGGTCAGTTACAGCTCTTCGCATGGTAGCAGCTACCCATCCACTACCCCAGCCCCATGGCAGGCAGTTGTGCCAACAGGTGTTCCAGAAACAGTTTTCACACAGCTCATGGGAGCTAGAGTGGGCAAAAAGCACCTTGTCCTCCAAATATTGGGGATCTGTGCTCTGATTGCTATTTCTGCTCACAGAGGTGCAGAGAGAGGATGGCAGCCTTTGTTGTATACCTACCCCCATTGTTGCAGTCCCCTCCCCCTTCAGCTGAAGTGATTCCAGGGGATTTAAAGGGTTAGCACCTTTACCTCCTCATTTTTCTCTTTTTGGGAGCAGACATGAAAGGCTAGAATATTCAAAAACAATGGCATATGTGAGGAAAAATTAGAAAGTGACTGTGCATGCCCAGGGAAAGGCACAGGTTTGGAAAAGACCTGGGAAAACCTTAAGTTTACATTTCAGGCTGATCATTGGCACAAAGACAATACCAATCAAGACAAAAACAATAAATAGAAATAACAACAAAACCCAGCAAACCCTGAGGAAAGAGGAGAATCTGATTTCCAGAGTAACCATATTATTAGATTCTAGTTTTCAACATAAAAATGACAAGGCATACAAAGAAACAGAAAAGTATGGCTCATTCCAAGGAAAAAACTGAATCAACAGAAACTCTTCCTGAAAAAGACCTCATGTCAAATCTACTTGACAAAGACTTTGAACAACTGTCTTAAAGATGCTTAGGGAACTAAAGGAAGACGTGGGGAAAGTCAAGAACATAATGTATGAACAAAGTGGAAATCTCAATAAACAGAAAACCTAAAAAGAAACCAAAAAGAAATTCTGGAGCTAGAAAATACAATAATTAAAATGAAAAATCCATTAGCAGAATTTAAAGGCATATTTGAGCAGGCAGAAGAATGAATCAGCAAACTTGAAGAGAGAATAATGGAAATTATTGAGTCTGAGGAACAGAAAGAAAAAATACTGAAGAAAAATAAACAGAGCTTAAGGAATCTGTGTGACACTACCAAGTGGACCAACATAAACATTGTTGGAGTCCCAGAAGGAGAAGAGGGAGAGAAAGGGGAAGAGGGAATATTTGAAGGCTTAATGCTGAAAACTTTTCAAAGCTGGTGAAATACATGAATATAAACATCCAAAAAGTTCAATGAACTCCAAGTAGTGTGAACCCAAAGAGACCCACACCAAGGCACATAATCATACTTTGACAGCCAGGTGTGGTGGTTTGTGCCTACAGTCCCAGCTACTCAGGAGGCTGAGGTGAGAGGATCATTTGAGGCCAGGAATTCAAGGTCAGCCTGGGCAACATAGTGAGAACCCACCTCTCTAAAAAATAATAATAAAAAAAATGAGTCAGGTGTGTTGGCATGCACCTGTAGTCCCAGTTACTCAGGATACTTGGGAGGCTGAGATGAGAGATTGCTTGAGCCTAGGAGTTTGCTGTGATTATGCCACCACACTCCAGCCTAGGCAACAGAGCAAGACCCTATCTCTTAAAAAATCATATTTTTGAATGACAGAGAATCTTGAAAGCAGTGAGAGAAGCAACTTATCACATACCAGGGATCCTTAATATTATTATTGGCAGATTTCTCATCAGAAACTTTGGAGGCCAAAAGGCTGTCGGCTGGCATATTCAAAGTACTAAAAGAAATAAACTATCAGCCAATAATTCTATGTCTGGCAAAACTGTCCTACCAAAGTGAGGGATAAATTAAGACATTCTCAGATAAACAAAAGATGAGGGATTTCATTACCACTGGATCTGTCCTGCAAGAAGTGCTTAAGGGAGTACTGCAGAGTGTAATGAAAGAAGACTAGACAGTAACTCACAGCTGTATGAAAAAATAAAGATCTCAATAAAGGTATATACATGGGTAATTATGAAAGCAAGTATTATTGTAACAACAGTTTGTAACCCCACTTTTTTTGTTTTCTTCATGATTTAAGAGTAATACATTAAGAAAAACAATCATTAGTCCAAAAGCTAGTATTATTGTCACTTTGGTTTGTAACTCCACATTTTTTTTCTACATAATTTAAGAAACTATCACATTTAAAATAATTATTAGTTTTTGTTTTTGGCCACACAGTGTCTAAAGATATAATTTTGTGACATCAACAGCCAAAAGGGGAGGAAATGGAGCTGTTATGGGAGCAGAGTTTTAGTATGTTGTTGAAGTTAAGCTGGTAATAATTTAAATTAGAATGTTTTAACTTTAGCATGTTAAATGTAATCCCCATAGTAACCACAAAGAAAATAGCTATAGAATATACACAAAAGGAAATAAGGAAGGAATTTAAACATTTTACTACAACAAAGTCAGTGAAATACAAAGAAGGCAGTAATGCAGGAAATGATGGACAAAAATGTATAAAGCATATAGAAAACAAATAGCAAAATGACAGAAGTATATATCAATAAATGCTTTAAACTTAAATGCGTTAAACTCTTCAACCAAAAGACAGAGATTGGCAGAATGGATTAGAAAAACATGATTCACTTATATCCTGTCTACAGGAGGCTCACTTTAGATCCAGAGACACAAATAGATTGAAAGTGAAAGGATTGAAAAAGATACTCCATGCAATAGTAACCAAAAGAGAGCAAGAGTGGCTATACTGTTATCAGACAAAATAGGCTTTAAATCAAAATGTTGTAAGAGACAAAGAAGGACATTATATATTAATAAATGGTTCAATACAGCAAGAGGACACAACAATTAAAATCTGACATATGCCACAACATGGATGAATCTTCAGAACATTATGCTGAGATAAGTCTGTCACAGAAAGACAAATACTATATGGTTCTACTTATGCAGTATAGAGTGTAGTCAAAAATCATAGAGACAGGAAGTAGTATGGTGGTTGCCAGGGGTGCAGTGGAGGATAGAATGCGGAATTAGTATTTAATGGGTAAACAGTTTCATTTTGGTGTAATAAAAATGTTTTGAATAGTGATGATGGTTGCATGATGGTGTGAATGTATTTAGTACTACTGAACTGTACACTTAAAAATGATTAATATGTTAACTTTATGTTATGTGTATTTTACAACTATGACAGTCTATTTTGTGCTGCTGTAACAGAAAACCTGAGATTAGGTCATTTATAATGAATGGAAATATATTTCTCACAGTTTTAGAACTGGGAAGTCCAAGTCAGGGACTGGCATCTGGCAAGGGCCTTCTTGCTGCATTGTCCCATGGCAAAAGGGCAAAGAGAGGTCAAGGGAAAGGAAAGGGGATCAAATTCATTTTTTATGAGAAACCTACTTCTGAGACAGTAGCATTAAATCATTCATAAGGGCACAGCCCTCATGGGCTAATCACCTCTTAAAGGTATCACCTCTTAATACAATTACAATGGGAATTAAACTTCAACGTAACTTTGGGAGGGGATAAATATTAAAAACATAGCAATCACAATAAAACTGGGAAATTAAAAAAAAATTGTGCGGCTGGGAGCGGTGGCTCACGCCTATAATCCCAGCACTTTGGGAGGCTGAGGCAGGTGGATCACCTGAGGTCAGGAGTTGGAGACCAACCTGGCCAAAATTGTGAAATCCTGTCTCTACTAAAAATACAAAAATTAGCCATGCATGGTGGCATGTGCCTGTAATTCCAGCTACTTGGGAGGCAGAGACAGGAAAATTGCTTGAATCTGGGAGGCGGACGTTGCAGTAGAGCCGAGATCACGCCACTGCACTCCAGCCTGGGTGACAGAACAAGACTGTGTCTCAAAAAAAAAAAATTGTGCAACTATCATCAATATATAATTCCAGAACATTTTTATCACCCCAAAGGAAACCCATATTCATTAGCAGTTACTTTTCTGCTTAGCCCCTGGCAACCACTAAATGACTAAAAATAAAAGCTGAAGCTATGATAGGAATGTCTTATTCTAATTTTGGTAATATTCATTATATTTTAAGTAGACAGATGTAAATAATGGGCAAATAATGCTTTTAATTATTTTCTTTAACCCGTCTTAGAGCCAAGAAGCTTCTTTCAAGGCAGTGGTACATGGTGGAGGCTATCAGAGTTTCTAGAATAATTATCTAGGCTGAAAGTCATATCTGGGCTTTTTGGTGATCTTTCTATGTGAGCACGTACAGCTAATTTGACTAATTCTCTTCAAATATTTCTTGAAGATGTATGTTACAACAAGGCTTAGGTTATAATATTAGAATAGGCCTTCTCTTTTGAGTGGAGTAATATGATTATTCTAATAAAGATCCTTTCTTCACTGAGGCTACTGTTTGGGAGTTGAAGTAACTGGGAAATTTGAACCTACCCTTCTCCTTTCACATTATATCACCAGTATAAGAGCAGAATTGTCAGATATTCCGTTAAATATTGGATACGAAATGTTTTTTAATTGATAAATAATTTGTGTGTGGCAGTATTTCTGCATTCTTGTCCTATAAACTAATATCAGAGTTCTTTGGTTGCTGTGACATGCCTCCTCAGATTAATAGTGAGATTTCTTCCTGTAGGTAACCCTAATTTCTTTTAAAGCAATGATTTATGGTATTATGATCTAAATGCCTTTTTTTTTTAAGAGATGGGATCTCACCATGTTGCCCAGGCTGAGCTCAAGCTATCCTCCCACCTCACCTTGGCTTCCCAAAGTGCTGGGATTACAGGCATGAGCCACCATACCCGGCCCTCGATGCATTTTTAATGTTACATTAGTTGCTAAAAAATAAAACATAAAAAAGAGGCCGGGCACAGTGGATCACGCCTGTAATTCCAGCACTTTGAGAGGCGAGGTGGGCAGATCACCTGAGGTCGGGAGTTCAAGAGCAGCCTGACCAACATAGAGAAACCCCATCTCTACTAAAAATACAAAATTAGCCCAGCGTGGTGGTGCATGCCTGTAATCCCAGCTACCTGAGAGGCTGAGGCAGGGAAATTGCTTGAACCTGGGAGGCAGAGGTTGTGGTGAGCCGAGATCACGCTATTGCACTCCCCTGGGCAACAAGAGCAAAACTTCATTTCAAAAAAAAAAAAAAAAGAATATTTTGCAATATCAGGGGGCAATAATGTGATATGCTGGATAGTAAAAAGTTAATGAGGACATAGATGCCTAGTCTAAGCAAAATAGATAAGAAGTTGCTGATCGTAATTGATGAGAATGACGTCACAGTGGAATAGCAGATAATGCATGAGTGGTGAATTTCCTCGTTTAGTCTTACTTTGAGGCAGCAAATAAATCCTTTATAAGTGTTGCATTACTTTTATGGTGTGTGTGTGTGTGTGTGTGTGTGTGTGACAGAGAGAGAGGCTTCAATCCTTAAATCATGTAATATTAAGAAAAAACAAATGAATTCACTTAGAAGATTTGGGGCTGGATCTATATTTTTTCATCATTTTAACATTTGGGGGTTAAAATTTCCAGACCGTTGGAGACGACATCCATCCAGAACAGAGTAGATCCTGGAGATTCTGGATAAATTATCTGCAAGTGCATTTTTTTTTCCCAATAGATTGAGTTTATTATCAACATTCAGTTTGCTGATTAAAAAATTTTTCAGTATATCGATATTGAACTCGAGTTGGAAGAGGCGAGTCTGGTCTCAAAATGGAGGGCCATGATCCAAAGGAACCAGAGAAGTTGAGAAAACTGTTTATTGGTGGTCTGAGCTTTGAAACTACAGATGATAGTTTAAGAGAACATTTTGAGAAATGGGGCACACTCACAGATTGTGTGGTAATGAGAGACCCCCAAACAAAACGTTCCAGGGGCTTTGGTTTTGTGACTTATTCTTGTGTTGAAGAGGTGGATGCAGCAATGTGTGCTTGACCACACAAGGTTGATGGGCGTGTAGTGGAACCAAAGACAGCTGTTTCTAGAGAGGATTCTGTAAAGCCTGGTGCCCATCTAACAGTGAAGAAAATTTTTGTTGGTGGTATTAAAGAAGATACAGAAGAATATAATTTGAGAGACTTCTTTGAAAAGTATGGCAAAATTGAAACCATAGAAGTTACGGAAGACAGGCAGAGTGGGAAAAAGAGGATTTGCTTTTGTAACTTTTGATGAGCATGATACAGTTGATAAAATTGTTGTTCAGAAATACCACACTATTAATGGGCATAATTGTGAAGTGAAAAAGGCCCTTTCTAAACAAGAGATGCAGTCTGCTGGATCACAGAGAGGTCGTGGAGGTGGATCTGGCAATTTTATGGGTCGCGGAGGAAACTTTGGAGGTGGTGGAGGAGCTATGGTGGTGGAGGTGGTGGCAGCAGAGGTAGTTATGGAGGAGGTGATGGTGGATATAATGGATTTGGAGGTGATGGTGGCAACTATGGTGTGGTCCTGGTTATAGTAGTAGAGGGGGCTATGGTGGTGGTGGACCAGGATATGGAAACCAAGGTGGTGGATATGGTGGAGGTGGTGGAGGATATGATGGTTACAATGAAGGAGGAAATTTTGGCGGTGGTAACTATGGTGGTGGTGGGAACTATAATGATTTTGGAAATTATAGTGGACAACAGCAATCAAATTATGGACCCGTGAAAGGGGACAGTTCTGGTGGAAGAAGCTCGGGCAGTCCCTATGGTGGTGGTTATGGATCTGGTGGTGGAAGTGGTGGATATGGTAGCAGAAGGTTCGAAAAACAGCAGAAAAGGGCTACAGTTCTTAGTAGGAGAGAGAGCGAGGAGTTGTCAGGAAAACTGCAGCTTACTTTGAGACAGTCCTCCCAAATGCATTAGAGGAACTGTAAAAATCTGCCACAGAAGGAACGATGATCCATAGTCAGAAAAGTTATTGCAGCTTAAACAGGAAACCCTTCTTGTTCAGGACTGTCATAGCCACAGTTTGCAAAAAGTGCAGTTATTGATTAATGCAATGTAGTGTCAATTAGATGTACATTCCTGAGGTCTTTTATCTGTTGTAGCTTTGTCTTTTTCTTTTTCTTTTCATTACATCAAGTATATTGCCCTGTAAATTGTGGTAGTGGTACCAGGAATGAAAAATAAAGGAATTTTTAACTTTTCAAAAGAAAAATTTTTCAGTATATCTGCATAAATGAAATTGGTCCATCATGTGTATTAGAGGAAGCTATCCTTACTCCGTTTGTTATCAGGATTATGTTAGCTTGAAGAATGGACTGATAAACTTTCTATAAGGCTTATTACAGGCTTTAACCTGTAAAATTGATCTCATCGTAAACAGCTTTGAGAGTATACAGATAGTTGACTATTTTTCTTCTCTGGTTTCTTCAGATACTCTTCATCATCTTGGATTTGTTTTAATAATTTATATATGTTAAAGAAAATAATCAAAACTGTGCAGATTTATAAATCTTTAAAATTGTACACAATATTATATATTTTAAAACTCCCTACATATGCAGTTTTATCACCCTTCTCATTTATGGTACACCATAAGACTCACTTTTTGATGCCAAGTGTTCTCGAAAATGTCCTAAGGAAGATCATTGCTGGAACAATGTTATTTTTGAGACTTTTGTTCCTTATAAGGAAATAGACATCAATTAAGGAGGGAATTTTTTTTTTGGAGGTGGAAATGGGTAGTATGATCAAGCAACTATATGTATATTTCCCTGGGGAACACGGCATTAAGAAGAGAAAATAATCCCAACTATTAACAATTTCATCTGTGCAGTGGTTTTTATTCTGCAACATTGTCTTTTCTATTTTTGTACATGTTTTCTAGAAAAGGTAAACATGTAGTAGAAATAAATGTGATGTTAATTGCTATGGCAGTGTGTCTGTACACATTACTTTTTTCTCCTGTCTACCCACCTTCCATTGGCAATCACCCAACTGGTTAGGTAAATGAGGGTGGATGGATAATAAACGTTTCTTCACAATTACTTCCTTAGCTCTCAAAAGGGATTCTGAAGCATTCCATTATAAGTGCTGCTTACAGACATGCTGAAATGACCACTTTTTGCTCTGGAGTGATATTCTTTGCTTAATAAAGAACAAGAGATCACAATATCTTTCTTTCCTGAGCAGAAGCAGGGCAAACTGTTGATTCCTTTTTGTTTTTTTCCTGCAAAGAAAGGACCTTGCTTATGTCACCCAATTTCCCCTTTCAGGAAGGGGAAGTAATTTTTAGTAAGTCAAGGTATGTAGTAGCCATAAGGTCTTCTGTTTAGGATTAAGGTTCAGTGAAGTCATTTGGCATTCATTTATTTTTGGAGTTTTGATCCGAAAGCTGCTTCATTGCAGAATTTTAGTCTGAATTATGTTCTAAAGATTGATGATCTCTCTATGGGACTTCACTGTAACTACTCCATTAGGACATCAGATTTAGCCAAGTATTTATGTGTTAATTTTGTTGGATTAACTTATGTGCATAGACATACACACACACACACACACACACACACACACACACTGAAGCCTCATTGTTCCCTTAAATTTTAATTTTTATTTGATATCTTTTCATAATCTATTGAGAAAAGTTATGATGGGAATGCAGTACTGTGAGTTTGCACTGACAATAAAGGTTGATCTATGACAGCCTCTTAGAAGCAACTACTTTAAAATATTTTATAGTGGGAAAAAACCCCACAAATGCAGTTGTTGTTTTGTATACTTTTTTCTCTGTTGACCTGAATAGGATTAAATAACCTCTAGGGTGATTTGCCCATTCAGCAAAGTGGCACAGGCCAAAAAGGAGATTAAAGTAGGATGAGGGGGAAACAAGGAAAACATGACAAAGGAAAACCCAAGATTAGAAAGACTCAGTGAAGAAATTTTACTCAAAGAAATAAAGAGGTTTTTTCTTCCTTCAGTATCCCCAAAGCAATATAGCAGGAAATCTTACTTTGATTATCCATCAACAAGCAAGAGTGGAATTAATAAGTTGACCAGCAAATTGATACATTCCACTGTGCACGCAAAAGTCAGACCCTTATAAGTAAGCAGTTGCATGATATACTTTATAAGTATATAAGCACATATGTTACAAGTTCTTCATGGGAAAGCAGACCAGCTCAGCCTAGCCTGAATGCCACCTAGTGTTCTCTTGTATGTATAGGATACAAGTGGAGCCAATGGTTGATTAATTGAAAATGACAATTAAGATAGGGAATTACATAAATTGATATAAATTTTCATGAGCATTTGATTTTTAACTTAAAGCATATACTGACTGGAGACTGCTGTCATCTTTCTTGCATAAACAACATATAATGCTTGTCTCCTGTTTCCAATTCAAATTTCCATAAAGTAGAACAAGAGCTTAGCAAACTGAGTATGGAATCCTACTCGATTTTTATATTTTTTATAACAATTTTTCTTTTCTAACATTTTGAGATTTACCTTTCCAAAGCTTTCAGTGTTTTCCCAAAACATTTATCTGTTTTCATAGAAACACCCTTTTTGTACTCATATTTCATAATATTTAATTAAATATTAAATTGCATAATCACAAATTGGCATAAAAGCAGTGAGAATGAACATAACTTGGTAAAACAGAATGTGAAGACATACTGCTATTGGAGTAGTCTGTTTGATTTAGCTTGCCTGTGGGCAGCTGCATGTTTTAAACAGGAAATGTAGAGCTAGCCCTTACATAGTGGAGATAGCCCATTTGGGGAGTTTCTGCTCTGTTTGATTTGGCTGATGCCTGTATTCTTCTTTAGGGATAATTAGCTATGATAGGCCTTTATGGCTAAGACTTTAAACAATAATACTTGGTGAAGTGAGTTGTCAAGGAGCTAAATATACACATTAGTATGAGAAGAGAGCAACACGCAATCTGATTTCAGAGCTGGTGCACTTAACCATCATGCTATCTACTGCTTCCCCTTGTGGGAAGTATTAGCATGCCACTTTATGTCCATAATATAGCAAGTAGATAAGAAATGGTGCATAGGAAATAATATAATTATGCTGACCCTTTTCTATATTAAACATTATTCTCAAAAAACAGAGCATATACCTCAGATATCTCTAGAAGAGTTACCAAAACTGATCTTCTATTAGGTTAACAGTATGCCACTAAATGAGTAAGAACAGGAATTATGCAAGCCATTTATGTAGATGAAATTCAAATAGAATTATAAATAACAAAACTGAAAAAGCCATTTGGTTGATAATTATTATTTGGGATGCATATTTTGCTTGTTTTAAATTAGTTTTCAGGGTCTTCTTCCTTTAGGGGTAGCTTAGCTCAGTCTTTAGCCTGATTCAGTTCAAGAGAAGAAAGGCTAACTACTTTTTACCCATAAGAGGCAGTGCAGCTTACTCTCTGGAGTCAAGCTAACAAGTATGACCTGTCCGTACATTTTAATTTCACTTAGTAGCTGTGTGACCTCGGGCAAATTACCTTACCTCTCTTGTCTCAGTTACCTCATTATAAAATAGGGATTAGTATCTATTACACAGAATTTCTTTTATTTATTTATTTTATTATACTTTAAGTTCTGGGATACATGTGCAGAATGTGCAGGTTTGTTACATAGGTATATACATGTCATGGTGGTTTGCTGCACCCATCAACCCATCTCTACATTAGGTATTTCTCCTAATGCTATCCCTCCCCTAGCCCCCCATCCCTCGACAGGCCCCGGTGTATGATGTTCCCCTCCCTGTCTCTATGTGTTCTCATTGTTCAACTCCCACTTATGAGTGAGAACATGCGGTATTTGGTTTTCTGTTCTTGTATTACACAGAATTTCAATGAGAATTAAATGGATTCATGTGAAGTTCTTACAACAGTGCCTGGTGTATAGTAAATGCTCAGTAAATGATAGTCATCATCATCCTTATCAACCTTGAAAAAGGGAAATAGTGATATTATTGTTGAAAATATAGCCAGAAACATGAATCTGAAGTATGTAGTATTGGAGATTAGGTACAGAATAAACAAGAAGTAGAACCAGAGAAGGCATACGTGAAAAATTAATGTGTGGTCCAGAATAGATGTCATAGTTCTGGGCATTACCTCTTGTTCATTAAAAGATAAATAGTGGGTCAGGGTAGAAATAAAAAAATAAGCTGGAGGAAGGAAATAATAAAAATGACATAGAAATACAGTAGGATAAATTCGAGAGTGGACTTTCTGAAAAATCCCAATAATATATGAGTACCTACAGCAAATCTAATTGGAAAAGAAAAAGAACGGGGGAAATCATTTAAAAAGTTAAAAAGAGGATCAGGGAGAGATCCTAAATAGTGTGAGAGACTGCTATGCAGAGTTGTGTGGTAATATATTTGGAAATCTTGATGAAATCTAAAATTTCCTAGCAGATATAAAAATCAGCTAGAGAAATAGAAGACTGTGATTATGTCATTCTTCTGCTTGAAATTCCCCTAAATAGCTTCCCATTGTTCTCAAGATAAAGATAGATACTTTCAACTTGTCTTCCAGTCCTCCCTGATCTGACCTGTTTCTTGCCATCCAGGCCTTGCATTCTTTTCCCTTGGGCTCCTGCACTCTGGCCATATTGATCTTCTTTCTGTTCATCTAATACTGTTCTCTTTTGCACCAGGACCTTTGCACGTCCTGTTTGTTTTGTGTGTTTTGAACACTTAATTTCTATTAATCCTTAGATTTCTACTCAAGTTTCATGTCATGGGGAAACTGAACCTTACTCTTCACAGACTAGGTTTGGGTCCCTGTGCCATCTGCTCTCATAGCTCCTTATACTTTGTTTTCATACTTAACACTATTAACAATTATTTCTGGGTATTTATGTCTCTTTCTCCCCAAGTATATCATAATTTCTTTGATGGTAGAATTGATGGCTGTTTTGCTTATTCTTGCCTAGCACAGAGAGAGGTACTCAGTATTTTCTGATTAAATAAGGACTTGCATAGTCAAATAACCTCTTCCGTTTTTTCTTTTTTCTCTCTCTTTTTTTTTTGGAGATGGAGTCTTGCTCTGTCGCCCAGGCTGGAGTGCAGTGGCATGATCTCGGCTCATTGCAAGCTCTGCCTCCCGGGTTCACGCCATTCTCCTGCCTCAGCCTCCCGAGTAGCTGGGACTACAGGCGCCCGCCACCACGCCCGGCTAATTTTTTTTTTTTTTTTTTTTTGTATTTTTAGTAGAGACAGGATTTCACCATGTTAACCAGGATGTTCTTGATCTCCTGACCTCGTGATCCGCCCACCTCAGCCTCCCAAAGTGCTGGGATTACAGGCGTGAGCCACCACGCCCGGCCCCATTTTTTCTTTAATAGTGAGATTTAGAAACCCATCCTCTCTCTCTCTCCCTCTCAAACATAAAAAACAACCTAAGTTGTTTCACAGACACATTCTTGTAAGCTTTCTAGGAAATAATTTTCTATATCCAACTGTTTTGTAACATACCCATATACATATAGAAAGCTATCCAGTTCATTTTATTTCAATCTCAAATTTGATAAAGTACCAAAAAGTAGTAATACAGACCTAGTTCAGTCATGAATATGGATGGGAAAAGTCAATATAAAATTCTAGCAAATCAGATTCAGCAGGATATTAAAAGAACATTTCATAACATAAGTTATACATTGAATTTAAAAAGTAGGTGAATATTAGATTAAAAATGAAAAACCACATGGTGATCTTAATGCCACAAAAGAGTTTGATAAAACTCAATATTCATTCTTTATAAAAGTATTTAATGGTTTGGATGAAGACTTCTTCAGTTAAAGAAAAACAAAGAAGAATTTCTGTCCAAACCAATATCCCAGTATCTTGCTATATAATGAAATGATAGAGTCATTTCTATGAAAATAGGATAAAATAAAGAGGCTTGCGGATACAGCCTTTTTTTTTTTTTTCCAAGTTCTAGACAATGCAATAAAACATAACAGAAATTAGAAGCAGGGCTTTTGGAAAAAAGGAGATACAGTTCCCATTTATTTGCAGGCCGATTGGTTATATCTAGAAACCAAAGAGAAAATTAAAAACTTTTGGAATTAGTAAGAATAGGTATGAATTAATATGAGAGTTGAGTTGGATACACATGTTTTTGAGCTGATTCATGCAAAGGCTTTCCAAGCTCCTTTGTGTTTTACTAGGTTGTGTTTGCTTAAAGTTGGCTCGCTAGTACGCAGTCATGAGTCAGGGGAAGAGAAGGAGCCTGACTGGCTCCTATATTGTTCTGAGTCATATTTCTTTTTTTCAGTGGAATTAAACCAACATGATTGTTGAAAGAGATCAAAATTTGGCAGGTTTTCATTTGCTTGATATCTGTAAACAGACTTTTCTTTCAGGAAAGGAATTTGGAGGAGGGCAGAGCCATCATTATCTCTTTTTTACAAATCTACAATTTCCCATTTGACCCTTACAATTAATCTGAAAGTCAATTTGTGTTTGAGATTATACGACAGTAACAGGTTGATAAGCAGACATTTCTATGTCTTATTCGATAAGAAATACTGAATTAAGTTGGAGAATGGAGGTCATGTGCTGCCCCGTACATTTCTCATCTTGTCCTCAGCAAGGACTATATGGTAATTTTCATAGATTTTGTCAATTAAATGACCGATATTTGAGTACCTTTTAAGTGCTAGTTCCTGTTCTTGGTGGTAGGATTGCAGTGGTGAAGAAGATATATTCTGTTCTTAAGAGGATTACATTGCAGAGGGGATAGATAGATAATAAGCTGTGTATAAATAAGATAAATTTAATTATAAATAATACTGATAAATATAGAGAAGATAAAATAGGTATTGACCAATTATGAATGGCATACTGTATGGCAAGAGCTTTTTAGATGGAGTCAAAGAAGTCTTTGCTGAAAAGGTGACATTTGAATTGAGTCATGAAGGATGAGGAAGAGGAAGCCATGAGGGCACCTGTTCTAAGAGCATTTCCCAGCATAAAGAACTATGTGGTGACAATAAATTCAGGGACAGAAAGGAGGCCAATGTGGCTGAAGAACAGTGAACTAAGTGGGAGAGTAAGAAGAGGTAATGCTGGAGAAGTAGCCAAAAACCAGGTCACGTAGGAACTTGTGGGCCATAAGAAGGAGTTTGGATTTTTGGAAATGTGTTGGAAAACCTTTAGATTGTTTGTTTGTTTTTCAAAGTGAGATGTTTATGATCTGTGTGGAAGACAGACAAGAAGAAAACAAAAGTGGAAGTAGAAAGACCAGGTAGGACATCGTTGCTTGTGCTGGTGGCTTGGGTCCAGGTGGGTGCAATGGAGATTCAGGGCAGCAAGTAGAATTTGACTGATGGATTGGAGTGGTATGAAAGAAAGAGTCAAGGATGGCCCTAATTTTTTGATCTGAATAATAAAGTGTATAATGAATGCTGTTTGCTGAAATGGGCAACTCTTGAGATTGGAAGTGAAGCTATGAGTTGAGAGCACTTTCTCTGTTTTGGCTGTGTTAACTCTCAGTATCCCCCGGAAGTCATTATTATCATTTGCCATCTGAATCCATTATACCCTGTTTACTTTCAATTTTTATGTTTTTTACTTTTATATTTTTTTGGAGACAGTATCTCACTCTGTTGCCCAGACTGGAATGCAGTGGCATGATCATAGCTCCCTGCAGCCTTGAACTCTTGGGCTCAAGTAATCCTTCCACCCCAGGCTCCCAGGTAGCAGCTAGGACTACAAGAGTGTGCCACTGCACCCAGCTAGTTTTAAATTTTTTTATTGTTTTGTGGATACGAGGTCTTACTATGTTGCCTAGGCTGGAATGCAGTGGCACAATTATAGCTCACTGCAGCCTTGAACTCCTGGGCTCAAGTGAACTTCCTGCCTTGGCCTCCCAAAGTGCAGATATTACAGGTGTGAGCCACTGTGCCTGTTCATTTTCTAAGTTATTTTATAAATAATTAACACAAGTAAACAATGAAAAACAACCTTATTAGAAACTTTAATAAGAATTTAACCATAGCAAACCCAATTTTTTTTATCCTGTAAGTTCCTGGTTTTGAAGACACATACATATTCAAAATGAGAAAAAGTCCTTTGAATATAATCATCAATTGCTATATACAAACCTGTAACATATACATTATATAAATACTGATTTCCAGATTTAAAATGAATCTCTTAATATGTTCTGGGTTTATCATTACTTCTGGTTTTTGCATTTTATTGTCAAAAGGCAGTATTTTTGAAAACTTTGATGGCTAAGATTTTGTTGAAGAAAGGATAAACACTTTCAATTGAAAAGTATTTTTGTTTTTTAGATTTATCAACTAATGAGAATGATCGATTTAATGAAATTTGTTATTTCTACATCAGTTATTTTTTCTCCACACTTTTTATATAGATACTTATCATCAGCATTTGTCTACCTATGAACTTCATCAAGTAAATTTAGCTTCATAAACATCATAAAAAGATCAATGAATACTACCACATATTCTTTTAACTAAATGGGATGGTCTAGGATCTTGTAACATATTGCACAATGAAGTTTCCTGTTGAATGACTGTCTGGCTAAAAGTACTTCTTGTCCTTAAAAATCATATTGTACATTCATTCCTTCTTAAGTTTCAGAAAATTTATCTAGGATATCATCATCTGAAGATTCATAACCTGAGATTTCACTACTACCTGCCTCTTTACATTCACCATCTAATAACTGTGAAATATCTTTCTTTGTCAGTTTTCTTCTCTTTGCCATTATGGGTAGAAAATGAAATATTCTGAATTTTCAACCGTGTTTACTGAAACCCTCAAAAATACAAAGATAGGATTTCCAGCCTTCTTTTCAAAAGATGAGACAATACCACCAACCAAAAAAAGCCTGGGACCTGATGGATTCACAGCCAGATTCTACCAGATGTACAAACAAGAGCTGGCACCATTCCTACAGAAACTATTCCAAAAAACTGAAGAGAAAGGACTCCTCCACAACTTATTCTATGAGGCCAGCATCATCTTGATACCAAAACCTGGCAGAGACACAACAGAGAAAGAAAACTTCAGGCCAGTATCCTTGATGAACATTGATGTACAAATCCTCAACAGAATACTTGCAAACTGAATCCAACAGCACATAAAAAAGGTAATCCACCATGATCAAGTAGGCTTCATCCCTGGGATGCAAGATTGGTTCAACATACACAAATCAGTAATTGTGATTCATCACATAAACAGAACTAAAGACCAAAAACTACATGATTATCTCAATAGATGCAGAAAAGACTTTTAATAAAATTCAACATCCCTTAATGTAAAAAACTCTCAATAAACTAGGTATTGAAGGAACATACCTCAAAATAATAAGAGCCATCTATGACAAACCCACAGCCAACATTGAACTGAATGGGCAAAAGCTGGAAACATTACCCTTGAAAACCGGCATGAGACAAGGATGTCCTGTCTTACCACTTCAATTCAACATAGTACTGGAAGTCCTTACCAGAGCAGTCATGCAAGAGAGAGAAATAAAGGGCACCCATACAGGAAGAGAGGAAGTCTTCTCTGTTTGCAGATGACATGATTGTATATCTAGAAAACCCAATAGTCTCAGCCGGGCACGGTGGCTCACGCCTGTAATCCCAGCACTTTGGGAGGCCGAGGTGGGCGGATCATGAAGTCAGGAGATCAAGACCATCCTGGCTAACATGGTGAAACCCCATCTCTACTAAAAATACAAAAAATTAGCCGGGCGTGGTGGTGGGTGCCTATAGTCCCAGCTACTTGGGAAGCTGAGGCAGGAGAATGGCATGAATCCAGGAGGCGGAGCTTGCAGTGAACTGAGATTGCGCCACTGCACTCAAGCCTGGGTGACAGAGCGAGACTCCATCTCAAAGAAAAAAAAAAAAGAAAACCCCATAGGCTCAGCTTGAAAACTCCTCCAGCTGATACACAGCTTCAGCAAAGTTGCAGGATACAAAATCAATGTACAAAAATTTACTAGCATTCCTATACACCAACAACAGCCAAACTGAGAGCCAAATCAGAAAGGCAATCGAATTCCCAGTTGCCACAAAAAGAATAAAATACCTGGGACTACAGCTAGCCAGGGAGGTGAAAGATCTCTACAATGAAAATTACAAAACACTCCTCAAATAAATCAGAGAAGACATAAACAAATGGAAAAGCATTCCATGCTCATGGATAGGAAGACCCCATATCATTAAAATGGCTATATTGCCTAAAGCAATGTACAGATTCAATGCTATTTCTATCAAACTACCAACAGCATTATTCACAGAACTAGAAAAAACTAGTTTAAAACCCTTACGGAACCAAAAAAGAGCCTGAATAGCCAAGGGAATCCTAAGCAAAAAGAACAAGTGCCAGAGGCATCATGTTACCCAACTTCCAACTATACTACAAGGTTACAGTCACCAGAACAGCATGGTACAGGTACAAAAACAGGCACATAGACCAATGGAACAGAAGAGAGAGCCTAGAAATCAGGCCACGCATCTGATCATCAACAATGCTGACAAAAACAAGCAATGGGGAAAAGACTCCCTATTCAATAAATGGTGCTGGGATAACTGGCTAGCCATATGCAGAAGATTGAAGCTGGATCCCTTCCTTGCACCATATATAAAAATCAACTCAAGATGGATCAAAGGCTTAAATGTAAAATTCAAAACTATAAAAACCCTGGAAGACAACCAAGGCAATACCATCCTGGACATAGAACCGGCAAAGATTTTATGACAAAGACACCAAAAGCAATCACAACAAAAGCAAAAATTGACAAGTGAGATCTAATTAAACTTAAGAGCTTCTGCATAGCAAAAGAAACTATCAACAGAATAAACAGCCAATCTACAGAATGGGAGAAAATATTTACAAACTATGCATCTGACAAAGGTCTAATATTCAGCATCTATAAAGAACTTAAGTAAATTTAGGGGAGAAAACCCCATTTAAAAAGTGGGCAAAGGACATGAACAGACACTTCCCAAAAGAAGACATACATGAGGCCAACAAGCATATGAAAAAAATCTTAATATCACTGATCATTAGAGAAATGCAAATTAAAATCACAGTGAGATACCATCTCATACCAGTCAGAATGGTTATCATTAGTCAAAAAATAACATGCTGGTGAGATTGCAGAGAAAAGGAAACACTTATACACTGTTGGTGGGAGTGTAAGTTAGTTCAAGCATTGTGGAAAGCTGTATGATGATTCCTCAGAGACCTAAAAGCAGAACTGCCATTTGACCCAGCAATCCCATTACTGGGTATATACCCAGACCAATATAAATCATTCTACTGTAAAGACACATCCATGTGAATGTTTATTGCAGCACTATTCACAATAGCAAAGATGTGGAATCAACCTAAATGCCCTCAGTGACAGATTGGATAAAGAAAATGTGGCACCTAAATACCATGGAATACTATGCAGCCATAAAAGAATGAAATCATGTCTTTTGTGAGAACATGGATGGAGCTGGAGGCTATTATCCTTAACAAACTAATGCAGGAACAGAAAACCAAATACTGCATGTTCACACTTACAAGTGGGAGCTAAATGATAAGAACCTACAAACGAAGAAAACAACAGACACTGGGGGCTACTTGATGGGGAGGGTGAAAGGAGCAAGAGGCGCAGAAAATATAACTATTGGGAACTGGGCTTAATACCTGGGTGATGAGATAATATGTACAACAGACCCCCTTGACACATGTTTACCTATGTAACAAACCTTCACTTCTACCCCCAAACCTAAAATAAAAGGTGAAAAACAAAAGATGAGGCAATACTTTGAGTAATGCAATAAGAAAACTGAAGGAGGGTATAGTAGTACAGCATCCTTTTAGGCAATTCTATTATTCTTACAATTTTAGATTTTTAAAAATATAGTTGGGAATAACTGATAAATAATGATGAAATAATTTTCAGGATGATGGATTACCGAAAGATTTAAGGTATAGGAAAAATAAGATCACTGAGGCCCTGTAATATATCTTAGATTTATGAAAGAGTCCAATGGACCCATATGGTAATTGCAAGACAAAATGAGTGTGTTTTAAAAACAAGTAAGAGTTCTGTTTGCTCTTGAATACCTCTAAGAAAGAATAAATTCATGAAATATCAATCCTTACAAATAGAACTGCCCAGAAACAAATTTAAAAAACAAATCTCCAGTCTAGTGGTCCCAGATAATACCAAGGGATAAGTTTGAAGTGTGTATTAAATATCCCATTGGAGATGTAGAGTAGTGGTTGTCTCCAGAAATCTAAACCTCAGAAGAGAGGTCTAGACTAGAGGTTTCAGTCTGAGAGTCATCAACCATTTGAAGCTTTGGATCTAGATGAGATCACCCAGGAAAGAGAGGATAAATGGAAAGAGAAGAGGGCCAAGAATAGAGCCCTGTGGCACACTAGATTTTAGAAATCTCATTTAGGAGAAAGATACTGAGAGGGTGCAACCAGTGAGGTAGAAACCTGTGATATAACTTGGAGAATAGTGTTTTAGGTGGGGAGAAGTCAACTGGATCAAAAGATAAGAGTAATTTTTAAAAAAGTAAGGTCAGAGAAGTTTGATCATTGACTTTTTTAAGAATAGGGATCTTTGATGACCCTTAGGAGAGCTGTTTCATTGAAGTGATGAGGCTGAAAGCCTGTTTGTGATGGATTAAAATGAGGAAGTAGAGATAAGCAATAGAGGCAAATTTTACAATAAATTTTGCTGTGAAGGCGGGGGAGAGATGGTATTTGGTGAGAGTTTCTTTTAACCCACTTTAGAGGATTGAGAGGAATTGGTAGAGTACCTGGAATTGGGGATGTCAATCAGGGAGATATTGGTACCTTAAATTAACATATTAAGGCTTGACATTAATACTCTCACATTAATACTGTATAGAATAGAGCAGAATTCTTCTCTCTCCTTTTCTCTTTTATGGATGTATAATAGAGGTACATAGTTTAGGGGTACATGTGAAAATATATTCCTATAACTTACAGAGATCAAATCAGTGTTCTTGGGATATTCATCACCTTAAATATTTGTCTTTTCTTTATGCTATAAACATTCAAATTATGCTAGCTATTTCAAAATGTACAATAGATTAAGTTATAGTCACCCTACTCACCCTACTGATCTATCAAAGAGTAGGTCTTATTTCTTCTATCAAACCATATATTTGTACCTATTAATCAACTCCTCTTCATCTCTTCCTTGCCCATATACTTCCTGGCCTCTGTTAACCACCAATCTACTGTATCTTTATGAGATCCACTTTTTTGGCTCCCACATATGAGTGAGAACAAGCAATATTTGTCTTTTACTGCTTGGATTATTTCTTGACATAATTACCTC
Organism: Homo sapiens; assembly: GCF_000001405.40. Taxonomy (NCBI): domain Eukaryota; kingdom Metazoa; phylum Chordata; class Mammalia; order Primates; family Hominidae; genus Homo; species Homo sapiens. The sequence goes on from NC_000001.11 coordinate 113,464,295, forward strand.
CCGTTTCATCCACATTGCTACAAATGACAGGATTTCCTTCTTTTTTGTAGCTGAACATTATTCCATTGTGTATACATACTACATTTTCTTTATCCATTCATCTGTTAATGAGCACTTAGGTTGATTTATATCTTGGCAGTTGTAAATAGTGCTGCAATAAACATGAGAGTGCGGATATATCTTTGATATATTGGTTTACTTTCATTTGGATATATACCCAGTAGTGGAATGGCTTGATCATATGGTAGTTCTATTTTTTATTTCTTCAGGAACTTCTATACTATTCTGTGTAGTGATTGTATTTATTTACATTCCCACCAACAATGTATAAGGGTTCCCCTTTGTTTCCATCCTCACCAGCATTGTTATTGTCTGTCTTTTTGATAAAAGGCATTTTAACTAGGGTGAGATGGTATCTCATTGTGGTTTTTATTTGCATTTTTCTGATGATTACTAACAAGGAGCATTTGCTCACTTACCTGTTGGCCATTTGTATGTTTTATTTTCGGGAATGTCTGTTTAGATCTTTTGCCCGTTTTTAAATCAGATTCTTTGGCTTTTTGCTGTTGTGTTGTTTGCGCTCCATAAATATTCTGATTATTAATCCCTTGTCATATGGATAATTTGCAAAGATTTTCTCTCATTCTGTGGGTTGTCTCTTTGCTTTGTGGTTGTTTCCTTTGCTGTCCAGAGCTTTTAGCTTGATATAATCCCATTTGTCTATTTTTGCTGTGTGGCCTTGTGCTTTCGACATCCTACACAGAAAATCTTGGCCCAGGTCAGTGTCCTGGAGCATCTCCCCAGTGTTTTCTTCTAGTAGTTTTTCTTCAGTTGTTCGAGGTCTTAGATTTAAGTATTTTATCCATTTTGCTTTGATTTTTGTGTTTGGTGAGAGATAGTGGTATAGTTTCATTCTTCTGCATATGGTTAATCCAGTTTCCCCAGCAGCATCTACTGAAAATACTGTCTTTTCCCCATTGTATGTTCTTGGTACCTTTGTCGAAGATGAGTTGGCTGTAAATGCTTGTATTTATATCTGTGTTCTTTATTCTGTTCCATTGGTCTATGTGTCTGTTTTTATACCAGTACCATGCTGATTTGGTTACTATAGCTTTGTAGTAAAGTTTGAAGTCATGTAGTGTGACCCTTCCAGCTTCATTCTTTTTGCCCAGCATTCCTTTGGCTATTTGGGGTCTTTTGTGATTCCATATAAATGTTAAGTTTTTTTTTCTATTTTTGTGAAGAGTGTTACTGGTATTTTGTTAGAAATAGCATTGAATCTATAGATTGCTTAGGGTAGTATGGACATAGTAACAATATTAATTCTTCTAATCAATAAACATGGAATATCTTTCAATTTTTTTGGCATCCTCTTCAGTATCTTTCATCAGTGTTACATAGTTTTCAACATAGAGATCTTTCAGTTCTTTGGTTGATTCCCAGGATTTTATATTCATTGTAGCTATTGTAGATGGGATTGCTTTCTTGATTTCTTTTTCACTTTGTTTGCTGTTGGTGGGTATAAAGGCTACTGATTTTTGTATGTTGAGTTTGTATTTTGCAATTTTACTGAATTTGTTTATCTGTTCTAATAGTTTTTTTGGTAGAATCTTTAGGTTTTTCTGAGTATAAGATCATGTTGTCTGCAAACAAGACTAATTTGACTTCTTTTCCAACTTGAATGTATGTCCTTTATTTCTCTTGCCTAATTGCTTTGGCCAAGACTTCCAAGATTAAGTGGTATACAAGTGGTGAAAATGGATATCCTTGTCTTGTTTCAGATCTTAGAGGAAAGATCTTCAATATTTCACCTTTGAGTGCAGTGTTAGCTGGGAGTTTGTCATATATGGCCTTTATTATTTTGAGATATGTTCCTTTTATACCCTTTGTGATGAGGATTTTATCATAAAGGGATGTTGAATTTTATCAAATGCTTATTTAATCTGTTGAAATAATCATAGGGTTTTTGTATTGGTTCTGTTAATTATCGCATTTATTGATTTGCATACATTGAACCATCTTTGCATCCCTGGGATGAATCCCACTTAATCATGGTGAATGATCTTTTTAATGTGCTGGTGAATTTGGTTTGCTAGTATTTTGTTGAGGATTTTTGCATCTATGTTCATCAGTGATATTGGCCTGTAGTCTTCTTTTTTTGTTGTGTCCTTATCTGTTTTTGGTATCAGGGTAATGCTGGCCTCATAAAAGGAGTTTGGATATATTCCCTCTGGTTCAATTTTTTGAGTAGAATTGATATTTGTTTGTCCTTAAATGGTTGGTAGAATCATCAATAGAGCCATAAGGTTCCACACTTTTCTTTGATGGGAGACTTTTGATTACAGCTTCAATTGTGTTACTTGTTATTGGTTTGTTGAGGTTTTCTGTTTCTTCATGGGTCAATATTGGTAGGTTTTATATGTGCAAGAATTTACTCATTTCTTGTAGGTTTTTCAATTTGTTGGCATATAGTCTCTAATGATTCTATTTCTGTGGTCTGAGTTGTTACATCTTTTCATTTCTGATTTTATTTGGGTCTTTTTTTTCTTAGTCTAGTTAAAGATTTGTCAATTTTGTTTATCTTTTACAAAACCAACTTTTTGTTTCATTGATCTTCTGTATTGTTTTTTAAGTTTCAATTTCATTTATTTCTGCTCTAATCATTATTATTTGTTTCCTTATAGTAATTTTGGGTTTGATTTCTTTTTGCTTTTCTAGTCCCTTAAGATGTATCATTAGGTTGTTTATTTGAAGTCTTTCTACTTTTTGGATATAGATGTTTATTGCTATAAACTTCCCTCTTAATACTGCTTTTGTTGTATCCCATACGTTTTGTTATGTTGTATTTCCATTTTATTTATTTCAAGAAATTTTAAAATTTTTTCTTCTTAATTTCTTCATTGATCCTTTGGTCATTCCAGAGCATATTGTTTAATTTCCATGTGTTTGTGCAGTTTCTGAGGTTCCTCTTGTTATTGATTTTTAGTTTTATTACATTGTGGTCAGAAAAGATACTTGATATGATTTCTACTTTTCTAAATTTGTTCAGAGTTGTTTTGTGGCCTAAGATATGGTCTCTTCTGGAGAATGTTCCATGTGCTGATGAGAAGAATGTATTCTGCTTGTGTTGGTGAAATGTTCTGTTAGTTAGACCTAGTGTGTAGTTTAACTCTGATGTTTCTTTGTTGGTTTTCTCTCTGAATGATCTATTACTGAGAGTAGGGTGTTAAAAGTTCCCTACTATTTTTTCTTTTTAGAGACAGTGTTTCACTCTGTCACTCAGGCTGGAGCACAGTGGTATGGTCATAGCTCTCTGCAGCTTCAACCTCCTGGGTTCGAGTGATCCTCCTGCCTCAGCCTCCCAAGTAGCTGGGATTACAGGTGCATGCCACCACATATGGCTAATTTTTAAACTTTTTAAGTAGAGACAGGGCCTTGTTATGTTGCCCAGGCTGGTCTTGACCTCCTGGCTTCAAGCAGTCCTCCTGTCCTGGCCTCCCAACATGCTGAGATTGCAGGCATAAGCCATCACACCTGGCTCCCTCCTATTATTGTATTGCAGTCCATCTTTCCCTCTAGATCTATTAATATTTGCATATATACTTCAGAGCTCCACTGTTGTATATAAATATTTATAATTGCTATATCCTCTTGCTAAAATGACCTTTCTCATTATGTAGTGACCTTGTCTCTTTTTATAGTCTTTGATTTGTAGTTTATTGTATCTGATATAAGTATAGCTATTCTTGTTCTATTTTGGTTTCCAGTTGTATGAAATATCTTTTCCACCCTTCCACTTTCTGTCTTTGTGTTTCTTTATAGGTGCTAAGTTTCTTATAGGTGGCATAAAGTTGAATTGTTTCTTTATCTGTTCAGCCAGTCTTTGCCTTTTAATTGGAGAATTGAGTTCATTTACATTCAGTGTTATTATTAATATATAGTGACTTAGTACTACCATTTTGTTGCTTGTTTGTAATTCCTCTCTTCCTTTTTTACTGTCTTCCTTTGTGGTTATTTTCTTTGGTAGAATGTTTTAATTCATTGCTTTTTATTTTTGGTGAATCTATTACAGGTTTTTTGCATTGTGGTCACCATGAGGCTTACACAAAACATCTTATAACAAGGTATTTTAAAGAGATGACAACTTATCTTAGATCACAAAGAACTGAAGTTTTAATTTTATTTAATATAAGTTAAATGTAAGTAGCCACACGTGATGAGTGGATACTGTATTGGACAGGACAGCTCACCACTTTTATCATGTGCCAGTAGGTGAAGAAGGGAAGAATTGGGTAGATCAGAGTTTTTCCGGTAGCATCTGCATTGAGATATGCCGTAAGTGTAAAACACATGCTGAATTTCAAAGATATAAAAAAGAATGAATTTGTCGTCAATAATTTTAATTATTGATTACCCATTGCAATGATGTAATATGAATATATTTGGTTAAATAAATTATTAAAATAATTTCACCTATTTTATTTTATATTTATGTAACCACTAGAAAATTTAAAATTCTACATGTGGCTCACATTTGTAGATCTCGTATTTCTATAGGACAGTGCTATTCTGACAGTGAGCTCCTTATGGGGAAGGACCCTTTTCATTTTAATCTTGACTATTACTGTGTCTTTAATATAGTAGATACTTAATAGTTGTTGAATGAATAACATAGTCTCTAGAAATTGTGACCATAAGCCTTTTGAAGAATTGAGGCTTTGAATTAAAGCATATATATGATAGATACATACATAAACACACTTGCACATACAGGAAGAAACCTACATCTAGGAATACAAGAGTAATAGCACTTGTTTTGAGCCAAATTCTATTAATAATTGAAGAATTAAGTTCTCATAACAGCATCTGTAAGCAAAATTCTATTAATATTCCTCATTTACAGGAAACAGAGACAGGGACATTAAGTAACAAAATGACACAGAAATATTAAGTGATAGAAATAATTTGAATTCAGGCAGTCTGGCTGTGTAGTTTGTACCTTTAACCAGTATGCTAAAGAAATGTCATGTAATTTTGGTCATCCATAATTATCACTTTCAAAATTGTGAAAGGAGGTGTATGAATGAATCCTGGGCAGTTTTGGACTTGGGGGACTTTTTGATGCCTCTTTTGCTTTCCTGGAATGAAGAAAGTTTACTTAGGCCTTACAATCTGCTTTTAATTGCTTTAAGATTTATTAAAGTTCAGCAAGCAAAGTCTTTTTTTTTTTCTGTTCGGCATCAGCTTTTATGTTTATACTTCCAGTAATATTTTTTTCAGCTCTGGGAAAAGTATAAAGAAAGTGTTGCCACTGGTAGTGTATGAGTGAAAAATTATCATTTGACTTTTGGGAAAATGAAATGGTTATTTATATAGTGGTCCCAAGAATCAACTTATCTCTTATATTATTAATAGGAGAGATTTCTGCTTGGTAATAGATTTATAATACTTTACTTTTTGGGATGAAGCAAAAAGGCAAGAATATAAGTTTATTTCCCTTCAGCTTTCTGTTAACATTTCCCACAGAAAGTTTTATTTCATATCTAATTGTAAATCCAGTATGTTATTATTCTGAATAAATCTTTTATAAATAAATAGTTATAAAACAGGAGGGTATAAGGTTCAAAGGAAAAGATGTATTCTTTTTCATTTTTAACATGCTGCCACAATTTCCCATATATGCTAAGTTTATCTGTTTTTTCTGTTTACGTGATTCTTTTCAGTAGTGGCATACCTTTTGCTAATTCACACACATTTGTAAGGGTATTCAGGAAAACTTAGCTTAAAAAATATGCCATCAAAAGATTGGAGATGGATTCTAGGTAGAAAAATGAATTTATCTGTAGGCATTATCATGTTGCATGCAGAAAATAGTCTTTTTTTTTTTCTCTCTTGCTTGCTCAGTCTGAGCTGACAGGCAGTTCTGAATATTGGGCAGCTCTGTTTCACACTGCCATCCAGGGACCTTGTTTTGTTTCTTCTCTCTTGTTCTACCATTCCCTAAGGTGTTGCATGTCTGCAGAGATGAGTCTGAATTGCCACCACCACCACATTCGCATTCTAGTTTGTGGGAAAAGGGGAAAAAAACAAGTGGAAAGCAAGCAGCTTTCAAAAAAGTATGAAGTTTAGAAAACTTCACAGTTACACACAACACTTCATGCTATAACCTATTGACCAGAACTTAATCACGTGGACACATCTATCTGCAAATGTGGCCATCACCTCACATGGTAACTATATTAAAAAAAAATTGAGAACATTTAAGATCTACTCACTTAGCAAATTTTAAGTTTACAATGCAGAATTATTAACTATGGTCACCATGCTGTCCATTAGATTTCTATAATTTATTCATTGTATAACTGAAACTTAGAATCCTGTAAACAACATCTCCCCATTTCCTCATCCCCTGATCTCACTCAGTCCCTTACAACCACCATTCTACTCTCTGCTTCTGAGTTTGAAAATATTCCATATATAAGTGAGATGGAGTATTTGTATTTCTATGCTAGGCTTATTTCACTGAGTATAATACCCTCTAGGCTCATTCATGTTGTTTCAAATGACAGGAATTTCTTCTTTTTAAAAGCCAAATAATAATCCATAGTATATAGCCTTTTAGTTTGATGCAAAGCTATTTGTTCATTTTTGCTTTTGTTGTGTGTGCTTTGAGCATCATATCCAAAAAACTCATTGCCCAGACCAATGTAAAAAAGCTTTTCCCTGTGTTTTCTTCTGGTAATCTTACAGGTCTTACATTTACGTCTTTAGTCCATTTGAGTTGGTTTTTGTTTATGGTCTGAAATGAGGGTCTAATACTACAGACCAAATGGACCTACCAGATATATAAATAACATTCCAGCTGACAGCAGAAAATACATTCTTTTGAAGAGCACATGGAACATTTTCCAGGAGGGATCATGTGTTAGGGCACAAAACAAGTTTTAACAAATTCAAGAAGATTGAAATCATATCAAATATTTTCAGCCACAATGGTATGAACCTAGAATCACTAACAGGAAGAAAATTGAAAAACTCACAAATATGTGGAAATTAAACAACATACTCCTGAACAACCAGTGGGTCAATGGAGAAATCAAAATGAAAATTTTTAAAAATTGTAAAGAAAAATGGAAACACAACATACCAAAACTTAAGGGATGCAGCAGAAGCCTTTCTAAAAGGGAAGTTCATAGCAGTAAACACCTACATCAAAAAAGACTACAGGAAGACCTGCTTGAGGCTGTTTTACAGTTACCATTTTTTTTAACAAGGAGAAGGAGTACACTCTAAAAACAATGATAAAAGTATAATATAGTAGATACATAAACCAGTAACATAGTTTTTATTATCATTATCAAGTATTATTTACTGAATATAATTGTATGTGCTATACTTTTATATGACTGGCAATACATTAGGTTTTTTTTATACCAGCATCACCACAAACACCTTAGTAATGTATTACAATGTCTACAACATCATTAGGCTATAGGAATTCTTCAGCTCCATTATAATCTTATGGGACCACTGTTGTATATGTAGTCTGTTGTTGACTAAAACATTATTATGCACTTCATGACTATATTGCATTGCTGTTTCTCCTTTCACTTCTGTTAATACGTGCTTTGTTTATTAATATTTAGATGTTCTGGTCCATATGTTGGGTGCATATATTTTTACAGTTGTTATATCCTTTTGATGAATTGACTCCTTTATTATTACATAATGACTTTTGTCTCTTGTGATAGTTTTTGACTGAAAGTCTATTTTGTCTGACGTAAGAATAGCTACCTCTGTTCTCTTTTAGTTACCATTTGCTTGGAATATCTTTTCCCATTTCTTCACTTTCAGCCTGTATGTGTGCTTAAAGCTAAAGTTCCTTGTAGGCAGCATATAGATAGATCTTGTTTTTTTTTTTTTTTTGAGACAGAGTCTCGCTCTGTCACCCAGGCTGGAGTGCAGTGGCGCGATCTCGGCTCACTGCAAGCTCCGCCTCCCGGGTTCACGCCATTCTCCCGCCTCAGCCTCCCAAGTAGCTGGGACTACAGGCACCTGCCACCACGCCCGGCTAATTTTTTGTATTTTTAGTAGAGATGGGGTTTCACCGTGTTAGCCAGGATGGAGATCTTGTTTTTTTAAGCCTTCAACCATTCTGTCTTTTAGTTGGAGAATTTAATCCCTTTACATTTAAAATAATTGTTGATAGGTAAGTACTTACCATTGCTGTTTTGTTAATTTTTTTCTGAATGTTTTGTAGTTTGTTTCCTCCTCTCTTTCTACCTTCCTTTGGAATTTGATAGTTTTTTTTTTAATAATGATATGCTCTGATTCCTTCTTCTTTATGTTATTGTGTATCTACTACAGGTGTGTGTGTGTGTGTGTATGTGTGTGTGTGTATTTACCATGAGGCTTACTGATATTGTGTATCTACTACAGTTGTGTGTGTGTGTGTGTGTGTGTGTATTTACCATGAGGCTTACTGAATACATCTTATAACAGTCTATTTTAAACTGATAACAACTTGACTTCAAATACCTACAAAAACTTTACACTTTAACTTTTGCTCCCACCACATTTTATGTAATTGATGTCACAGTTTACATCTTTTGTATTGTATATCTATTAACAAATTATTATAGCTAAGTTGTTTTAATACATTTTAAACTTTTATAGTAGAGTTGAAAGCGATTTACACACCACTATTACGGTATTAGCATATTCTGAATTTGAATTTATAGTAACTTTTTAAAATTCATGTATTTTCATGTTGTCAATTAGCATTCTTTCATTTTAAGTTGAAGAACTCACTTTAGCATTTCTTGTAAGGCAGGTTCAGTGATTACAAACTCCCTCAGCTTTTGTTTTTCTAGGAAAGTCTTTATCTCTCCTTTATTTCTGAAGGACACCTTTGCTAGGTATAGTATTCTTGGTTGACACATTTTTTTTTCTTCCAGTACTTTATTTATTTATTTTTTTATTATACTTTAAGTTCTAGAGTACATGTGCACAACGTGCAGGTTTGATACATAGGTATACATGTGCCATGTTGGTTTGCTGCACCGATCAACTAACTCATCATTTACATTAGGTATTTCTCCTAATGCTATCCCTCCCCCAGCCCCCCCACCCCCTGACAGGCCCCAGTTTGTGATGCTCTCTGCCCTGTGTCCAAGTGATCTCATTGTTCAATTCCCACCTATGAGTGAGAACATGCAGTGTTTGGTTTTCTGTCCTTGTGATAGTTTGCTGAGAATGATGGTTTCCAGCTTCATCCATGTCCCTGCAAAGGACATGAACTCATCCTTTTTTTATGACTGCATGGTATTCCATGGTGTATATGTGCCACATTTTCTTGATCCAGTCTATCATCGATGGACATTTGGGTTGGTTCCAAGTCTTTGCTATTGTGAATAGTACTGCAATAAACATATGTGTGCATGTGTCTTTATAGCAGCATGATTTATAATCCTTTGGGTATATACCCAGTAATGGGATGGCTGAGTCAAATGGTAATTCTAGTTCCAGATCCTTGAGGAATCGCCACACTGTCTTCCACAATGGTTGAACTAATTTACATTCCCACTTACAGTATAAAAGCATTCGTATTTCTTCACATCCTCTCCACCATCTGTTGTTTCCTGAATTTTTAATGATTGCCATTCTAACTGGTGTGAGATGGTATCTCACTGTGATTTTGATTTGCATTTCTCTGATGACCAGTGATGATGAGCATTTTTTCATGTGTCTGTTGGGTGCATAGATGTCTTCTTTTGAGACGTGTCTGTTCTTATCCTTTGCCCACTTTTTGATGGGGTTGTTTTTTTCTTGTAAATTTGTTTGAGTTCATTGTAGATTCTGGATATTAGCCATTTGTCAGATGGGTAGATCGCAAAAATTTTCTCCCATTCTGTAGGTTGCCTGTTCACTCTGATGGTAGTTTCTTTTGCCACGCAGAAGCTCTTTAGTTTAATTAGATCCCATTTGTCTATTTTGGCTTTTGTTGCCATTGCTTTTGATGTTTTAGTCATGAAGTCCTTACCCATGCTTATGTTATGAATGGTATTGCCTAGGTTTTCTTCTAGGGTTTTTATGGTTTTAGGTCTAACATTTAAGTCTTTAATCCATCTTGAATTAATTTTTGTATAAGGTGTAAGGAAGGGATCCAGTTTCAGCTTTCTGTATATGGCTAGCCAGTTTTCCCAGCACCATTTATTACATAGGGAATCCTATCCCCATTTCTTGTTTTTGTCAGGTTTGTCAAAGATCCGATGGTTGCGGATGTGTGGTGTTATTTCTGAGGGCTCTGTTCTGTTCCATTGGTCTATATATCTGTTTTGGTACCAGTACCATGCTGTTTTGGTTAAGTCAGGTAGCGTGATGCCTCCAGCTTTGTTCTTTTTGCTTAGGATTGTCTTGGTACTGTGGGCTCTTTTTTGGTTCCATATGAAGTTTAAAGTAGTTTTTTCCAATTCTGTGAAGAAAGTCATTGGTAGCTTGATGGGGATGGCATTGAATCTATAAATTATTTGGGCAATATGGCCATTTTCACAATATGGATTCTTCCTATCTATGAGCATGGAATATTCTTCCATTTGTTTGTGTCCTCTTTTATTTCCTTGAGCAGTGGTTTGTAGTTCTCCTTGAAGAGGTCCTTCACATCCCTTGTAGGTTGGATTCCTAGGTATTTTATTCTCTTTGTAGCAATTGTGAATGGGAGTTCACTCATGATTTGGCTCTGTTTGTCTGTTAATGATGTATAGGAATGCTTGTGATTTTTGCACATTGATTTTGTATCCTGAGACTTTGCTGAAGTTGCTTATCAGCTTAAGAAGATTTTGGGTTGAGACAGTGGGGTTTTCTAAATATATAATCATGTCATCTGCAAAGAGGGACAATTTAACTTCCTCATTTCTGAACCGAATACCCTTTATTTCTTTCTCTTGCCTGATTGCCCCAGCCAGAACTTCCAACACTGTGTCGAATAGGAGTGGTGAGAGAGGGCATCCCTGTCTTGTGCCAGTTTTCAAAGGGAACACTTCCAGTTTTTCCCCATTCAGTATGATATTGGTTGTGGGTTTGTTATAAATAGATCTTATTATTTTGAGATACGTTCCATGAATACCTAATTTATTGAGAGTTTTTAGCATGAAGGGCTGTTGAATTTTGTCGAAGGCCTTCATCTATTGAGATAATCATGTGGTTTTGTCGTTGGTTCTGTTTATGTGATGGATTACATTTATTGATTTGCTTATGTTGAACCAGCCTTGAATCCCAGGGATGAAGCTTACTTGATCGTTGTGGATAAGCTTTTTCATGTGCTGCTGGGTTCAGTTTGTCAGTATTTTATTGAGGATTTTCGCATCAATACAGGGATATTGGTCTAAAATTCTCTTTTTTTGTTGTGTCTCTGCCAGGCTTTGGTATTAGGATCATGCTGGCCTCATAAAATGAGTTAGGGAGGATTTGCTCTTTTTCTATTGATTGGAATAGTTTCAGAAGGAATGGTAGCAGCTCCTCTTTGTACCTCTGGTAGAATTCGGCTGTGAATCCCTCTGATTCTGGACTTTTTTTGGTTGGTAGGCTATTAATTTTTGCCTCAATTTCAGAGTCTGTTATTGGTCTATTCAGAGATTCACCTTCTTCCTGGTTTAGTCTTGGGAGGGTGTATGTGTCCAGGAATTTATCCATTTCTTCTAGATTTTCTAGTTTATTTGCGTAGAGGTGTTTGTAGTATTCTCTGATGGTAGTTTGTATTTCTGTGGGATCGGTGGTGATATCCCCTTTATCACTTTTTATTGCATCTATTTGATTCTTTTTTTCTTTATTAGTCTTGCTAGCAGTCTATCAGTTTTGTTGATCTTTTCAAAAAACCAGCTTCTAGATTCATTGATTTTTTTGAAGGGTTTTTTGTGTCTCCATCTCTTTCACTTCTGCTCTGATCTTAGTTATTTCTTGCCTTCTGCTAGCTTTTCAATATGTTTGCTCTTGCTTCTCTAGTTCTTTTAATTGTGATGTTAGGGTGTCAATTTTAGATCTTTCCTGCTTTCTCTTGTGGGCATTTAGTGCTATAAATTTCCCTCTACACACTGCTTTAAATGTGTCCCAGAGATTCTGGTAAGTTGTATCTTTGTTCTCATTGGTTTCAAAGAACATCTTTCTTTCTGCCTTCATTTTGTTATTTACCCAGTAGTCATTCAGGAGCAAGTTGTTCAGTTTCCATGAAGTTGTGCAGTTTTGAGTGAGTTTCTTAATCCTGAGTTCTAATTTGATTTCGCTGTGGTTTGAGAGACAGTTTGTTGTGATTTCTGTTCTTTTACATTTGCTGAGGAGAGCTTTACTTCCAATTATGTGGTCAGTTTTAGAATAAGTGTGATGTGGTGCTAACAAGAATGTATATTCTGTTGATTTGGGATGGAGAGTTCTGTAGATGTCTATTAGGTCTGTTTGTTGCAGAGCTGAGTTCAGGTCCTCGATATCCTTGTTAACCTTCTGTCTCATTGATCTCTCTAATATTGACAGTGGGGTGTTAAAGTCTCCCGTTATTATTGTGTGGGAGTCTAAGTCTCTTTGTAGGTCTCTTAAGGACTTGCTTTATGAATCTGGGTTCTCCTGGATTGGGTGCATATGTATTTAGGATAGTTTGCTCTTCTTGTTGAATTGATCCCTTTACCATTATGTAATAGCCTTCTTTGTGTCTTTTGATCTTTGCTGGTTTAAAGTCTGTTATATCAGAGACTAGGGTTGCACCCCTGCTTTTTTTTTTTTGCTTTCCATTTGCTTGATAGATCTTCCTCCATCCCTTTATTTTGAGCCCGTGTGCATCTTTGCACATGAGATGAGTCTCCTGAATACAGAACACTGATGGGTCTTGACTCTTTATCGAATTTGCCATTCTGTGTCTTTTAATTGGGGCATTTAGCCCATTTACATTTAAGGTTAATATTGTTATGTGTGAATTTGATCCTGTCATTATGATGTTCGCTGGTTTTTTTGCCTGTTAATTGATGCAGTTTCTTTATAGCATCGATGGTCTTTACAATTTGGCCTGTTTTTGCAGTGGCTGGTAGTGGTTGTTTCTTTCCATGTTTAGTGCTTCCTTCAGGAGCTCTTGTAAGGCAGGCCTGGTGGTGACAAAATCTCTCAGCATTTGCTTGTCTGTATAGGATTTTATTTCTCCTTCACTTATGAAGCTTATTTTGGCTGGATATGAAATTCTGGGTTGAAAATTCTTTTCTTTAAGAATGTTGAATATCGGCCCCCACTGTCTTTTGGCTTGTAGGGTTTCTGCTGAGAGATCTGCTGTTAGTCTGATGGGCTTCCCTTTGTGGGTAACTCGACCTTTCTCTCTGGCTGCCCTTAACACTTTTTCCTTCATTTCAACCTTGATGCATCTGACAATTATGTGTCTTGGGGTTGCACTTCTTGAGGAGTATCTTTGTGGCGTTCTCTGTATTTCCTGAATTTGAATGTTGGCCTGCCTTGCTATGTTGGGGAAGTTCTCCTGGATAATATCCTGAAGAGTGTTTGCCAACTTAGTTCCATTCTCCCCATCACTTTCAGGTACACCAATCAAATGTAGATTTGGTCTTTTCACATAGTCCCATATTTCTTGGAGGCTTTGTTCATTTCTTTTTACTCTTTTTTCTCTAACTTTGTTTTCTTGCTTTATTTCATTAATTTGACCTTCAATCACTGATACCCTTTATTCCACTTGATTGAATTAGCTGATGCAGCTTGTGCAGGCGTCACGAAGTTCTCGTGCCATGGTTTTCAGCTCCATCAGGTCATTTAAGGTCTTCTCTACACTGTTTATTCTAGTTAGCCATTCATCTAATCTTTTTTCAAGGTTTTTAGCTTCCTTGTGATGGGTTCGAACAACCTCCTTTAGCTTGGAGAAGTTTGTTATTACCGACCTTCTGAAGCCTACTTTTGTCAACTTGTCAAAATCATTCCCTGTCCAGCTTTGTTCATTTGCTGGTGAGGAGCTGCAAACCTTTGGAGGAGATGAGGTGCTCTGATTTTTAGAATTTTCAGCTTTTCCACTCTGGTTTCTCCTCATTTTTGTGGTTTTATCTACCTTTGGTCTTTGATGTTGGTGACCTACAGATGGGGTTTTGGTGTAGATGACCTTTTTGTTGACGTTGATGCTATTCCTTTCTGTTAGTTTTCCTTCTAACAGTCAGTTCCCTCAGCTGCAGGTCTGTTGGAGTTTGCTGGAGTTCCACTCTAGACCCTGTTTGCCTGGGTATCACCAGCGGAGGCTGTAGAACAGCAAATATTGCACAACAGCCAATATTGCTGCCTGATCCTTCCTCTGGAAGCTTCGTCCCAGAGGGTCAGCTGTCTATATGAGGTGGCTGTCGGCCCCTACTGGGAGGTGTCTCCCAGTTAGGCTACGCAGGGATCAGGGACCCACTTGAGGAGGCAGTCTGTCTGTTCTCAGAGCTCAAATGCTGTGCTGGGAGAACCACTGCTCTCTTCAGAGCTGTCAGACAGGGACATTTAAGTCTGCAGACGTTTTCTGCTGCCTTTTATTCAGCTATGCCCTGCTCACAGAGGTGGAGTCTAGAGGCAGTAGGCCTTGTTGAGCTGTGGTGGGCTTCACCTAGTTCAAGCTTCCCCAAGCCGCTTTGTTTACCTACTCAAGCCTCAGCAATGGCAGATGCCCCTCCCCCAGCCAGGCTGCAGTCTCTCAGATCAATCTCAGACTGCTGTGCTAGCAGTGAGCAAGGCTCTGTGGGCGTGGGAGCTGCCAAGCCAGGCATGGGAGAGAATCACCTTGTCTCCCGGTTGCTAAGACCTTGGGAAAAGCACAGTATTTGGGCGGGAGTGTCCTGTTTTTCTAGGTAGTCTGTCATGGCTTCCCTTGGCTAGGAAAGGGAAATCCCCTGATCCCTTGCGCTTCCCAGGTGAGGTGACGTCTCGCCCTCCTTTGGCTCACTCTCCATGGGCTGCACCCATTGTTCCACCAGTCCCAATGGGATGAACCACGTACCTCAGTTGGAAATGCAGAAATCACCCGTCTTCTGCGTTGATCACGTTGGGAGCTGCAGACCAGAGCTGTTCCTATTCGGCCATCTTGGAATGCCCCTCCCTTCCTCTTCTTCCTGTACTTTAAATATGTCATCTCATTCTCTCCTGGCATGCAAAGTTTCTGCTGAGAAATATACTCATGGTCTTAAAATCGTTCCCTTGTATGTGACTAGTCATTTGCTGCTTTCAAAATTCTCTCCTTGTCTTTGACATTTGAGAATTTGATTAAAATGTGTCTTGGTAAAGATCTCTTTATTATTAATCTATTTCAGGTTCTTTGGGCTTCATGGATTTGGATGTTCATTTTTTTCTTCCAGATTTGGGGTGGTTTTCATCATTATTTCTTTAAATAAACTTTATGCCCCTTCTCTTTCTCTTTTATTTCTGTAATACATATATTGGTTCTTTTGATACTCCATAAGTGCCATAGACTATCTTCACTCTTTTTAACTCCCTTTGCTTTTTGTTCCTCTGACTGGGTAATTTTAAATGAACCATCTTACAGCTTGCTGGTTCTTCTTTCTGCTTGATCAAGTGTGCTGTCGAAAGCTCTCTATGGAATTTTTCAGTTCATTCATTGTATTCTTCAGTTCCAGAATTTCTGTTTGTTTCTTTTTTGTGGTTTCTATTTCTTTTTTGATTTTTTTTATTTTGTTCATGCATTGTTTTCCTGACTTCATTTAATTTTCTATCTGGATTCTCTTGTAGCTCACTGAGCTTCATTAAGATGTTTGTTTTGAATTCCTTGTCAGGTAATTTGTAGATCTGTATTTCTTTAGGGTCATTTAGTGGTGCTTCATTTTGTGCCTTTGTGGTGTCATATTTCCCTGATGATTCATGATCTTTGTTGCCTTGCATTAGTATCTGCCCATTTGAAGAAGTAGGCACCTCTTCCAGTCTTTACTGACTAGCTTTGGCAGGGAATGCCCTGCAACAGTCAACTATTTACAGATTCTGGTTAGGCCATTTTGCAGGGCCTATAGGGAGGGCTTGCCTAGTGCCTGGGTCTGTGGGGGCTGGCCTGGTACTGGGGGGAGTTCTA
This sequence comes from Homo sapiens, assembly GCF_000001405.40. Lineage (NCBI taxonomy): Eukaryota > Metazoa > Chordata > Mammalia > Primates > Hominidae > Homo > Homo sapiens. The sequence goes on from NC_000001.11 coordinate 113,480,373, forward strand.
CAGTTAAGGGCTGTCTGGCCGAGTGCCTGGGTCCACAGGGGCAGGCCAGGAGCCTGGGGCCATGAGAGCTGACGTGGCAGTGGAATGGCCCTGGAATCTGGGTCCACAGGGGTTGACCTGGATGTTAGCTCTGTAGGAGTGGACCTGGAGCCTGGGGCTATAGACATTGACCTGGTGCTAAGGTCTGTGGTGAAGTCATGTGCTCACGTTACTCTTCTTGCCCCATACAAAGGGTATTTCTCTTTACACTGTGCTGTGCAGGGTAGGAATGAATGATACAGGTAATGTGAAACTGTCCTTACCGTCTTCAGTGTGCCTTCTTATTTCCATGCTTCACTGAGGTGCTATACTTTCTCACCTGGATTCCTCAGGTCTTGTGAAAGTTTTTTTTTGTGCATGGATTGTTGTTCAAATTGATGTTTCTATGAGGGGACAAGGGCTGGAAACTCCTATTCTGCCATCTTACTGATGGCACTCTAGTGTGACTTTTGAATCCGCCAGTAGGAAACCTTTTATCATCCTAAGAAGCACAGATGTGTTTAGCTATTTTATTTGAATTTGGAAGGATAGTCAGAAGGACCTGGTCCACAAAAGCCAGAAGAAGGGACTTGATTCTCAATATACTACTATTTAATAAAGTCAGAATTGGAAAGCCTACAGATTCCTGTTTCATATTATCACTACATCCATATTACTTATACTATGCATCTCTCTTCTTTCCTTTTCTAGAAGCATTCTTTTTAAAGGCTTGCTTGCTTTTTGTTTTGTTCCTAATTTTCCTAGTTTTCTTCAAAAATTTCCTGCCATTTAGTAATGCATATTGCTTTTCTAGAATTATGCATCTCAGCAAAGATTACATGAGGATTCAGAAATACTTTTTAGCATGACTTCTATTTCTTTTATACCCCAAATCTTATAAACCTAGTTAGGTCCGCCTTTGTAGTTCACTGTCTAAATCTATTTTCTTATATTTTGATTGTTCAGGTAAAGGTTTTATTCTAAAATAATGAACACTATACATTGACAGAAACAAATGGATGAATTTCACCAGAGTTACTACATTCAATTATGTTAGCTATCTAATTCACTATATATATAAAGCTTGTAGCTTTGAACTAATTAGGGTTGTAGATTTTTACCTTTGTTTTTTTTTCTTTTTTGAAAAAGAGAAGCAAGCTTCTGTCTTGATTTTTAATTCTTTAATTTAGTGCAACTGTAACTGGTGGCATGAATTTGTTATTACTATTGGCAAATTTCTAAATCTTGTAACCCAAATTGCTCATTCTATTTTTTTCAGATCAAAGCCAGTGTTTACCATGCAATCCCATAAACAACTGCATAATAAACTTAATTCTATTTTTGTATTTGTTTTTAGTTGATGCTGTAACAAATCACCACACATTCAGTGACTTGAACAACACAAATTTCTTAAATTATGGTTCTGCATGTCAGAAGTCCAACATGGATCTCATGGGGCCAAAGTCAAGATGTCACAGGACTATATTCCTTTCTGGAGATATTAGGGGAAAACTCATTTCCCTGCTCAAGGTTTAGACAAGCTCTTTCTCATTTCTCTTTCATTCTCTCTTTTTTTTTTCATCTCTTTCAATATGATTGTAATCCCATGAAACATAGTTCAGCATTCAGGAAGAAACAAACTTAAACTATGTAATAATCATTAATTTATGTAATAAACTTAATATAAAATTAAATTTAAATATTTAAGATTATAACTATAAGATAAAAACTGTGAGTTTTATCTAACTCACAGTATTCCAATTTTCTAATTATTTCCTTAATTGTGATACTCAGAAGACAGGAGAGAGAGACTTTACTGTTGATGGTGATGGTGATGGCTGTTATGATGTTGAACTTTTGAGGGTCTTAGTTTCCCTTTTATACACATGTAAGTCATCCGGTAGTCTTTTGATAGTTGTCTTAGTTATTAAGATATTTGAGAGTTTCCTATTTAATTCAGTTTGTTCAGCCTATTTTTTTTTTCATTGAGATAGGGTCTCACTCTATAACTCAGGCTGCCACAGCCTCAATCTGCCAGGCTCAAGTGATCCTTGATCCACCTCAGTCTCCTAAGTAGCTGGGACTACAGGTATGCATCACCACACCTGGCTAATTTTTTTATTTTTCATAGAGGCGAGGTCTCACTATGTTGCCCAGGCTGGTGTTGAACTCCTAAGCTCAAGCAATCCTCTTGCCTCAGCCTTCCAAAGTGCTGGGCTTGAAAGTGTGAGCCACTGCACCAGACCTCAACCTACTTTTTTTTTTTTTTTTTTTTTTAACCACTGGAGATCTTATTTTCTGACTAAATCTAATAATTTTTTATGGAAAATGTAAGTATATTTGTGAATTGACAGTAGGGTTAAAGGCATGATGCCCTTTGGAATTGCTTTGTTAACATCAGAAGCAATATCTAAGATCCCCCTTTTTTTTTTTGAGACAGGATCTCTCTCTGTTGCCCAGGTTGGAATGCAGTGGCATGATCTTGGCTCACTGCAGCCTCAACCTCCTGGGCTCAAGCCATCCTCCCACCTCAGCCTCCTGAGTAGCTGGGACCACAGGCATGCACTACCATGCCCAACTAGTTTTTTTGTGTATTTTGTAGAGATAGGGTTTTACCATATTGCCACTTTCTGTTTTCGAACTTCTGAGCTCAAGAGATCCACCCACTTTGGCTTCCCAAAATACTGGGATTACAGATGTGAGCCAATGTACCCATGCAGATCCTTTTCTTACCTTTTAAAAGATTACTGGAAAATTTGAACATGCCTCAACATTTTAACATATGTGAATGCCATTTTGATATGAATGCAAAGTGGTGCTGATATTTACATATGGGATCTATCCGTAGTAACTGACTTTTGATGCTCTTTCTTTTTAGAGGTTGCTGTGGACTGAATGTTTGTGTCTCCCCACAATCCCTATGTTGAAACCTAATCCCCAATATGATGATATCTGGGGATTGAGGCTTTGGGAGGTAATCAGGTAATGAGGGTAAAGCCCTCATGATGGGCTTAGTGCCATTATAAAGAGAGACCCAAGAGAGTTTGATTTCTCTCTCTGTCCTCTGGCTTGTGAGGGCACAGCAGGAAGACAGCAAACCAGCAAGAGTCATCACCAAATGTGACCATGCTGGTACTGATTTTAAAGTTTCCCCCGTAATTGTGAAAAATAAGTTTCTGTTTAAGCAACCCAACCTGTGGTATTCCGTTATAGTAGCCCAGACTAAGACAGAGATGTTTAAATTTTATTGTGCTATTAAATAAAAGTACCGGTGCCTCAAAGCTCTGTTGTTTAGATCTAAAAGATCTAAAGGTATGAAATGAATATTGTTGAGGCAGGATGAGGTGGTTTGGATTTGTTTATTTTTCTCCAACTTTTATTGTGAAAAATTTCACACGTCGGAAGAGTTGCAAGAATAGAACAATACAGTACAATAGTACCAGTGTGTCTTAATTATTATTTTGCTGCAAAAGCACACTTGTACTTTTTCTCTCTAATGTGATTGTGTGTGTGTGTGTGTGTGTGTTTATCTGTTTTCTTCCCTGACCCATTTGAGAGTGAGTTGCAGATATTTTACCTCCAAATATTTTAGCATGTATCCCATTTAGGAAGTTTAACATTGATACAATATTATGTATCATATCGTTCATATGCAAGTTTCTCCAGTTTTCAGATTTAGAAATAGCAAATGATTCTAAAAGGGCATAATTACTTTGAAAAATTGAAAATCACTTTGAAAAATCTGGAGTTTTAAAGATGATTTACCATATGGGAAACTGTGGCAAATTTTAAATGAATATCCTGAAGTATGATTCTAATCCAGATTGAATTCAAGCTGTGAATTTTTGTTTTATTTTCTAAATTTTTTTATTTCAGTAGATTTTTGGGGGAATAGGTGGTGTTTGATTACATGAATAAGTTCTTTAGTGGTGATTTCTGAGATTTTAGTGCACCCATCACCCAAGCAGTGTACACTGTACCCAGTGTGTAGTCATTTATCCCTTGCCACCCCTCACCCTTTACCTCCAGTCCCCAAAGTTCAATATATCATTCTTATGCCTTTGTATCCTCATAGCTTAGCTCCCACATATGAGTGAGAACATACGATGTTTCGTTTTCCATTCCTGGGTTACTTCACTTAGAATAATAGTCTCCAGTTCCATCCAGGTTGTTGCAAATACCATTATTTCATTATTTTTTATGGCTGAGCAGTGTTCTATTATATATATATATACCTACCTTTCTCCCTTCCCTTCCCTCCCCTCCCCTCCCCTCCCCTCCCTTCCCATCCCCTCCCCTCCCCTCCCCTCCCCTCCCCTCCCCTCCCTTCCCTTCCCTTCCCTTCCCTTCCCTTCCACAGAGCCTTGCTCTCTCACCAGGCTGGAGTGCAGCAGCATGATCTTGTCTCCCTGCAACCTCTGTGTCCCGGGTTCAAGCAATTCTTTGGCCTCAGCCTCCCAGGTAGCTGGGACTACAGGTGTGCGCCACCACGCCCAGCTAATTTTTTTTGGTTTTGTATTTTTAGTAGAGATGGGGTTTCACCATGTTGGCCAGGGTGGTCTTGATCTCTTGACCTTGTGATCTGCCGGCTTTGGCCTCCCAAAGTGCTGGGATTACAGGTGTGAACCACCACGCCTAACCCATATATACCATATTTTCTTTATCCACTCATTGTGATGGGCATTTGGGCTGGTTCCATATTTCTGCAACTGCAAATTGTGCGCTATAAACATGCATGTGCAAGTATCTTTTTCTTATAATGACTTCTTTTCCTCTGGATAGATACCTAGTAGTGGGATTGCTGGATCAAATGGTAGATCTACTTTTAGTTCTTTAAGGAATCTTCACACTCGTTTCCATAGTGATTGTTTGCATTCCCACCAACAATGTAAAAGTGCTCCTTTTTCACTGTATCCATGCCAACATCTATTATTTTTTGATTTTTTTGATTATGGCCATTCTTTCAGGAATGAAGTGATGTCACGTTGTGGTTTTGATTTGCATTTCCCTGATGCTTAGTGATGTTGAACATTTTTCCATATGCTTGTTGGCCGTTTGTATATCTTCTTCTGAGAGTTATCTATTCATGTCCTTAGCCCACTTTTTTTTGATGGAATTGTTTGCTTGGTTTTTTTTCTTGCTAATTTGTTTATTTGTAGATTCTGGATATTAGTCCTTTACCAGATGTATAGACTGTGAAGACTTTCTCTCACTCTGTGGGTTGTCAATTAACTCTGCTGATTATTTCTTTTGCTTCGCAGAAGCTTTATAGTTTGATTAAGTTTCATCTACTTATATTTGTTTTTGTCGCATTTGCTTTCGGGTTCTTAGTCATGAAGTCTTTGCTTAAGCCAATGTCTAGAAGGGTTTTTCCAATGTTATCTTCTAGAATCTTTATGATTTCAGGTTTTAGATTTAAGTGTTTGATCCATCTTGAGTTGATTTCTGTATAAGGTGAGAGATGAGTATTCAGTTTCATTTTTCTACATCTGACTTGCCAATTACCCTGGCACTATTTGTTGAATAGGGTGTCTTTTCCCTACTGTGTGTTTTTGTTTGCTTTGTCAAAGATCAGTTGGCTTTAAATATTTGGCTTTATTTCTGGGTTCTCTATTCTGTTCCATTGGTCTTTGTGCCTATTTTTATACCAGTACCATGCTGTTTTAATGACTATGGCCTTATAGTGTAGTTTGAAGTCAGGTAATGTGATGCCTCCAGATTTGTTCTTTTTGCTTAGTCTTGCTTTGGCTATGCGGGCTCTTTTTTGGTTCCATATGAATTTTAGGATTGTTTTTTATGGTTCTGTGAAGAATGATGGTGGTATTTTGATACTGCATTGATATTGAGAATTGCAATTCCAGTTTGATATTGGGAATTGCATTGAATTTGTAGATTGCTTTTCTTTTGGCCGTATGGTCATTTTCACAATATTGATTCTACTCATCCATGAGCATGGGATGTGTTTCCATTTGTTTTTGTCATCTGTGATTTCCTTCAGCAGTGTTTTGTAGTTTTCCTTGTAGAGGTCTTTTACCTCCTTGGTTAGGTATATTCCTAAGTTTGTTTGTTTGTTTGTTTTGCAGCTATTGTGAAAGGGGTTGAGTTCTTGATTTGATTCTCAGTCAAGCTGTGAATTTTCAATATATTTTTGGGCATAAAAACTATCTTTAAATGGTGTGAGGACTTACTATGTATATTTTGATGTTTTCTTATAGTTTATATACTTTCTTGTGAAGACAAAAATAGGGGGTCTTCAAAGTCTTTTTTTTTTTTTTTTTTGAGACAGGGCCTTGCGATTTCACCCAATCTAGAGTGCAATGGCATGATCATAGCTCACTATAAACCTGACCTCCTGGGCTTGAGTGATCCTCCCATCCCAGCCTCCTGAGTGGCTAGGACTACAGTCATGTGCCACCACGTGGCTTTATTTTTTATTTTTTCGTGGAGACAGGATCTTGCTATGTTGTGCCACCACATGGCTAATTTTTAATTTTTTTGTGTGTGGCAACAGGGTCTTGCTATGTTGCCCAGGCTGGTTGCAAACTCTTGGCCTCAAGCAATACTCCTGCCTTGACTTTCCAAAGTGCTAGGATTACAGGCATCAGCCACTGCCCCCAGCCTACAAAGTCTTGAGGTACGAATTAGGGGAAGGTTTCTTGTCAAGTTTTCTTTTAACTCTAAAATTCTATGGCTTTCAATAATTTAACAGATATTTAAACTATTAAATATGTAACATTGTATTGGGTGCTCTAGGAAATGTGGATAATCCTTGATCACCAAGAATTCAAGGGAATTAAGAACTTATTTACAAATAAATGCATGAAAGTAAACTGTATATGAAGACTTGTAAGAAATATTTTAACAAAGTGCAGTGAAAATTCAGAGACAGAAGAAACTTGGCTGGGTGGTAAGAATAGAACAGATAAGCTTCATTGGATTGTAAATACTTGTTAACAGAAATCCAGGGTCTCTACTATAATTTTCCTGTGTATACAATAATTTTAACTGGAATTAATTGTATTAACCCATTTATGCCAGAAGTTGCAAATTTTTTTTTGTGAAAAATCAGATCTTGGTGATAACCTTGAGCAGTAGGATAAAAATAACTCCCACAAGCTTAGTGTTCCAGTAATGGAACACTAGGCATAAATGTATTAATAAGCATGAGGTATGCATAATTCAATTAGATTAACCAAAAATAGGGAAATACTTATGTTTGTGATATATTGCAAGTAAAAATTATTGAAATTTTTATTGAAAATAATACATTATAACAAATTTAAGTGTAGTAAAGTAGAAATTAAAAAGAAAAATGTCATCTATAGCCACCTCATTCATAGATAATACCTATTGACATCTGTTTTTTTTTTCATTTTTTCTATATTGTGTGCATGCTTATATTTGATGTTGCATTCTGCTTCAAATTAGTTGATAAAATAATTTTTTTTCACTTTAGTACCACACTTTTGCAAGCAATTTTATTGGCAGCATAATATTATATTGAGTAGTTGTGGCATGATTTACTAAAACATTTTTCTATTGTTTAACAAAATAATTAATTCTTTGTAGGAACAAGCAACTGTAGAAATGGTAAAGTTATGATAGAGAACAAACTTGTTCCAAGATCTCTTGGAAGGATCTTCCTTAATTTTTTATCCTGACAATTTAATACACCAAATATTTTACATGATTTTTTTCTTGCTTTTTTTTACTACTATTTTAACTTACCGTTATTAAATTATTTACGCTTTTCATTACATCTAGTTTAGAAAATTTAGTGTTTCATTGACTATTTGGAAAGATTATTCTGTATATGCTCAGAGAAGTGGTAGAAGCATCAAGCCAGCTGATGTGGATCCCAAAGGGTTTGGTGCAGGAACATCTGTAGTGGTGCATGGCCAGGGACAGCCATCCCCATAGGCTCAACTTGCTCCTATAGGAGTCTTTAGTGCTAGGGGAACTGTCAGTCCTCAACTCTGCAGGATGGTCTTGCCCATCAGATGAGGCAGGTCCAACCTGAGCGCCCCTTGGTCTGCTGACCCCTCCCAGGCCCCATTCCTGCTTGCAGGGCAGCCTCAGGTGCCCTGGGGGGCCTGCATTATAGCTTCTGTACTGGTAGACCATGGGTGATCAGTGGAGAGTTTCAGCAGGGTGGTTTCTGTGGGCATGAACCAGCCTGCATACTCCCTCCCTATGTTGCAGTTTCCCCTAACCCATGGCAACTTACTCAGCTGGCATGTATCTGTGTGGGTGAGTTTTGCTTTCCTTTGCCACACCAGTGTGAGGGAGTGCAGTCCGACCCCCTCCACCCACCAACTGCCATTGCAGGCAGAGCCTTGGCAGACACAGCCAGCCTTCTCCAACCAGCAGCCTGCCCTTGCACTAACACTGCTGTGGGAGTCAAACTAGGCACAGAGAACAGCAGATCCTCCCCAGCCCTGAGTGACAACTCCTGCTTGCAGGGCACAGAGAAGGCACCCAGACCTGCACCTGCCAGTACCCCACCCCTGAGCCAACACCATTTCTAGCATGACTGTGCGCACAGTCACCAGCAGGGGCCCCCTGCGCCCTGCTCCAGCTGCATTCCCTTCACTACTCTGGTGAACACCCACATGGAGACAGGCATCCTGGCACCTACTAGCACTCTGCCACAGCTGCTGCTACCACTGCTGCTGGCACATGCAAATGAGGATGGATCCTGCTGTCATTGCACTATGAAATGCTTTCATTCACACCACCTATCAGAGTGTAGTGACCAGCGGTCTGGGAACACCTTAGGCCCCCCCCGACCCCAGCACAGTGGATTTCTAACCTCGAGGAGCCAGAGAACAAAGAGCCAATGCAAGTCCGCCAGAGTTAGAGCACACAGTCCTGGAGTTGAGAGCTGAGCAGTGGCCCTCTAACACCTTCCAGAAATGAAGCCAGTCTGCTGAATTCACCTATACCACAGTCAAACTCTTATGGTCATCAAATAGAATAAAAGGAAAAAACAAACACCCAAAGGTCAGCAACCTCAAAGATTGAAGGAGGATAAGCCCACAAAGATGAGAAAGAATCAGCACAAGAACCCTGACAACTCAAAAAGCCAGAGTACCTTCTTTCCTCCAAATGGTCACATCTCCGTTCCAGCAAGGATTCTGAACCAGGCTAAGATGGTTGAAATCACAGAAATAAGATTCAGAATGTGGATAGGAACAAAGCTCATTGAGATACACGAGTATGTTGAAACCCAATCCAAGGAAGCTAAAAATCAGGATAAAACAATGCAGAAGCTGATAGACAAAATAGCTAGTATAGAAAAGAAGGTTACAACCCAACAGAGCTGAAAAACACACTACAAGAATTTCATAATGCAATTGCAACCATTAATAGCAGAATAGACCAAGCAGAGGAAGGAATCTCAGAGCTAGAAGACTGGCTTTCTGAAATAAGACAGATAAGAATAGAGGCAAAAGAATGAAAAGGAAGGAACAAAACCTCCAAGAAATATGGAATTATGTAAAGAGACCAAATTTATGACTCATTGGTGTTCCTGAAAGAGATGGGGAGAATGGAACCAACTTGGAAAACATATTTCAGGATATCATCCATGAGAACTTCCCCAACCTACCTAGAGAGGACAACATTCAAATTCAAGGATTGCAGAGAACCCAAGTAAAATACTTCACAAAGAAGATCATCCCCAAGATACATACTCATCAGATTCTCCAAGGTCAAAATGAATGAAAAAAATGTTAAAAGAAGCTAGAGAGAAAGGTCAGGTCACCTACAAAGGGAAGCCCATCAGACTAACAGACCCCTCAGCAGAAACCTTATAAGCCAGAAGAGATTGGATGCCAATGTTCAACATTCTTAAAAGAAATCCCAACCCAGAATTTCATATACAGCCAAACTAAGCTTCATAAGTGAAAGAGAAATAAGATCCTTTTCAGACAAGCAAATGCTGAGAGAATTCATTACTACCAGACCTGCCTTACAAGAGCCCCTGAAAGAATCACTAAATATGGAAAGGAAAGACTGTTACCAGCCACTACAAAACACACTGAAGTACACAGACCAGTGACATTGTAAGGCAACTACATAACAAGTCTGAAAAATAACCAGGGTCTGTGACAGTGTCAGATCCAAACATACTAATACTAACCTTGAATGTAATGAGCTAAATGCCCCAATTAAAAGGCAGAGAGTGGCTAGCTGGATAAAGAATCAGACCCATTGGTATGCTGTCTTCAAGAGACCAGTCTCACACGGAGTGACATACATAGGCTCAAAATAAAGGGATGGAGAAAAATCTATCAAGCAAATGGAAAACAGAAAAAAGCAGGGGTTGCAATCCTAGTTTCACACACAACAGACTTTAAACCAACAAAGATCAGAAAGATCAGAAAAGACAAAGAAGGGCATTACATAATGATAAAGGGTTCAATTCAACAAGAAGTGCTATATCCTAAATATACGTATATACACCCAACACAGGATCACTCAGATTCATAAAGCAAGTTCTTAGAGACCTTCAAAGACAGATTCCCACACAATAATAGTGGGAAAGTTTAATACCCCACTGACAATGTTAGATAATTGAGCCAGAAAATTAACAAAGATATTCAGGACCTGAACTCAGCACAGGATCAAATGGACCTGATCAACATCCACAGAACTCTCCACCCCAAAAAAACAGAATATACATTCTTATCATTGTCACATGGAACATACTCTAAAATTGATCACATAAGTGGAAGTAAAACACTCCTCAGTAAATGCAAAAGAACTGAAATCATAACGAACAATATCTTGGACCACAGCACAAATTAGAAATCAAGACTAAGAAATTCACTCAGAACCATACAATTACATGGCAATTGGATAACCTGCTCCTGAATAAACTCTTGGATAAATAATGAAATTAAGGCAGAAATAAAAGAAGTTCTTTGAAACTAATGAGAACAAAGAGACAACATACCAGAATCTGTGGGATACAGCCAAGGCAGTGTTAAGAGGGAGATTTATAGCACTAAATGCCCACATGAAAAAGTTGGAAAGGTCTCAGCTTGACAACCTAAATCACAACTAAGAGAACTAGTGAAATAAGAGCAAAGAAATCCCAAAGCTAGCAGGAAACAAGAAATAACCAAAATTAGAGCGAACTGAAGGATATGGAGACATGAAAAACCATTCAAAAGATCAGTGAATCCAGGAGCTGGTTTTTTGAAGAAATTAATAAAATAGACCATTAGCTAGGCTAATAAAGAAGGAAAGAGGAAATTGAAATAAATGATCAGAAATGACAAGGGTGATATTACCAGTGACCCCATGAAAATATAAATAACCATCAGAGAATATTATGAACACCTCTGTGAACATAAACTAGAAAATCTGGAAGAAAATGGATAATTTCCTGGACCCATATACCCTCTCAAAACTGAACCAGCAAGAAATTGAATCCCTGAACAGACAAATAACAAGCTCTGAAATTGATTCAGTAATAAATAGCCTACCAACCAAAAAGAGCCCAGGACTAGACAGATTCACAGCTGAATTCTACCAGATGTACAAAGAAGAGTTGATACCATTCCTACTGAAACTATTCCAATGAAGTTAAGGAGGAGGAACTCCTCTCTAACTCATTCTATGAGGCCAGCATCATCCTGACCAAAACCTAGCAGAGACACAACAAAAAAAGAAAACTTTAGGCCAATATCCTTGATGAACACTGAAGCAGAAATCCTCAAGGAAATACTGGCAAATCAAATCCAGCATAACATCAAAAAGCTTATCCACCATGATCAAGTAGGTTTTATCCCTGAGATGCAAGGTTGGTGTAACATATGCAAATCAATAAATGTGATTTATCACATAAACACAACTAAAGACAAAATCCACATGATTATCTGAACAGGTGCACAAAAGGCTCTCAATAAAATTCAATACTACTTCATGTTAAAAACTCTCAATAAACTAGGTATCAAAGGAACATACCTCAAAATAGTGAGAGCCATCTATGACAAACCCATAGTGAACATCATACTGAATGGGCAAAAGCTGGAAGCATTCCCCTTGAAAACTTGCACAAGAAAAAGATGCCCTCTCTTGGCATCCTTTTTCCATTCTCTTGGAAAAGAATACCACTCGTTTTCAACATAGTTTTGAAAGTCCTGGTCAGGGCAATGAGGCAAGAGAAAGACAGAGCATCCATATAGGAGGAGAGGAAGTTAAATTATCTCTTTTTGCAGATGACATAATCGTATACCTAGAAAACACCCCAGTCCCAGCCCAAAAGCTCCTCCAGCTGATACACAAATTCAGCAAGGTCTCAGGATACAAAATCAATGTGTAAATATCAATCTTTCTTATATACCAACAACAGTCCAGCTGAGAACCAAATCAGGAATGTAATCCCATTCACAATTGCCACAAAAAGAATAAATACCTAGAAATACAGCTAACCAGGGAGATGAAAGATCTCTATGAGGAGAACTACAAAATATTGGTTAAAGAAATCAGAGATGACACAAACAAATGGAAAAACATTTTATGCTCATGGATAGGAAGAATATTGCTAAAATGGCCATACTGCCCAAAGCATTGTATAGATTCAATGCTATTCCTGTTATACTACCATTTACATTTTTCACAGAACTAGAAAAAACTATTTTAAAATTCATATGGAACCAAAAAAGAGCCCAAATAGCCAAGGTGATCCTAATCAAAAAGAACAAAGCTGGAGGCATTATGCTACCTGACTTAAAACCGTACTACAGGGCTACAGTAACCAAAACAGCATGATACTGCTACAAAAGCAGACAGATAGACCAATGGAATGGATTAGAGAACCCAGAAA